>NC_000003.12:160069210-160372240 GCF_000001405.40 Homo sapiens | reverse complement strand
CTGAATTATCATAAAATTTGGAAATCTGTAAAGTGTTGGAAGCATCCATGTGACTTTGTCTATGTGTGTTCATTATACTTATTTCTTGATGAATAGAGATTAATTCCTGAATTCATTTCTTGACTATTGGAGCCAGATGTTCAGATAGAAAAAGCTTTAGTCATTAACTTCTCTTCTAATCCAGAAGATACTTTAATCTCAGTTTTGGGTGGGGGGATTTGACTTAGTTTAAAAATGATTCTTACTGGTATTTATGGGGAGTTTATTGTTCCTTATTAGAGAAAAATAATATGTACACCAGAGATAATTATACTTAGGCCATATCTTTTGTGTCATTGTTCTAGTTTTAATCTCTAATTAAAATATATAAAGTAATGCTGCAAACCTTTAAGGACATTTTCCCCACACTATTTTCAAGTGGAGGAATAGAACAACAAAACATGGAACTTGCCTATAATGAATTCAGTTAAGGAGGTAAACTGTAAATATAAGTAATTGTGGCTGGGCACAGTGGCTCATGCCTGTAATCTCAACACTTGAGAGGCTGAAGTGGGCAGATCACTTGAGCCCAGGAGCTGGAGATCAGCCTGGGCAACATGGGAAAACCCCATCTGTACAAAAAATACAAAAGTTAGCCGGGCATAGTGGTGCATCCCTGTAGTCCCAGCTACTCAGAAGGCTGAGGTGAGAGGATCATCTGAGCCCGTGGGCGTTGGGGCTACAGTGAGCTGTGATCATGCCGCTGCACTCCAGCCTGGGCACCAGAGTAAGACCCTTTCTCAAAAAAAATCAATCAATACAAATTAATAAATAAATAATTGTAATACAAAGGAATGTGCTTAAGGTGCTGTTGGTGGCAGGTGGGAGTGGACCAGAGGGTGGAGATTAATGTTCTGGGGAGAGTGAATGTATTGGGAAGGGTTCCTGGCAAATATTGCAGCATCTTTTGAACTGGGCTTTGAAGAATGAAGAAATGGGAAAGGAAATGGGCTTGTTGGCATTGGAGTGAAGCTGTTAAGAAGCTTAGCATCATAAGAGGCTTAGAGACAGAAGACCGTGAGACCTAAAAGTCAGGTGAGTGGGAGCTAACTCCTTGGGCCAGAGTGTAGGCCGTGTGAAGGATAGTACTGCCAAGGGGACCAAAACACTGACAGTCCTGGATGTTAAAAGAAGGGGTTTGGCATTTATTCTATAAGCATACAAAACCTTTAAAAAATTGACCAGGAAAGTAAAGATAATGCCAATCTTTTAGACAGATTCCCTTTTCAGTAATAATAAAGTTAAACTAGAGGAGGTAGAGATTAAATAGAGGTGGCCAGTAAGATTTCAAATTGTCTATGCTAGTAAGGCAGCGATTAAGGCTTGAATAGAGGCAGTGACAACAGTAGTTGGAAAAGTGGATAGTTCTCAGAGACTGAGAGGGATGTACCCTGTAAGAGTAAAGACTTCAAAGAGGGATAAATTAGGAAATATATGTGGAGGGATGATGGTTTTGGATATGTAGAACTTGAAGCTCTGTGATGGAGATCTCTTTGGATCAAGTAGAAATGTGTTGGAGCTCAGAGGTAAAGGCTAAAATATTAATTTGGGAGTAAGTTACATTAAGTGAAAGGTGAAGCTATGGGGAAGTTGAGACCCCCCAAGGGAGAAGTGGTTGAAGATAGAAACTTAAAAAAAAATGCCTTTATTTAAACTTTTTCTTGTATTGATCCAGTGATATATGTAAGCATGGAGCATGGAATTTTTTGAATAAATCCCACTTGATTAACTATTGTTAGCTCATGTCTCCTACAAATAAAATGAAAAGGAAATCATTCTTCGTGTTTGAATGCCAATGATTTGGCCAAAACAGAAAAAAAAAAAAATCAAATGGCTACTACTATGAACAATACAGTAAGCAAATGCTTGCTTATTACAAAATAATTTGTAGTAGTTAACAGATAGTGCTATATAGTGCCAGACTCTATTCCAAGTACTTTACTTCTATTCACTCAATATAGACCGATACTGCATTCAAGGCAAAGATAGCTACTGTAATTTATTAGAGTAGTGAACAGTTTGTTTCAAAGGCATTCTTAAAAACATACAAAAACAGCGTTTTTAGGGGATACTTTTATAGTATGAATGTGAAAAACATGGTATATTTGACCATGTACTTCCTTAAAACAATTGAAATACATTTTTGTCTCCTCTTCTGTGGTTTAAAATGCCTTCAACAGGTTGAAAGAATTTAGATAATTTGTTTTATGGAGAGATAAGGGTCTGACATTTAACACAACCCCAGGTGCATGTGGTTTCTTAAAAAATGTCAAAAAGGTCACATGATTTTAGTGTACAAAGTTAGAAAAACAAGATCTTTTTGAGTGTCTTAGCAGAAATGGAGCATAAATTAAAATTTCCAATATAAAAAGTAAAAAACTATTTATTATAAAGCTATTTTTTGTTTTTTGCCCATTTTTGTTAATGATGAAATAAATAACATTTTGTTACATAATTTGCTAAACTCTGTTTTAAAGTAATTCAATGCAAAGGCTAAGTTTGTTATTTCCATGCTGACTTTGCAAAGCGAAACATAGCACTGGGAATAATTCATGCTTTAATAAATATATTTTAAAAATTTGAAATATAAATTTTTTAAATGCTAGTGGATGGATTTCATAATAATACAAATTATTTCATGAAGCTGATTCTTCCACTTTTAATAATGATCTTTATTAGAACCACCCAAATTGAAAGTTGTATAGCTATGTAGTTTATTTCCTTTTAGAAAAGAAAATGTTTATATGTACAGTAGTTTAATGCTTAATATTTTAAGTGTAAGGAATGATTATAATAAAGATCAAGGTTTTTAATGTGATATCCATTTTGAATTTTTAATGGTTAAGGAGAGTAACTATGAGTCCTGTCTATTGACCATGCTTATTTATCATAAATAAATAATTTATTTGTTTCCATTGCTTGTATTTTGATTGAAGGAATGTGGTTAAAAACCACATGTTATAACAAAGGAATTACTTAACTTTTTCTTTATAAGCTTATTTTCTTTTATTATATAAGTTATACCTGTTTCTTTAACATTATTGTTTACAAATTTGTTTTATAAGCAGGAAATGAATTATCTCTTTGTCCCAAAAGGGAAGATAAATACTATGAAGAAAGGTTCATAAACAAGGAAATGGTGTCATAGCTGACTTAATGGGACCACAAATTAAATGTTAAAGTTAAGAGGACTAAAGAGTCCTTAGTTCCTCATTCTGTACCCCAACCGTGCCTTTTACCACAACTAAAGCCTTAAAGTCACATCCTGTATAACTCAATGGGAGTTGTATTTACTGAATTATTTCCTTGAGGGTAGATGTTTGTCACAGTTTGGTATACACGCCAGGAAAGTATAATTTTACTGAGTGTATTTATGAAGATTTGATAGGCTATAAATTAAAACATTAATTTACTTTTTTGTACAAAAATTATAACTATAATAATGGAAATAAAGATGGCTTATATAATTCTACAACCTTAGCTAGTAAGTCCCTGTCACTCCTTTCCAGTCCTCACCAAGAACTACATTTGAAATATCTGAAATTTTGACTTCTATTTTTGGGGAGTTTATTAAGGTTAAACTTCGTTCATTTGGAGATTTATTTTTGAAGTACAGGTCAACTCCTGGCTACTCCCAGAGAATATTCCCAGAAAATATACTCATCAAGTACAGAAAAAGGAGGAGTACCTTCTGAGGTTGGCCATCTCATCAGGAAGAATTTCTGTGGGTTCCTTTGATACAGAACAATCCTTGATGTCATTGACTAAACAGGATATTTAGACATTTTATAACACCTGAACTGTGGAAGACATGTTTCAGGGTTTTTTTTTTTTTTTTTTTTGGACTGGGTCTAGATTAGACTTTCTAACCTGTATAAACCATTGGGACTTGCTCACAATTGAATTGTGTTTTTATTAGGGAGAAAATAGCACACAAAAAGTAGGGTACCTCTTAAACAAAAGCATTTGTCTTACTGAAATTTATTCAGTAAGACATTGATTTATTGATTATATCATCAGTTGGGCTTTTCATTTGAATAAACAATTAAATTTTATTGATTGCCCACAAACCCTGAAATTCAGATTTCATTCTACTAAGAATGTAAATTCCTTAATGATTCATTCATTTATTCATTGATTCGTTGATTCACAGAAAGTCAATTACTACAATAGTCTGATTTAGGAGTCCTAGACAATTTTTAAAAGATGGTTTTGTAAATATAGTTGGGTTACTATTTCATAGATTAACTACATAACCTTGATTCACCTGCCTAATGACTAGGCAGCTGGGCCGGGCAAGTGGAAAACAGATTATTTACTGCCGTATAACCAATGCTTTCAATAAATATGATAGTCATTTTTTAAAACTAGGCTTACATAAAGTATAGTCTTCCAGAAGACATTAGGTAATCTAGAAAGTAATTAAGGTAAGAAATACTATACTTAAATGTAATTGATTTTAAAAATACCGTCTCTAAATTCCTATTGGCAATTGAAAACACTATCAAGTGTAATGTAGTTTATAGAGTGGTAGGTAAATCAAACTTGTACTTTTCCTCTGGAAGTAAACTTTATGCTAGTTATAAGATATTGGAGCTTTTTTTAGCCAAGCTTTTGGGCTAAAGCCAAACCTAATAGATAACAAAATTTTCCCTAATCTGATATAAAAAAATTTGCCATTTGTGAATTCATGAGTGGGAGGTTATTAGATTGTTTTTGGATGAAGTTATTTCTGTCCATTAGTCTGCTGCTTAAGCAGCATGTGAGGGGAAGTTCTATTGCCTGTTGTAGCATCAGGTATGATAATTAATTTATAAGGTGAGTATACCATTTGTATTTTAATATGTAAAATTTAAGTTACTTTATGCATTGAGTCAGTTTAATACTGATGGCTATAACTCCATTGCTGGGTATATACCCAAAAGAAAGAAAATCAGTATATTAAAGAGATAGCTACACTTTTGTGTTTGTTGCAACTCTGTTCACAATACCAAGATTTGGAGGCAACCTAAGTTTCCATCAACAGATGACTAGATAAAGAAAATGTGGTACTTATATACAGTGGAGTACTATTCAGCCATAAAAAAAATGAGATTCAATAATTTGCTACAACATGGATGGAACTGTAGTTCATTCATTATGTTGAGTGAAATGAGCCAGGCACAGAAAGACAAACATTGCATGTTCTCACTTATTTGTGGGATGTAAAAATCAAAACAATGGAACCCATGGAGATGGAGAGAAGGATGGTAACAAGATGCTGGGAAAGGTAGTGAGGGGGTTGTGAGGGAGGTGGGGTGGTTAATGGGTACCAAAAATAGAATGAATGAATGAATAAGGCCTAGTATTTGATAACACAACAGGTTGAGAGTACAATTGGATTGTTCATAACACAAAGGAAAAATGCTTGAGAGGATGGATACCCCATTTTCCATGATGTAATTGTTATGTATTGTATGCCTGTATCAAAAGATCTCATGTGCCCCATAAATATATATATCTACTGTGTACCCACAAAAATTAAAAATAAAAATTTTTAAAAAGCTTGCTAGGTGATTACAATGTGCAGCCAAGCCCCAAGACTGCTGCTTTAAACCAACATCATTTGTTGAACTAGTTGCAAATAAATGTAAAAACATTTGCTGCCAATAAATAAATACATACTGATGGCTGTCAATGATGGGAAATGATAAATCATGACTTTTCTGCTATTTCTTTATATATTAAAAATGAAGTATATTTATTTTATCTTATGTATTTCAATAGCACCTATATGGAATTTCTAAAAACTCCATATTTTCTCAGCAAGATCCTAATTAGTTAAAAATATAGTATGTCAGTTGCTCACAGTAGATTTTCAAAGGTCAATATTAACCCAGTCAGCATTTCAACATCAGACTATATACTCTAATTTGAAAGGTCCATTGAAAAGAGAAGAAATGAAATGACACCTCATATGGCTTTTTTGATCCTCTTAACAATCTCTCTTTTTATAAGGCATAATAATTAAAGTTTATCAGCCTTTTTTTTTTCTTTTTTCATCTTACAGGAACACCAGTGTATTCAGTAGCGTGGGGCCCTGATTCAGAAAAGGTTCTTTATACAGCAGGCAAGCAGCTAATCATTAAACCTCTTCAACCAAATGCTAAAGTTTTGCAGGTACTTCTCAGTCATTTGTAAATTGTTATCAGGGTCTGCCTGACTGCTAAACTAGAGGGCACTTGCTTAGGAGTCTCTTTCTTCTGGGTGGTCTTTTTACAGTCTGGTCTTTAAGTACATGGTTTAATCAGCCTTTATTACAGAACAAGGAATATCTTTATATTTCCAACAAGGTTTGTTTTCCCCTTATTCCAACTCATTTTGATAATGATACAGCATAGTTTTGCTAATAAGAACACAGGCTTTGGAGTTAGCTACTTGGGTTCAAATCTTCACTCACTTACCTATACATGACCTTAGGCAAGTTATAAAATATTGTTGAATGTCAGCCTTCAATATCTCAACTAAGAGATGAGAACATCTCTTAGTTAGTGACACTAATATCAGCTTAACAGGATTGCTGTAAGGATTAAATGAGTTAAAATTGCAAAGTGCAAAGGACAATTCCGGGCATACAGTAAGCACTCAATATACAGTACCTGTTATTATCTGTATTATTATGCTATTATAAGTTGCTGTGCCATCTCTACCTTTTAGTCAACCAAGGAGACCAGGAAAACATTGTAAAATGACTAGGTCTTGAGTAAGAGATTTGTTGGTAGACATTGACAGGCTACAGCAGGCATAGAAGTGTTTTCACAGTTGAGTAGATGTAGATTTTAGGGAATAAGGACATAGAGATGACTTTGAGGTTCCATATTATAACATCTGTACAGATTATGCTATATGTATTTTACACAGCCAAAATGCATTTACATTTTTATGGTGTGCAGAACACTCTGCTAGGAACTATAGGGACATGCAAGAATAGAACATACAAGCCCCTGTCCTTAGGCACCTAAGGTAAAGAATTTGGGCAAAGGGAAGAAGCTGGGAAAGAGGACTAGTTTTGATGGCTCTTAGTCAAAGTCCTTCCATGCCAATTACCTACGCTGAAAATCTGCTATGAAATTTATACAGCAAAAACAGACAAGTTGAATCTTTTAGTTTATACCTTTAGTTTATAGTTATGTGAATTTGTTTTTTTTTCTTTTTTTTTTAATTATACTTTAAGTTCTAGGGTACATGTGCACAATGTGCAGGTTTGTTACATAGGTATACATGTGCCATGTAGGTTTGCTGCACCCATTAACTCATCATTTATATTAGGTATTTCTCCTAATGCTATCCCTCCCCCAGCCCCCCACCTTACGACAGGCCCTGGTGTGTGATGTTCCCTGTCCTGTGTACAAGTGTTCTTATTGTTCAGTTCCCACCTATGAGTGAGAACATGCGGTGTTTGGTTTTCTGTCCTTGTGATAGTTTGCTGAGAATAATGATTTCCAGCTTCATCCATGTCCCTGCAAAGGACATGAACTCATCCTGTATTATGGCTGCATAGTATTCCATGGTGTATATGTGCCACATTTTCTTAATCCAGTCCATCACTGATGGACATTTGTATTGGTTCCAAGTCTTTGCTATTGTGAATAGTGCCACCATAAATATATGTATGCATGTGTCTTTATAGTAGCATGGTTTATAATCCTTTGGGTATATACCCAGTAATGGGATGGCTGGGTCAAATGGTATTTCTAGTTCTACATCCTTGAGGAATTGCCACCCTGTCTTCCACAGTGGTTGAACTAGTTTACACTCCCACCAACAGTGTAAAAGGATTCCTGTTTCTCCATATCTTCTCCAGCACTGTTGTTTCCTGATTTTTTAATGATCACCATTCTAACTGGTGTGAGATGGTATCTCATTGTGGTTTTGATTTACATTTCTCTGATGACCAGTGTTGATGAGCATTTTTTCATGTATCTGTTGGCTGCATAAATGTCTTCTTTTGAGAAGCGTCTGTTCATATCCTTTGCCCACTTTTTGATGGGGTTGTTTTTTTCTTATAAATTTGTTTAAGTTCTTTGTAGATTCTGGATATTAGCCCTTTGTCAGATGGGTAGATTGCAAAAATTTTCTCCCATTCTGTAGGTTGCCTGTTCACTCTGATGGTAGTTTCTTTTGTTGTGCAGAAGCTCTAGTTTAATTAGATCCCATTTGTCTATTTTGGCTTTTGTTGCCATTGCTTTTGGTGTATTAGTCATGAAGTCCTTGCCAATGCCAATGTCCTGAATGGTATTGCCTAGATTTTCTTCTAGGATTTTTATGGTTTTAGGTCTAACATTTAAGACTTTAACCCATCTTGAATTAATTTTTGTATAAGGTGTAAGGAAGGGAACCAGTTTCAGCTTTCTATATATGGCTAACCAGTTTTCCCAGTACCATTTATTAAATAGGGAATCCTTTCCCCATTTCTTGTTTTTGTCAGGTTTGTCAAAGATCAGATGGTTGTAAATGTATGGTGTTATTTCTGAGGGCTCTGTTCTGTTCCATTGCTGTGTATCTCTGTTTTGGTACCAGTACCATGCTGTTGTGGTAGCCTTGTAGTATAGTTTGAAGTCAGGTAGCGTGATGCCTCCAGCTTTGTTCTTTTTGCTTAGGATTGTCTTGGCAATGCAGGCTCTTTTTGGTTCCGTATGAACTTTAAAGTAGTTTTTTCCAGTTCTGTGAAGAAAGTGATTGGTAGTTTGATGGGGATGGCATTGAATCTATAAATTACTTTGGGCAGTATGGCCATTTTCACGATACTGATTCCTCGTATCTATAAGCATGGAATGTTCTTCCATTTGTTTGTGTCCTCCTTTATTTTGTCGAGCAGTGGTTTGTAGTTCTCCTTTAAGAGGTCCCTCACATCCGTTGTAAGTTGGATTCCTAGGTATTTTAGTATCTGTGTAGCAATTGTGAATGGGAGTTCACTCATTATTTGGCTCTCTGTTTGTCATTGGTGTATAGAAATGGTTGTGATTTTTGCATACTGATTTTGTATCCTGAGACTTTGCTGAAGTTGGTTATCAGCTTAAGGAGATTTTGGGCTGAGATAATGGGGTTTTCTAAATATACGATTGTGTCATCTGCAAACAGGGACAATTTGACTTCCTCTTTTCCTAATTGAATACCCTTTATTTCCTTCTCTTGCCTGATTGCCCGGGCCAGAACTTCCAACACTATGTTGAATAGGAATGGTGAGAGAGGGCATCCCTGTCTTGTGCCAGTTTTCAAAGGGAATGCTTCCAGTTTTTGCCCATTCAGTATGATATTGGCTGTGGGTTTGTCATAAGTAGCTCTTATTATTTTGAGATATGTTCCATCAATACCTAGTTTATGGAGAGTTTTTAGCATGAAGGGCTGTTGAATTTTGTCGAAGGCCTTTTCTGCATCTATTGAGATAATCATGTGGTTTTGTCGTTGGTTCTGTTTATGTGATGGATTACGTTTCTTTATTTGCGTATGTTGAATCCCTTGCATCCCAGGGATGAAGCCAACTTGATCATGGTGGATAAGCTTTTTGATGTGCTGCTGGATTCAGTTTGCCAGTACTTTTTTTGAGGATTTTTGCATCGGTGTTCATCAGGGATATTGGTCTAAAATTCTCTTCTTTGGTTGTGTCTCTGCCAGGCTTTCGTATCAGCATGATGCTGGCCTCATAAAATGAGTTAGGAAGGATTCCCTCGTTTTCTATTGATTGGAATAATTTCAGAAGGAATGGTTCCAGCTCCTCTTTGTACCTCTGGTAGAATTCGGCTGTGAATCTGTCTGGTCCTGGACTTTTTTTGGTTGGTAGGTTATTAATTATTGCCTCAATTTCAGAGCCTGTTATCAGTCTATTCAACTTCTTCCTGGTTTAGTCTTGGGAGGGCATATGTGTCCAGGAGTTAATCGATTTCTTCTAGATTTTCTATTTTATTTGCGTAGAGGTGTTGATTGTATTCTCTGATGGTAGTTTGTATTTCTGTGAAATCAGTGGCGATATCCCCTTTATCATTTTTTATTGTATCTATTTGATTCTTCTCTCTTCTCCTTTTATTAGTCTTGCTAGTGGTCTATCAATTTTGTGGATCTTTTCAAAAAACCAGCTCCTGGATTCATTGATTTTTTTGAAGAGTTTTTTGTGTCTCTATCTCCTTCAGTTCTGCTCTGATCTTAGTTATTTCTTGCCTTCTGTTAGCTTTTGAATGTGTTTTCTCTTGTTTCTCTAGTTCTTTTAATTGTGATGTTAGGGTGTCAATTTTAGATCTTTCCTGCTTTCTCTTGTGGGCATTTAGTGCTATAAATTTCCCTCTACACACTGCTTTAAATGTGTCCCAAAGATTCTGGTACATTGTGTCTTTGTTCTCATTGGTTTCAAAGAACATCTTTATTTCTGCCTTCATTTCGTTATGTACCCAGTAGTCATTCAGGAGCAGGTTGTTCAGTTTCCATGTAGTTGAGTGGTTTTGAGTGAGTTTCTTAATCCTGAGTTCTAATTTGATTGCACTGTGGTCTGAGAGACAGTTTGTTGTGATTTCTGTTCTTTTACATTTGCTGAGGAGTGCTTTACTTCCTGCTATGCGGTCAATTTTGGAATAAGTGTGGTGTGGTGCTGAGAATAATGTGTATTCTGTTGATTTGGGGTGGAGAGTTCTGTAGATGTCTATTGGGTCTGCTTGGTGCAGAGCTGAGTTCAAGTCCTGGATATCCTTGTTAACCTTCTGTCTTGTTGATCTGTCTAATATTGACAGTAGGGTGTTAAAGTCTCCCATTATTATTGTGTGGGAGTCCAAGTTTCTTTTTAGGTCTCTAAGGACTTGCTTTATGAATCTGGGTGCTCCTGTATTGGGTGCATATGTATTTAGGATAGTTAGCTCTTCTTGTTGAATTGATCCCTTTACCATTAGGTAATGGCCTTCTTTGTCCCTTTTGATCTTTGTTGGTTTAAAGTCTGTTTAACAGAGACTAGGATTGCAACCCCTGCTTTTTTTGCTTTCCATTTGCCTGGTAGATCTTCCTCCATCCCTTTATTTTGAGCCTATGTGTGTCTCTGCATGTGAGATGGTTCTCCTGAATACAGCACACTGATGGATCTTGATTCTTCATCCAATTTGCCAGTCTGTGTCTTTTAATTGGGGCATTTAGCCCATTTACATTTAAGGTTAATATTGTTATGTGTGAATTTGATCCTGACGTGATGTTAGCTGGTTATTTTGCCCATTAGTTGGGTTATTTTGCCCATTAGTTGCCCATAGATGCTTCCTAGCATCAATGGTCTTTACAATTCGGCATGTTTTTGCAGTGGCTGGTACTGGTTGTTCCTTTCCATGTTTAGTGCTTCCTTCAGGAGCTCTTGTAAGGCAGGCCTGGTGGTGACAAAATCTCTCAGCATTTGCTTGTCTGTAAAGGATTTTATTTCTCCTTCACTTATGAAGCTTAGTTTGGTCAGATATGAAATTCAGGGTTGAAAATTCTTTCCTTTAAGAATGTTGAATATTGGCCCCCAATCTCCCTTCTGGCTTGTAGAGTTTCTGCTGAGAGATCTGCTGTTAGTCTGATGGGATTCCCTTTGTGGGTAACCCGATCTTTCTTTCTGGCTGCCGTTAACATTTTTTCCTTCATTTCTACCTTGGTGAATCTGACAATTATGTGTCTTGGGGTTGCTCTTCTTGAGGAGTATCTTTGTTGTGTTCTCTGTATTTCCTGAATTTTAATGTTGGCCTGCCTTGCTAGGTTGGGGAAGTTCTCTTGGATAATATCCTGAAGAGTGTTTTCCAACTTCGTTCCATTCTCCCTATCACTTTCAGGTACACCAATCAAATGTAGATTTGGTCTTTTCACATAGTCCCATATTTCTTGGAGGCTTTGTTCGTCTCTTTTTACTCTTTTTTGTCTAAACTTCTCTTCTCACTTTATTTCATTAATTTGATCTTCAATCACTGATACCCTTTCTTCCACTTGATCGAATCAGCTACTGAAGCTTGTGCATGTGTCAAGTAGTTCTCATCCCATGGTTTTCAGTTCCATCAGGTCATTTAAGGTCTTCTCTACGCTGTTTATTCTAGTTAGCCATTCATCTAATCTTTTTTCAAGGTTTTTAGCTTCCTTGTGATGGCTTAGGACATGCTCCTTTAGCTTGGGGAAGTTTGTTATTACTGACCTTCTGAAGCCTAGTTATGTCAACTCATCAAAGTCATTCTCTGTCCAGCTTTGTTCCATTGCTGGCGAGGAGCTGCGATCCTTTGGAGGAGAAGGGGTGTTCTGGTTTTTAGAATTTTCAGCTTTTCTACTCTGGTTTCTCCCCATCTTTGTGGTTTTATCTACCTTTGGTCTTTGATGTTGGTGACCTACAGATGGTGTTTTGGTGTGGATGTCCTTTTTGTTGATGTTGATGCTATTCCTTTCTGTTTGTTAGTTTTCCTTCTAACAGTCAGGACCCTCAACTGCAGGTCTGTTGGAGTTTGCTGGAGGTCCACTTCAGGCCGTTTGCCTGGGTATCACCAGCAGAGGCTGCAGAATAGCAAATATTGCAGAACAGCAAATATTGCTGCCTGATCCTTCCTCTGGAAGCTTAGTCCCAGAGGTGTCAATCTGCCTGTATGAGGTGTCAATCGGCCCCTAACTGTCTCCCAGTTAGGCTACACGGGGGTCAAGGACCCACTTGAGGAGGCAGTCTGTCCATTCTCAGAGCTCAAACGCCGTGCTGGGAGAACCACTGCTCTCTTCAGAGCTCAGTTGAAAATGCAGAAATCACCCGTCTTCTGTGTCGATCACACTGGGAGCTGCAGACCAGAGCTATTCCTATTCAGCCATCTTGGAATGGTGTCCCTGTAAATTTGTTTAGATACCTGTAATTAGGCTTATAGAAATGAAACTCAGGAAGCTGGTTATATCACAATTGGTCAAGTTAAATATGGCTTAGTGGTTCAGTAGAACCTCTGGGCCAGGAGGTAGTAGAGTGAATCAAAGTATCCATTGCCAAAATTAGCTAGAGAGAAACAGGACTTAAAGTATAATTAGTAACTTCATGCAAATTATCTATTCCTTTTGGGAGACTAAAGCAGCTGCAATTCTTCTTGAGCATAAAAACATATTCAAATTAGGATTGTCCACAAAAAAGTGTGCTTAATTAATTCTTGCTTGTGGAATGCAGTTCAGAAGTATATACCTCATGTCTTTTAAGGCCTTCTCAACACTTCGAACTTGGTCTTATAGTGAGGAAATTTTTATTTATTCGTTGAATAAAAATGTAATGCATACCTGTTATATACCAGGCACTGTGGTAGGTATGAGATAGTCAAAATGAAACAGAACATAGTTTCTGCCTTCAAGGAGCTTCTTGTTCAAAGGAATTTTACAAAATGCCTAATACATTAATAAATAAATAAAAATTATTATATGTTTAACAATATGCAAATATTTGTAATATATGTTGATACCCTAAATTACAGTGTAAGGAAAATTTAAATCATATTTTATTCATAAATCTTGAATACGCAATATTTATTTTGTTCCTTTAAAATGAAACTCTTAAGAATCCATGGCTGGGCACGGTGGCTCATGCCTGTAATCCCAGCACTTTGGGAGGCCAAGGCAGAACTTAACGATTTTCATATCAATGGGAGGTACTGGAACCAATCCCCCACAGATACCAAAGAATGACTGTATACCAAAGAATGAATGTATAGAATATATACTTATCTATGGAAAACATCTTTTTGTTACATGGTAAATACAGCAGAAGTTTCTCAGAGTAGTCCAGTTGTAAACCAGACACATGAAGATAAAGTGAATGAAACTTAGAAGAATATGACGAACAGAATGAAATGAAGAGGGTAGTAAAGATGTTTGTGCAGAAGTTTAAAAAAAAAATGGTTGAGGGGGGCTGAACATGGTGGCTCACGCCTGTAATCCCCGCACATTGGGAGGCCAAGGCAGGAGGATTACTTGAGCCCAGGAGCTTGAGACTAGCCTAGGCAATATAGCAAGAGTTATCTACCAAAAATGAAAAAAAAAAAAAAGTAGCTGGGTGTGGTGGCATGTCCCTGTAGTCCCAGCTACTTGGGAGGCTGAGGCAGGAGGATTGCTTGAATGTGGGAGGTCGAGACTGCAGTTGCCCTGATCACATCATTGAACTCCAACCTGCGTGACAGTGAGACCCTGTCTCAAAAATAAATAAATAAATAAATAAAATAAATAAGTAAACAAGCATGAAGGCAGTATCAGTAATGGAATCTGCTATATGAAGGAGAAAGCAAGATTTGGATTCAGTTGACATTTTTGGAATACATAACATATTCATTCAGTGTTATTGTACAAATGTCCGGCTTGAAATAGTTCAGCAGCAAGTCATTTTCCATCTGGAGTCCAGGCAACTGAGGAAATTCATAAGGTTTGAGGCTATATAGTGGATGTCTTAGGTGCTAGGTGCTTACATTAGTATAAATTACAAATGAAACAAGCAAATGAGGTATTGTACATTGGCTATAAAAGGAAGATAGGAATCCCTGAGAAGATGACAAAGGAGTCATTAGAAAGAGGCAAAATATATTTCTTACAGAAAAAAACTTAAGTGCTTTTAAACTTATAATTAATATCTTATTCTTTTTTCTCACAGTGGAAAGCTCATGATGGCATTATTTTAAAAGTAGATTGGAACTCGGTCAATGATCTTATTTTATCTGCTGGTGAAGACTGTAAATATAAGGTATATAATGTTTAGATTTATCACTTGGCTGAAATAATCAAATTTATAAGTACTTAGCATATAAGAATATTCTTTTAGTTTTTTACTTTAGCCATGTCTTTTTACTCCAGTAATTTAGCAAATTATTTTATAATGTTAAGTGGTATTTTAAAGCATGGACTTCATAAAAACTATCTCATTAGCCTGGACAACACAGTGAGGCCCTACCTCTACAAAAAAAAATTAGCCAGTTGTGATGGAGCACATCTGTGGTCCCAGCTACTTGGGAGGCTGAGGTGAGTGGATCACTTGAGCACAGGTGGTTGAGGCTGCAGTGAGCCATAATTGTGCCACTGCATTCCAGCCTGAGCAACAAAGTGAGACCCTCTCTCAGAAAAAGAAAGACTATCTCATTGATCTATAGAGTTTGATATTTAATAAGTAACAATATCAGTATAGCCCCTAATTTTACCGTGACTCAATTTGAGTTCAGTTCAGTATGTTTTTAAAAATTAACCCTGCTGGTTTACTAAATATTGATCAATTTCAGGTCAAAATAATTTGTAGAGAGGAATAAGGTTTAATGTATTAATAACTAGAGTTAGAGGCAATTAAATTGAAATAAATACTTTTAGAGAAAGTAGGTAGAGCCCTTACAGGGAGAAAAAATTTAAGCAAAATGGTAAGCAAGCTAGGTATGGTAGCTCATACCTATAACCCCAGTGCTTTGAGAGGCCAAGGCAGTAGGGTTACTTGAGACCAGGAGTTGGAGAATAGCCTAGGCAATATAACAAGACCCCATCTCTACAAAAATTTAAAAATTAGCCAAGTATGGCAGCATGTACCTGTAGTCCTTGCTTATTTGGAAGGCTAAAGCAGGAAGATCTCTTGAGCCCAGGAGATCAAGACTGCAGTGAGCTATGATCATGCTACTGTACTCCAGCCTGGGCCACAGAGTGAGACCCTGTCTCTAAAATTCAAAAAACAAAACAAAGCTAAGAACTAAACATTTCAAAATGTACTATTATATTTAAAAGGACTTAAAATGGGTAGATTTTATGTTCAGAGATTTAGTAAAATCTGAAAATTATGACAGTGTTATAAAATAGTTTCTTTTTGAGACATTTAGGCTTAAAGGAATACAGCTTTGTTTTCCCCTTGTGTGATAGTAAAGACGTTTAATTGCTAATATATAAGGTGCTGATTTCTAAATTTTTATTTACTACCTTACTGGAAGACAAACTTGTTTTTATGTGGTGTCTGTTATAAAACATTTTTATTTTATTTATTTATTTTTCTTTTAGTTTTTGCAAACTTCTCCCTGATATTATAAAAGATTTTTAAAAATTGCTTTTGTAGGTATGGGATAGTTACGGCCGCCCACTGTACAATTCACAACCTCATGAGCATCCCATTACTTCAGTTGCCTGGGCTCCAGATGGAGAATTATTTGCTGTTGGATCGTTTCATACTTTACGCTTGTGTGATAAAACTGGGGTAAGTTATAGTGGTGAGCAATCACAGATGTGCTGTCATAAATGTGGTAATGCACAACACACATGGTTCTCAGTCTTTAAAAAACATTTTCAATGGATGCATCTGGTTGAATCTTTCTGATTTGTCTTCTTAATATGCTGGTTCAATCAATTCCAGATATATGGGACCAAAATCTGTTTAAGTTTGAAGCATGGGCACGATCTCTACTATTTGTCTTTCTGGAAATATTATTTTGAGCATGATTGTGAAGGATGAAGTAGTTAAAGTATTAAAATTTATGCCCATTCAATATGGAAAATTCAGTTTTAAACTTTTTTTTTCTAACCTTTCACTGACTTGAAGCTTATAAACTTTTATTTTTTTTTTGCTGTCAATATGTTTCATACGAAATCTCGATTGCATATTTTGCGTAAGAAATTAATAGTGCATTGGAAAAATAGTCATTTTAAGACCAGAGGACATGGCTGGATGTGGTGTTTCATGCCTGTAATCCCAGCACTTCCGGAGTCCAAGGAGGGAGGATTGCTTGAGCCCAGGAGTTTGAGACCAGCCCGGGTAACAGAGTGAAACTCTGTCTGTATAAAAAAAATTGAAAAATTTGCCAGGCATGATGGTGCATACCTGTGGTCCCAGCTACTGGGAAGACTGAGGTGGGAGGCTCACTGGAGCCCAGGAGGTGGAGGCTGTAGCAAGCTATAATCATGCCACTGTACTCCAGCCTGGATGAGAATTAGACCCTGTCTCTAAATAAATAAATAAATAACCAAAGGGCATATTTTTCTTTATCAAGAATTCATATTTGAATACATGCAAGAATTTTTCCTCACAAGAGAATATGCCCTCCTTCATACAAATTCTGTTTAGAACCTGGGGAAATAGCCAAGCTCAGCAGCATTTACCCATTGTACTTGAATGAATTGTTCGTTGAAGTACCCCAAAAGCAGCAGCATTATGTGGTAAAAAGAGTTTGAGTGTGGCTGTTTTATACTATTCCTAACTGGGGAAATCATAAAATTGTTCTGTGGCTTATTTGCCTCTAATGCAGAATAAGACAGAATTTTTAGAGCTTTTAATCTATTAAGATTTCTGGTTACTTGTTTTCTATCACATAAAATATGAAGTCCTCTGCCTAGCTTTAAAAGCTGTTTGAAACCTGGTGCCATAAAATCCATTGAGTCTTTTCCCCCACAACTCTCTAAGTGTGTTCAACTCACATTGAACACTGGCTTTTGAACCTTTCCTACCTCTTACTAACATCCCTACTCATTTTCTCATTTCATGGAATACTTTGATTTCTGTCTTAGACCATAGTGAGTCCCATTCATTCTTTTTATTTTATTTTATTTATTTATTTATTTTTGAGACGGAGCCTTGCTCTGTCGCCCAGGCTGGAGTGCAGTGGTGCGGTCTCAGCTCACTGCAGGCTCCGCCTACCAGGTTCACGCCATTCTCCTACCTTAGCCTCCCTAGCAGCTGGGACTACAGGCACTCGTCACCACGCCCGGCTAGTTTTTTTGGTGTGTTTTTAGCGGAGACGGGGTTTCACTGTGTTAGCCAGGATGGTCTCGATCTCCTGACCTAGTGATCCACCCACCTCAGCCTCCCAAAGTGCTGGGATTACAGCTGTGAGCCACCCAGCCCGGCCCAAGTTCCACTCATTCTTAAAGGCCTGTCTCAAGTTTGACTTCCTTTGATCATGCCTTCCATTGACTCTAAAGTTTGTTTGTATATTTTTCTAATTTCTTTTCTGCTAGGTCCCTCCTTTCTCAATTACAACATCAGGATGTTAGATCATCCCATCTAATCACTTAAGGAGCTTTTACCTCTGATTTTCCCTATCAATGATTCTAAATCTATAGAATGTGTAGTCTCATTTTCACAATGTATTACATTCTTACATTGTCAATTTTAGTTTCATGTATATTATTTTTGACTCCCTAGTTTATAAAATCCAATAGTTCAATAATTCTGTATTATCTGTACAACACAGTAGATACTCAACAATTTATTAATAAGCCAATTTAAACATAATTTTATTTTGTCATTTTGATTAAAATATTTTAAAATTTTAAAAACATATTAAAGGTTTACCTCGTTAGGCATCTAGTCGTTTTATTTAGAATGTTAACCTCTATCTTTTATTTAATAGACATTAAATATATACTACTCATCAGACAGTGTTCTAGAAACTGGGGGTATAAATAAGAAAAAGATATAAAGACTTTTACTCAAGTTGTTGACAGTCTAGTGGAGAATTAGACTATAAGACTTACAGTACATTATGACAAGTGCTATACAGGAAGTTTTTTATACAAGCACTGCAAGGGTGTGGAAGAGCCTAACTCAGCCTGTGGGACATTGACTAGAGAGCAGAGCCTTGAAGAATTAGTAGTTCTCCAAGGAGACAAAGTTGGGGAAGAGAGTTACAGGCAAAAGAAACCTCTTGTGAATCAAAGTACAAAAGAGTATGGTGCTTTTTGTGCAATGTCTGTAAAATTTTCATGGCATAATACCAGGAGATAATACAGAAAAGATAGATGGACTAAAGTGTTTGCCATGCAACAGAATCCAGATTTCAGTCTTTTAAAATCTAATTCTGTTCTGTGGAGCCTCCTTTGGGGTTGCTGTGGGGTAGAAAAGAGGTGAGGGAGTTGAGCCCCTGATCTCTCTCACTACCTGCAACCAGAGCAGTTCCGGTTATACTGTTTGAGCGTCTAATATAAGATTTTCTTTGAACAGCTGAAAAACAGTGAGGTTGGCAATTGAGTATATTAGTCAGTAGAGAGCCATGGATGGTGTGTAGTAACATGGTAGTATTCAAATGTTGGAAATACTGCTTTGAGGTGAAAGGAACAGTGATTCGAGAGAAGGAATAGAATAAACAAAGGTGAGGTATCATAGTTTATTAGAAAAATTAAGAATTTAGTATGGCCACAATAGTTTGGAGTTTATCTTATGGGCAATGGTGAGTCACTGATCAATTTTAGATAGTTACCTTATTAGATTTGGCATTTTTGGGGAAGCATACTCTAAGATCATCATAGAGGACAGATTAGAGTAGAGGTACACTAGAGGCAGGATGGCTAATTAGGAGCTGTTGTAGTACAAGAAAATGATGACGTTGGCCTGAATAATAGGGAAGTAGCAGTGGAGATGGAAAGAAATAGACAGGTTCAGGAGATAAATCCTTGCTGTATAAGTAGAAAGAGACAAGAATAATTACCTGAGTTTCCATTCCTTATTGTCTGGGTGTTTGCCTGAGGATAATGCCCTTTCATGATGTGATGCCCTGTTCAATCATTACGATAGTAAACCAAGTTACCTAAATTTCAGCATTCATAAGCATCACCTGGGTATTGCAAAAATACACATTCTTGGGCACTATTTGCAATATGGAGAATCAAAATCTCAGAGAATGAGGCTCTGTGAAGTGGTATTTTTAGGAAGTTTCCTAGTTGTCTTTATGCAGGCTGTCCTCAGAGGGCACTTGAAGGAAGACTTAGTGAGATGCTTGATATTCCTTTTAAGTCCTGAAATGGGCAATGCTTAGTCTACTGTAGAAAAAATACCTTGAATTTGGAGATGAAATAGCAAACTATAACGCAGGTGATACCAAAAAAGAATAGTATAATAGAAAAAATTACATTTCTTAAAAATCTCAGGTAATTTATTCTTCTGACTTGTTCTAAGCATCTTCTTCATTTAAAATTACTGTTGGGGGCCGGGCGTGGTGGCTCACGCCTGTAATCCCAGCACTTTGGGAGGCCGAGGCAGGCAGATCACGAGGTCAGGAGATCGATACCATCCTGGCTAACATGGTGAAACCCCGTCTCTACTAAAAATACAAAAACAAAATTAGCCGGGCGTGGTGGCGGGTGCTGAGGCAGGAGAATGGCGTGAACCCGGGAGGCAGAGCTTGCAGTGAGCCAAGATCGCACCACTGCACTCCAGCCTGGGTGACAGAGAGAGACTCTGTCTCAAAAAAAAAAAAAAAATTACTATTGTGTTATGTCTGCCACTTTGCTGCAGCAAAAATGTTGATAGTATATGAATCATATGTGTGATGGTATTATCTCTTAATGTTCTAGACTGATTCTTTCAGAATAGCTAGTTGTAAATACTATTCAAACACTTAACTTTCATTCATTGAATTATCAATAGTTTTTTTGCTCATTTTCTGCCTTGTGTATTTTCACAAAAGGATTTGGAATTCATTTATGCAATCATTTCTTTTTGCAAGGTTTGTATTAACCCTGTAATATATCCTTTTATACAGTTATCATTTAGATTTTTATGTTACTTAATATTTAGATTTTTATGAGTTACTTAATGTGTTATTTATGTGTGTATGTATGCATATGTATGTATTCATGTATGTCTATATATACTATATATATAATATATACAAATATATATATTATATATACATATAATATATGTGTGTATATATATATACATATAATATATGTGTATATATATATTTGTTCAAATCTTTCTGGAGGATATTTTGATACTATATATCAAAAGCCCAAGAAATAAACATATACTTTAACCCAGCAATTCCAGTTTTAGGATTTATCCTAAGGTAATAATAAGATAAAGAAGGCTTAGTGGAACATTCTTTATAATTTAACAAATGAAAAGCAATCTAAATCTCTAACAGTAAGATATTATTTAACTTAATTATGGAATATAATTCTTATAATTAATTATTATATTGTTATTAAAAATGATAATTACTTTTATAATACCATGAAAATGTTTTAAAATATATGACCACAAGAAAAAAGTAGTTACAAACTTTATGCATAGGGTGATCTTATTAGTATATATCTGTATAAATGAACAGAAAAATAGTCTGACGTGATATAACAAATTTTAACAATGGTTATGTCTGGAGTTTGGTGATTTAGTCATAAGTGGTGATAGGTGATTTTTCTTCTTTTTTGCATATCTACATTTTCAAAATGTACATTTAAAAAATGTACATTTTCAAATAAAATGTACAGGTTTTGAAAAGGGAAAAAATAGCTTTATCCTTTATTTTATTTAGCTTTCCCTAGATTCTCTAATCATGTAATTCAGCCTTCTTTCTCTTTTTAAGAAATGTTGTCTTTTGAAGCTATCAAGTTATTTTAGAAATATGTATTAGTTAAAATATGGGAAACTATTTTTCAGGTAACATACGTTTTTTTTTTTGAAACGGAGCCTCGCTCTGTCGCCAGGCTGGAGTGCAGTGGCACAATCTCGGCTCACTGCAATTTCCACCTCCTGGATTCAAGCGATTCTCCTGCTCCAGCCTCACAAGTAACTGGGACTACACGCGCACATCACCACGCCCAGCTAATTTTTGTATTTTTAGTAGAGGTGGGGCTTCCCCATGTTGGCCAGGATGGTCTCAATCTCTTGACCTCGTGATCCACCTGCCTCGGCCTCCCGAAGTGCTGAGATTACAGGCATGAGCCACCGTGTCCTGCCTGGTGGCATACATCTTTATTGGGGAATAATTCTACTCACTAAGATATAAATGCTATGAGCATTTTGAGTTAAAAAAAAGTATGTAAATACTTTCTGCATATCCTTTTTTTTTTTTTTTTGAGACAGAGTCTTGCTCTGTCACCCAGGCTGGAGTGCAGTGGCAATATCTCAGCTCACTGCAATCTCTGCCTCCCGGGTTCAAGTGATTCTTGTGCCTCAGCCTCCCAAGTAGCTGAGACTACAGGCGTCCACCACCACTCCCAGCTAATTTTTTGTATTTTTAGTAGATACGGGGTTTCACCATATTGCCCAGGCTGGTCTTGAACTCCTGAGCTCAAGTGATCTGTTCGTCTTGGCCTCCCAAAGTGCTAGGATTACAGGCATGAGCCACCATGCCCGGCCTCTGCATATCTTTTTTAAGAATCCCAAGCAGAAATTGCCTTTATAGAGTTTACTTTCTTGTTGATAAGACATATATTAAAACATTAATTATACACTCAGTTATTTAATTATAGTTGTAATAAATTTTAAAAACAGGAACAGGCTGCTGTTAGTAATGAGAACTAATGTCTGGAGGGTCAAAGCAGGTTAGTGTGATGAAAGATAAGAAGGGCATCGCTTATTGAGACTCTTCACCTTTTCTTCTTACCAAGTAAGTAGATATGGTAACTGCTGGTGTCAGCTTAGAGTAAGTTGACCCAACTTACTCTTAATGGTGTCAATTTAGACCTGAAAATTTAAGTCAGCTTATGTCAGCTGCTTTTCTCACACAATGTTTTCTCTTTCGAAAAAAAACTTGCCAAGGCTTCTTTTAAAAAGTACATGTTTTCTTGAATCTGGAAATGTTACCCTTAAATGTAGCCCCTTGTTTCTTTTTGTTTCTCTCATAATCTGTAACTTAAAGTGGTATTTATCCAGGGCCAGATTTTGTGAAAGAATTTCAATATCAGATATATAAGAATCTAATCTCCAGGAATGATCTATACCCTAGCATTTTCCACAAATTTATAAAATTTCTATTTAGTGTTTGAGAGCTCTTCACAAATTTTTAGTTGAGGTGCAGTGTTCCTTTTTTTTTTTCTTTTTGAGAGGGAGTCTAGCTCTGTTACCCAGGCTGGAGTGCAGTGGAGCGATCTCGGCTCACTGCAACCTCTGCCTCCTGGGTTCAAGAGATTCTCCTGCCTCAGCCTCCCGAGTAGCTGGGATTACAGGCACCTGCCACAGTACCCAGCGAATTTTTGCATTTTTTATTAGAGACGGGGTTTTTCCATGTTGGCCAGACTGGTCTCGAACTCCTGACCTCAGGTGATCCACTCGCTTCGGCCTCCCAAAGTGCTGGGATTATAGGGTGAGCCATGGTGCCCAGCCCTGTTCTCTTCTTTCAACCATTGACTCAAGTTTCTGGCTGCTTTTTTAAAGAAACAAATTTATCAGGATACAATTTGTATATGACACATTTTACCCATTTAAAATGTACCCAATTAAAAAAAGTGTTTTTTACTATATTCATAGGGTTGTGCAACCGTTACAAAACTCTAATTTTAGAACATTTTCCTCTCCTCTAAAAGGAATTGTGTACCCATTAACTGTCAATCCCTATTTTTCCCTACTCTATTCCTAGTCCCTGGCAACCACTAATCTACTTTTTTTCCTATAGATTTGTCAAGTTTGGACATTTCATATAAATGAAATAACACATTATGTGGCCTTTTGTGACTGACTTCTTTCAGTTAGCATGTTTTCAAGATTAATCCATGTATCCAGTACTTTATTCTTTTTTATAGACAAATAATATTTCATCACATGTTTATAACACATTTTGTTTATTAATCAGTTAATGGACACTTAGTGGTATCAAAATTTGGTTATTAGAAATCATGCTGCTATGAATGTGTGAACACATGTTTTTATTTTTGTGTGGACATATTTTAATTTTTCTGGAGTGTATACTTAGAAGTAGAATTGCTACGACAAGTGTAACCCTATGTTTAACTCTTTGAGGACCTGCCAAATTGTTTTCCAAAGTGGCTGTCTGCCTACTTTTGATTGCTGTCCAGTGTTCAAATACTTGTTTTTGTATTTTGTCTGGAGTACATAGGTGTTATCTGTGAGAAGGCAGATCTAATAGCAGCTGTTCTGCTATTGTTATTCCTTACATATCAAAAGTTTATTTTAAATAATTGAACATGAGTTTGTAAAAATCAGCTTTGCACATTTCAGAGCTATGCTAAACTACTGCAGTGGTTCTCAAGGCAGAGTAGAGTGGGAAAGCTACCGTTTGAATTTCATTGTTCAAGAAATTATCTAGAAAAATAGCCAAAAAGCATGAATAGTTCATAGACAAATGTAAATGGCCAATAAAAACATGAAAGGATGTTCAATTTAACTAATAAATAAATATAAAATAAAGAAGTAAATAAATAAAATGATATATTTTACCCAATAAGTTGAAAAGATTAATAATGACCTAAAACCCTCAGTTTCACTTGAGCAGGAGGAAATGAGCTGCTTTGTTTATATGGTATTAGTGGAAATATAGAGTGATTTGACTTTTTGAAGGGTATTTTGATAATACATATCCAAATGTCAGATGCACATATCCCTTGACTCAGGAATCTCTCTTCTAGGAATTTTCTTTAAAGAGATCATTGTGTAAGTACACAAAGATATATGCATATCAGTTTTCATCACAGTATTAATAGTGAAAAGTAAAAATAAATGTCCATGAGCAGGAGACTGATTGGTTATTATTCTGTATACCTAAAGTGCAATACCCTCAACTCTTTAAAAATGGAGAAGAAGGATCATGTTTAATCACCTGGAAAGATACTTATGATGTTATTTAGTAAAAAGACTGGGTTATAGGACAGCATGTTACTCTATGATCTCACGTAAGTAAAATTGTGTACCCATGTCTTTGAATGTATGGCTAAAGGTATACCCATTGTTGTTGGATAGTATATTTGGGTCATCTTTTCCTTCCTCTTTAGATGATTTTGTGTAGTGTGAGCCTTTCTCTCTGACTCTGTATCAGTTATACAGATGCAATAAAGCTTTTAAAACTTTCTTCAGTAAAAATGAGCAGAAGAGGTATGGTGTCACAGAAAATGGTGGAATAGGCAGCCCTAGAAATTGGTTCCTCCACTGAAGCAGCCGTTAAGCTGGCAAAAAATGTCAGAATCAATTTTTTCTGAGCTTTGAGATCTAATGAAAAAAACCACTAGCAACCAGAGGAGTGCTTAATTAAAAAAAAATACTGCTAAATTTTGGTAAGAAAGCATTGTGGCATTTTTGCTTACCTGCCTACTATCCCCCACTCCCAGCCTGGCGGTAGCTAAAATGATGGCAACCTGGGTTCTGGTGTGGCTTGCTGGTGTGTGTGTATTGGGTGGTGCAGTGGGGGTGGGGCAGGGTACACAATATGGACAGTGTCCTCAAAAAGTTGTGGTTCTCACAAATTGCACTTTTTGACCTCTCATAGTTCCCTGAATGACTGGCATAAAGTTTTGTCTTTGTTTTGACGCCTTAGAAATCTCTCAGAGTGGCATCAACGAATAAGGGCTTTGGAGGGTCCTCACATATACTGAGGGATCTGGAATGTAACATACATGCCCAGGGCCAGACACACTCAGAAAAGACCAGAGGATGTGAGGCTTGTATCACTGGAATATCTTTCATTTATGAACAAACAAGGAGTGAAAGCTAAAGTAGAGTTGTAGGTGGTCTGGCCGTGTATTAAAGGAGTGCCTAGGTCAGAGCCAATTGGCAAAGAGTGGGAGAGTATTTTTTTTCTTTCTTTTTGGCTCTGTCTGGCTGACCACTGAGATAACGGAATGGAGACTTCAGTGACCACACACAAAAAGCAGTCTGCAAAAATAGTTTGGAAAAGTCAGTAAATAGACAGTTAACTGAGCCCTCAACAAGCAACAATGCAAGCCTTGTTGGAGAGAGATTCTGATTTCCAGAGTTACCACATTATGATATTAAAAACATCCAATTTTCAACAAAAAATTACAAGGCATATGAGAAACAGGAAATTACGGCCCATTCACAGGGAAAGAAATTAATAGAAACCATCCCTGAGAATGCCCAGCATTGGACTTATTACACAAAGACTTTATTTTTTTCAAAGTTTTATTGTTAATTGACAAATAATAATTGTATATACTTATGAGGTACAGGTAATGTGATGTTTTGATATATGTATACATCGTGGAAGGATTATATCAAACTAACATATCTATCACCTTACATAACATTTTTTGTAGTGATAACGTTGAAAATCTTCTATTTTAACAATTTTGAAATTTACAATACTTTGTTATTATTATTAACCATGCTATGCAATAGATTTTGAAAACTTTCTGTCCTGTCTAACTGAAACTTTATACCCTTTGATCAGCATTTCCCCATTCCCCACTACGCACCACCTGGTAACCACTGTTCTACTCTCTACTTTTATAGATTTGATTTTTTTATTTATTTAACTTTAATTTTTGTAGATACACAGTAGGTGCAGATATTTATGGCGTATATGAGATGTTTTGATGCAGGCATGCAATGTATAATAATCATATCACAGAAAATGGGGTATCCATTCCCTCAAGCATTTATCCTTTGTGTTACAAACCATCCAATTATACTCCTTTAGTGATTTTAAAATATGCAATTAAATTATTGACTATAGTCACTCTGTTGTACTATCAAATAATAGTAGATCTTAGTCATTCTTTCTGATTTTTAAATACCTATTAACTATTCCCACCTCCTCTCCTCCCCCAACCCATGACCCTTCCCAGCCTCTGATAACCATCCTTCTCTTTTTTTTTTTTTTTTTTTTTGAGACAGAGTCTTGCTCTCTCGCCAAGGCTGGAGTGCAATGGAGCAATCTCAGCCCACTGCAACCTCTGCCTCCTGGGTTCAAGCAATTCTTCTGCCTCAGCCTCCCGAGTAGCTGAGATTACAGTTGCCTGCCACCATACCTGGCTACTAAGTTTTGTGTTTTTTTTAGTAGAGACTGGATTTCACCCATGTTGGTCAGGCTGGTCTCGAACTCTTGACCTTAAGCGATCCACCCACCTTGGCCTCCCAAAGTGCTGGGATTACAGGCATCATCCTTCTACTCTCTATCTCCATGAGTTC
Organism: Homo sapiens; assembly: GCF_000001405.40. Lineage (NCBI taxonomy): Eukaryota > Metazoa > Chordata > Mammalia > Primates > Hominidae > Homo > Homo sapiens. Next base: position 160,345,392 of record NC_000003.12, on the reverse strand, counting down.
AATTGTTTTGATTTTTAAATCCCACAAATAAGTGAGAACATGCAATATTTGTCTTTCTGTACCTGGCTTATTTCACTTAACATAGTGATCTCTATGTCCATACATGTTATTGCAAATAACAGGATCTCATTAATTTTTATGGCTGAATAGTACTCCATTGTGTATATGTACCACATTTTCTTTATCTATTCGTCTGTTGATGGACACTTAGGTTGCTTCCACATCTTGCCCGTTGTGAACAGAGCTGCAACAAACATGGAGATAGCTCTTGGATATACTGATTCTTTTCTTTTAGGTGTATACCTAGCAGTGGGATTGCTTGGTCATATGGTAGCTTTATTTTTAGTTTTTTGAGGAACCTCTAAACTCTTCTCCAGAGTGGTTGTACAAATTTACATTCTCACCAGCGGTATATGAGTGTTCCCTTCCCTCCACATCCTCACCAGCATTTGTTATTGCCTGTCTTTTAGATACAAGCCATTTTAACTGTAGTGAGATATGTCATTGTAGTGTTGATTTGCATTTCTCTGATGCTCAATGATATTGAGCACCTTTTCATATACCTGTTTCCCATTTGTATGACTTCTTTTAAGAAATGTCTATTCAGATCTTTTGCCCAATTTTTGATCATATTATCAGATTTTTTTCCCATGGGGTTGTTGGGTCTCCTTATATATTCTGGTTACTAATCCTTTGTCAGATGGGTAGTTTGCAGATATCTTTTCCAATTCTGTGAGTTGTCTGTTCACTTTGTTGATTGTCTCCTCTGCTGTACAGAAGCTTTTTAACTTGATGTGATCCCATTTGTCCGTTTTTGCTTTGGTTGCCTGTACTTGTGGAGTATTACTCAAGAAATTTTTGCCCAGACCAGCGCTGGAGATTTTTCCCAATGCTTTCTTTTAGTAGTTTCATAGTTTGGGTCTTCGATTTAAGACTTTAATCCATTTTGACTTGATTTTTGTATATGGTGAGAGATAGGGGTCTAGTTTCATTCTTCTGTATATAGATATCCTGTCTTCCCAGCACCATTTGTTGAAGAGACTGGACAAAGACTAAATCAGTGATCTTAAATATGCTCAAAGAGCCAAAGGAAAACAGATCACAGTCTGAACAAATAGAAAATACCAGTAAAAGGATAGAAATTATACAAAAGGAATGTAATAGAAATTCTGGAATTGGAAAAAAGCAAAGGATAAAAGAAGGGTACATACCCCCAGAAATGCAAAATATGTTGTCTCTTTAGCAATGAGTTTTATGCACATAAAAATTACAATGTTATGCCATTCCCATTCATCAGAAATGGGAAAATGGGGCTCCTTGTAGAACATTGATGGGAACATTAACTGGTACAGCCTTTCTCAAGGATAGTTTGGTAAAATCTGTCAAGAGCTTTGAAACTTTTGACATAGCTATTACTTCAAGGAAGTATAAAAATGCATTGCATATTAATTTGTTCATTTATTTTCATATTTATCAATTCTTTTACAAATATTTATTGAGAGTCTGTTAGATGCCAGGTACTTGCCCTAGTTGTTAAAGAAAATCAATAAATAAAATAAATTCTGTTTTGTTGACAGTTTTTATTCCATCAGATGAAAGACTATAAACAAGCAAAAGTAACATATTTTAAATGGTAATGAGTGCTATAAAAATTAAGCTGGGCGAAGGAGATGGCATTTTTTAAATGAGATGATCAGGAAATATAAAAACAAATATAGAAACTAATTGTACATTACTGGATGGTAAGTAAAATAAATAAGGTACAAATGAATTACCTTTGGGATAAAAATTAAAAGTCATAGTACTATAATGTTTTCTATATTACATAATAAATTTTATTTTTACCTTTGATTTTTAAGAAATGCTTGATTCCAATTGTAAGGGCACCAATGTTCAAATTAACATAGTTATTATAAATAAATTGTACAATATATTAATGAATTATACTATATTAAACAATAGCATCCAAGGGGAAAGATCTAAATATACAAAGTACTTGGCCTTATTTTTAATTAACTGACATTGTTGCTTTTATCTATCAGCAGGTGGTGCTATTGCTTGTGTAAGAGATAACTTTTTTGTGATTCTCATTTTCTCTGTCTTTGAATATTCGTTTAAGCATTATAATAAAAAGGCATCTCCCTGTTCATCTTTTCAATTAAAATAATTGCAGTGACTTACCATCTGCAGTAAATGGTCCTAAACATCAGTTAATGTGCCCTAAATGAATGTAAGAAACTTTGCATCTATTTTTTTTCCACTTAAACTTACTTTGTGAATGTACAATTTTATGAATTGAATTTATTGAAATTGGCCAAAGTTTATGCTTTTTTTCCCCCCAAGAACACAAATCCACTTTTATTTACTTTTCATTAGCTTAAATCCTTGAAGGGTACAGCATCACACAGATTCTGTGTCCAGTGGCCTTAGCAGGAAGATTGCTTTGGATTTTGGCACAAACCACGATACTGTTTCCATGGGCCCAAATTATCTTTCCATGGATTACTCTAGTTTATTTGGTTTGCCACCAGGAGTCACTATGTTGTTCTTTGTTTTATATACATAAGCATATCTCTTGCCCAAATAGAAGTCAGTTTCATCTCAAGCATAAACGCCTTCAACTTTAAGAAGAGCTGCATACTCCCTTTGGTTCTGGAGACCCCACTTAGAGCAAGCAAACATGGTCTTGTACCACAGCCTTCCAGCATATTTCCCTTTTAGACATCCTGTTCCCAGCAGGCCTCCACAGGCTCCAAGATGGCAGAAAGAGCCAAAGATTATCCTTTTGAGGATCCTTTCAATGTAATATATTTATACAGGAATAGTAAAGAGAAGGGTGAGGTTGGCATTGAAGAGATACTTTTAAAAGTCCTTATAGTCAAGTCATGTTTTTTAGTTTAAATATTTATTTCCCTGTTGGGAAATAACCTGCATGCCTAAGCAATTTGACAGAATACAGAAGGAAAAAAATAGTCTCTTCCCTCAAAGGAATGTATCACTTTTTGATATATCAACACTTTATAAAACATTCTGAATTGTTATTCTCTATATTGTGCTGTTTAGTATGATTGCTTATTTCGTTTTAATGTAAGAGTAGCATTAGCATGTTTGTAAAGCCTGGAGTCAAGACTCCAGCGGTGAGTTTACAAAGTCAAAGGCCTCTTCTGGGTCTTTACATTTCTCATCTACAAAATAAATTGTCTAAGCTAAATGATTAACTCTCTCTTTTCAACTCCACGATTCTATGATACCTTTTCCATGGGCATCGGACATCCTGCTTGCTTCCTCTTATAAGTATTAGTGTGTTGATTGTTTCTTTGTTTTTAAATATAAAGTTATTACATAGGAAGAGGCAACACTGCAGTGGTATGCCAGAAGTGAGAAAAACACAAGCAGTGCTGGAGAAGTGTGGCTGATCTTATGACTTCAAACTTACTCTATGTTTTCTTTTAGTTGATGCAAGTAGAAGAAACCATTAAGTAAAAAGGAGAATTGGTTATAAGGATACAGGGATACCTTCCAGAAGCCAGGGAAAGGATATAGCCAGATCTCAGGAAACAGGAACTGGAGTGCTAGGAGAACACAGAAAGTACCTGTTCTCTTTGTCTCTTTTGTCTCTGCTTCTGTCTGTATATCCAGGTCCTTTTTTTCTTTTCCAGTGGATTGACCTTTTTTACCCACCTCAGTTTATGTGCTGGAAAGTGACCAGTGTTAACAACTCTAAAGTGTACATTTTTTTTTATTTGAGAGAGCAGTAAGGCTGAGACAAGAATCTTAGTCCCAATTTTAAACGCTCCCTCAGGGAAGGGATCACTGGCTCAGCTTAGGTTTGGTACACATGCCTGGTCTAATGAGTTGTGTCTAGGCAGGTTGGGGTAGGTGCACCTATTTTGGTAATTTTTTTCTTTTTAAAAGCAACTTCTTCAATAACTTAAAATGTTTTCTTTTGGATATCTTTAATAATCCAGTACCACATGCCAAGTTCCTACCACCACTTGGTGACAACATGGTCACATGGTCAAATTATTATTTAGGTTTTTTTTTTTTTTAATCATTGTTAATAAGTCCTTGAAAGCCAAAACCACAAATCGCAAACTACGTTTAAAAAGTGGTAAGACTTTGGGAGGCCAAGGCAGGCAGATTTCTTGAGTCCAAGAGTTCAAGACCAGCCTGGGCAACATGGTGAGACCCCCATCTCTACAAAAAGTACCAGAAAAGAATCAGCCAAGTGTGGTGGCAAGCACCTGTAGTTGTAGCTACTCAAGAGGCTGAAGTGGCAGGATTGCCTGGGCTCAGGCTGCAGTAAGCCATGATTGTGCCACTGCACTCCAGCATGGGTGACAGAGTGAAAACTTGTCTCAAAAACAAAAAAAAAAGGTAGTAAAAATATCATTTTATGTGTTTATGCTCATATCTAAATATGAATCTTTAGAAAAAAGGAATATGCTTTTATAATCCCCAAATTAACTGCTATATTCTTCCTAATGCAATTTCATGACTGGCTGAATAATGGGCCTCCAAAGATACCCATATGCTAATCCCCAGAACCTGTGAATGTGTTACCTAATATGGCAAAAGGAACTTTGCAGATGCGATTAAGGGTAGGGACCTTCAGATGCTAAAACTATCCTGGATTATCCAGTCATCCAATATAATCACATGAGTTCTTAAAAGCAGAGAACTTTTCCTAGCTGGGGGTTAGTGGATGAAGAAGGACAGATTCAAAGTAAGAGCAGCTGCACCTGCTGTTGCTGGCTTTAAAGGTGAAGGAAGTGGACCACAAGCCGAGGAATGCAGGTGGCCTCTAGAAACTATGAATGGCCAGCAAGGAAATGGGGACCTCAGTCATACAGCTGCAAGAAACAATTCTGCCTACAATCTGAATGATCAAGGAAATGGTCCTTCTCCCGGAGCTTCCAGAAAGGAATGCAGCCTTGTTAGCACCTTGATTTTAGCTCAGTGAAACTCATATTGTGTTTATGACTTAGAGAACTGCAAGATAATCAAATTATGTTTTTCTAAGGCTCTAAATTTGTGGTAATTTGTTACAGCACTAATAGAACACTGCAGATATACCTGCAAAGATACAAACTATATCTTTGTAACTGCCTTTTAGGGCCAGTGTTAGCAATGAGTCATGTAGGTAGATAACTTGGGGAGGATTTCACCTTCTTCTTACTGATAAAAAAAATTATCTCACTAGCTTTATTCCTTTGATTTAAGAAATTATTTCTTAAAATATAATAGTATCATGGGAGTAACACATTAAACTTGTTTTTATCAGGTCCTTTTCTAAGTAACTTGGCTAGCTGAGAGCAGACTTTAGAGCATGTGAAAAGAGGCATAGAATATTTTTGCCCAGGAGATGGCCCTTTATGGAGAGATTTTGGCTAGTTGTAGAACACCCTCAAGGTACTCGATATTTGGGGATATGCCAGTGATATTTGCCCACAGCTAAAAACCAAATTGGTCAGTCTCACACTTTTTCAAGACTGCCCTCCCTTCAGACAAAAATACGTTGCTAAATCTTTCAAAAGCTAACAGCAATTGATTGTTATGTTCATGTTCAGTGATATAGTGCTACTTAACAAGCACCTCAAAATAACATTAGTGTTTTAGTTGGCTATCATATTGTTAATACAGAACACTTTTGTGTCCTGTAAACTTCTTTTATAATTACTTTTTCCATTTTCTTCTATGTTTTGCTTACCCACTTTTTGTTTTTAGAAATTATTTGTATCAAACGAAGCCAAAAATAATCTTTGTTTACTTTTTCATATTCTGTAGCCTAAGAAAACTGTGTTAGCTGCAATTTGCTGTATAGAATTAGAGAAAAATAGAAAACCTTACCACATTTTGGAGACAAAAATTGTGGTAAGTGGTTTAATTAGATATACAGGATAAACTTATATTTTGGAGAAATTTGTGGCAAAAAATTAGTATAACAAAAATAATGAAAACAGAAAGCTAGAAAAAATAATACCCATAATCATAACAAAATATTTTAATTTTTCTGTCTACCTTCCAAGTTTTTGTCTTTGGACATTTTTTACATTTTGGTATTGATATACTTATTTTAGCTCAATATTATGTTGTAGTCTCAAAATACTCTTAAACAATGAAAGCAAGGGCTGACTATAATTTCTATAAAAATAGCTTGAGGGGGAAAGATAATGGCAGAGGCAGCATGTTGTTGTTTTTAATAGAGATATTACTTACATACAGTATCTTATGTGTACAGCTCAATTTTTTACATATGTAAATATCCAAGAAACCACCACCCATATTAATAAAGAACATTATCAATATTCCAGAAACATAGCATCCTGAAGATGCTAGGTAAGCTGGAGTTCCAAGACACTGTTTTGAGTTACCTTTCATTGAGATTTCTTCTGCGTGATGTACACTGCACATAATAGTAAACTTGCTTGTTTTTCTCTTTTTAATCTATCTTTTGTTACAGTGGTTTATCCCAGCAATAAACTTAACAAGGGTTGAGGAGAAATTATATTTCTTCTCCAATATTGTTCTAGGGAGCAGAATGTAGGGGAAAAAAGAGAAAGAAAGAAAGAAGCAGCATTTAGAAAGGAGAGCAAGAGCCAGAAGAGATTGGTATTATACAGTCTGAGAGATTTTTCAAAGATCAGTGGTCAGTAAGGTCCAGATCCCAGGGCCATGTTCTTCTCCATGTCACCATGCCCTTCTCCAGATACACACATGGGTTCTCACTCATCTCCTTCAGGTCCCTTTTTTTTTTTTTTGAGACAGGGTCTCACTTTGTTGCCCAGGCTGGAGTGCAGTGGTGCAGTGATGGCTCACTGTAGCCTCAGCCTCTCAGGCTCAAGCAATCCTCCCACCTCAGCCTCCTGAGTAGCTGGGAATACAGGCACATACCACCAAGCCCAGCTAATTTTTAATTTTTTATAGTGACAGGGTATCACTATGTTGCCCAGGCTGGTCTTGAACTCCTAGATGCAAGTGATCCTTCTCCCTTGTGGATTACAGCCTAGGATCCTCCTCCCTTGTGGATGCCTGTGCTAGGATTACAGGCGTGAGCCACTGCACCCAGCCTGGGGGCAAATTTTTCTGTGCAGTTGGTGCCAGGCCAATGGGGGAAAGGGTGTCACTGATATGGAAGTCCAGTTCTCTGTCTGCTCAGAGTTTTTTCATTTATCCATGCCCTAGGAACTATCTTATCTTCATATTTGAGTTCTAGGATATTGCTGGTGGTAATCTTGGTGCTGTATAATTGTTTTTGGTTTTCTGGGGTGAGGGGTGTGGTTGAAGCCACCTTATTTCTATGCTGCCATTTTAGAACCTGAAGTCTCAAGAGATAAAAAGTTTTGATAGAAAGTGATAGAGAATTTAGGCAGAGAAGATCCAAAGTACATATAATAGGAGTCTGCAAAGATGACGCCCAAAGCAACGAATAGAAGAAATACTAAAAGCTACCATTCAATAAATATTTCCTCAAAATAAGGAATTTGACATTGATATTGAAAAGGCATGCAGATAATTAGGAAAATTGACCCAGATGGCTAACACTTGATATATGCTAAGAAAACTATAAGAATTTAGAGAAAAGGGAAAAAAACACTTTGGCCATCTAAAGAAAAGACCAAGTCACTTATAAAGAAGAAAATCAGAACATCATCAGACTTTGATAGCAACATTTTATGTCAGAAGACAATAGGTTAATATAGGATACTCAAAGAAAAAATAGGCAAGCCGAAGATTTTACATAGAACTATTCTTACCTTTTTTTTTTGGAGACAGAGTCTCACCCTGTCACCTAGGCTGGAGTACAGTGGCACGATCTCAGCTCGCTGCAACCTCAGCCTCCCAAGTTCAAGCAATTATCTGCCTCAGCCTCCCCAGTAGCTGGGATTACAGGCACCTGCCACCACACCCAGCTATTTTTTTTCGTATTTTTAGTAGATGGGGTTTCACCATGTTGGCCAGGCTGGTCTTGAACTCCTGACCTCATGATCCACCTGCCTCAGCCTCCCACAGTGCTGGGATTAGAGGCGTGAACCACCACGCCTGGCTCATTCTTACCTTTAAATATAAAGGTCATAATCAAACTATTATAAACATGTAAGAACTCACGGAATGTTTTCATAAATATTTTGAGGAATCGACTAGAGAATTAGCTTCAGATAAACAATATGACTAGGGACATAGTAAAATCAGGACTGATTGTGAGCATTTTATATTCATCTGTAGAACTAAGATAAAATGGTGGATGTGAAAGATACAGCATAGTATGTATATTGGCTGTAGACACCAACATTGCAAAAATAGGAAGAGGATGAAAAAGAGTATATGAAAAGTAGAATAAATTTGCTGACTGACTTATAGATATTAATTGGTAATAAAAGGGTTATTACTTAAAATCAGATATGGAGAAAAGGAGAGGAGGGGAAAAAGGCTGTCTTTTAATTTTCATATTGCTTATAGTGGAGAACAAATAGAAAATTGCCCTAAAAAATGTGTGGCATGGGGATAAAGTATTTTTATAAAAGTAATTAGCATAAATGTAATCATTAGGTTAAAAATGGAAACTTTCCTGAATACTAAAATATATCCCAGAAAAAGAGAGAGAGCAAATAGAACAGACCATCTACAATAAGACTGTTTGAAAGGCACAGATATATGGACATATATATTACATAAAATGATAGAGCTGAGGTGAAACATATTGATCATACTGTCAATAGCTATATAGGAAAGTGTATCTTCATATATTACAATAGATGATCCCTGGGACATATTGCTATGGATACACACACACACACACATACACACATGTTGAAGAAAGATGTGAGGATAAAACAAAAATAAAAAATTGTTATCTATAGAGAGAGGGAGGAAATGGGGGAGAGAAAAGGAATAGAAGTTAGACTTATTTGACTATATTTTGTATATTTTTTCTTGTAAATTCAGCTTTGGAATCATTTAAATATTTTACATAATTATATAAAAATTAACTTTTTAGAAAGCAATTCCTAAACCTCAAAAGTAAATGAAACAAATGGATCTAATTGTGGATTCACTTATTTGCATAACTTCTCATAGGATAACTATTTTCAGTGATTTAAATTATTTGATTGTCTGCTCCTGGTGCTCACAGGAGACCCAGTAGAAAGTAACCCCTCCACTTTGGAAAATGTTTGGCAGCTACTCAAAACATTAAAGATGGAGTTACCATAGATCCAGCAATTCCATACCTGGGTATATACCCAAGAGAAATGAAAACGTATGTTCACATAAATGCTCATAGCAACATTATTCATAAAAGCCAAAAAGCTGAAAAAATTGAAGTGTCCATCCACTGCCTAGTGTATAAACAAACTATGTTCTATCCATACAATAGAATATTATTTGGCAGTAAAAAAGAATAAAGTACTGATACATGCTACAACATGGATGAACCCTGAAAACAAACATGCTAAGTGAAAGAAGGCAGACACAAAAGGCCACATAATGTAGTGTTTTATGTATATGAAATAATCAAAATAGAAAATAAAGGTAGATTAATGGCTGCTAGGAGCTGAGGGATGCAGGGAATGGGAATGACTTCTGATGGATATGGGGTTTCCTTTTATGGTGATGAAAATGTTCTGAAATTAGATAGTGGTGATTGTTGCACAACTTTGAATATACTAAAAACTACTGAATTCTATATTTTAAAAGGATGAATTATATAATATGTGACATCTGAATAAAGTTGTTGCTTAAAAGAAAATTTGCCTAAGGGAAAAATAGAATGCAAAAAGAAGTTTTAAACTCTTTTATAATCATTTGTTTGTGGTATTAATAGTGTTATTCTGAGTATCTATATTGGTGTCTTAAGAATTGGGATTTTTAGGGCCAGGCATGGCAGCCCATGCCTGTAATCCCAGCACTTTGGGAGGCCGAGGCGAGTGGATCACCTCAGGTCAGGAGTTTGAGACCAGCCTGGCCAACATGGCAAAACCCCGTCTCTACTAAAAATACAAAAATTAGCCAGGTGTGCTGACGGGTGCCTGTAGTCCCAGCTACTCGGGAGGCTGAGGCAGGAGAACCTGGGAGGCAAAGGTTGCAGTGAGCCAAGATTGTGCCACCGCACTCAAACCTGGGTGACAGAGCAAGACTCCGTCTCAAAAAAAAAAAAAAGAAAAAAAGAATTGGGATTTTTCTGCCGAACCGAGTTTGACATCAGCCTGGAAAACATAGTGAAACTCTTATCTCAAAAAAAAAAAAGAGGATTTTTTTGGCTAATTAAAGGAGATCCTGGGGTAAGACTGGTGAGGGTAAGTAGAAATCCGATAGTTCCTGGATTTGAATGGAAAGTATTTGAGTTTGTTTTTTATCTTGAAAAAATTACCTATTTCTTTCCACTAAAAAGACCTAGAAAAGCAATGATCAACTCAATAATAGTATCCAAGCACTTGTGGGCATTCTTTAAATAATATTTTCCACATTTTTATAAAATGAACCAGAGCTCACTGAGAATTCCCTGTGTAAGTCAGGAAATCTAAAATATGAATGTGGACATTTTATCATTCTAGAAAACAAGGAAACTGTCTTTAAAAAAAAAAAAAAGCTATGAGAGTCTGTCAAGAAGACTAAAAAATAAACAAAACAAAAAACCCAACTTGAAAGAGATCTCACAGGCTAAAAGTGAGCCAATTTGAGCTGGGCACAGTGGCCCACGCCTGTAATCCCAGCACTTTGGGATGCTGAGGAGGGCGGATCACAAGGTCAGGAGTTCAAGACCAGCCTGGCTAATATGGTGAAACCCCGTCTCTACTAAAAATACAAAAATTAGCTGGGCATGCTGGCAGGTGCCTGTAGTCCCAGCTACTCTGGAGGCTGAGGCAGCAGAATTGCTTGAACCTGGGAGGCGGAGGTTGCAGTGAGCTGAGATCGTGCCACTGCACTCCAGCCTGAGCAAGGCTGTGTCTCAAAAAAAAAAAAAAGCGAGCCAATTTGAGCATCATATTTAGTGAAACACATCAAATGTGTATATACCAACTGGTATAACAAACCCCTATTTACCCATTACTCAACTTCCAACAATTATCAACTAATAACATATCTCATCTGTACCACCACCCACTTAAGCAAATCCCTAGCATCCTATCATTCTGTCACTAAATATTTTAGTATATATCACTGAAAGCACAGTCTGTTGTTAACCTAACCTTAGTACCATTATTAAATCTGAAAACAATTAACAGTAATTTTTAAGTATCATCAAGTATCTAGTCACTATTCAAATCTATATTTTTGAAAAGTGATACGATCATGTACCACATAATAACATTTTGGTCAGTGACAGACTGCATATATGATAGTGGTCCCATAAGATTATAATGGAGTTGAAAAATTCCTATTGCCTAGTGATGTCATAGCCATCCTAGTATCATAGTACAACACATTACTTATGTGTTTGTGTTGATGCTGGTGTAAACATACCACTGCGCTGTCAGCCATATAAAAGTACAGTACATACAATTATGTACAGTACATAATTCTTGATAGTGATAATAGATGACTGTGTTACTGGTTTATATATTTCTTATACTATTCTTTTTATTGTTATTTTAGTGTGTACTTCAATTTTAAAAAGAAGTTAACTGTAATACAGCCTCACATAGGTCCTTCAGGAAGTATTGCAGAAGAAGACATTGTTATCATAAGAGATGACAGCTTCATGCATGCTGTTGCCCCTGAAGACCTTCCAGTGGGACAAGATGTAGAGGTGGAAGACAGTGATATTGATGATTCTGACCCTGCATAGGCCTAGGCTGTGTGTGTGTTTACATCTTAGTTTTTAACAAGAAAGTTTAAAAAGTAAAAAACAAAACAAAAAATTTTAAAGATAGAAAAAAACATAAAGAATAAGGATATAAAGAAAATATATTTGTACAGCTGTCACAACGTGTTTTATTTTAAGTTTAGTGTTACTACAAGAGTCAAAAAGTTTAAAAAATTAAGAGGTTTATAAAGGAAAAAAGTTATAGTCAGCTGAAGTTAATTTGTTATTGAAGAAAGAAAAATTTTTTTAATAACTTTAGTAGCCTAAGTATACAGTGTTTATAAAATTGATAGTAGTATGCAGTAGTGTTTCAGGCCTTCACATTAACTCACCATTCACTTCCTGACTCACCCAGAACAACTTCCAAGCCTGCAAGCTCCATTCATGTAAGTGTCACGTACAGTTATACCATTTTTTATGTTTTAATGATGTATTTTATTATACCTTTTTTGTGTTTAGGTATGTTTAGGTACACTACTATCGTTGTGTGACAGTTTCCTATAGTATTCAGTAAGGTGCTTGATAGGTTTGTAGCCTAGGAGCAATAGGCTATACCATATAGTCTAGATGCTATATTATCTATATTTGTATAAGTACGCTCTATGATGTTCACATGATGAAATCACCTAATAGCCCATTTCTCAGAATGCATCCCCTTCATTAAGCAACACATGATGGCAACTAACTGGAAATAATCAAGAATTTATCCTGCCTTTGATATATATACCCCAGGGTAACCAAATAGGTAATGAGAAGATACTTCTTTTTCTAAAACTATTGCAGTTAGTAAGTGAAGAAAACATTAGAAGATTACCCATTTTGCAACCCTACTGAATTAGTAGATGTAGGCAATGATCGTCGTTTATTAAAAGCATAAGAAGAGAGGCAACAGACATTAATTGCTTCCTACTGGAAGTACATGTCATAACTCTTATTTATGTAATGCTGTCCCAGCATCCATTTTGTTGTCTTGCCCCTGACTTTTGACCCACCTATTTTGAGATAGTCTCCATCTAGTTAGCATTTCATCTTCTAGATAGATAAGGCCCCATATCCCAAACTGTTTGATCACCTACTTTTAAGTGTTAGGAACCTAATAATGTAATCCCCAAGTTCCCGTGCTTATCCTTGTGCTCCCTTCAAACAACCCCACTAGGGGTTGCCAGGGGAAACCCACCTAGGTAACACCCTGCACACCAATAAAAGCCTCCACCCAAAGGTTTCACCCTCTCTCTTTTGCTCCCCACCTGCTGGTTGAGCATTCATGTTCTTGATGACACCCCACACCTTCCCATTGTCTCTGCCTTCTCACTTAGATCTATGAGTAATAAACCTAATCTTTCCACCATTCCAGTCTGAATGTTCCTCACTGTGCCACACAAAACCTAACTTAAATACCTCACTTAACAAATTACAACAGTATACAACATCACCTATGAAGTTTTCTTTCCAAAAATATGGAACCTGAATCTGATCAAGACTCTAAATCTAACTACTAATTTACAGGAAATAAAGGGGACAGAGGAAATGTTAAATAACACCATGAGAATGCAGAAGCCAAAATCCAGACTGGGAAATTTTATAGGACATATGACCCAGTTTCTTCAACAACCACAAAATTACAAGGAGAGGCCAGGCGTGGTGGCTTATGCCTGTAATCCCAGCACTTTGGGAGGCCAAAGCGGGAGGATCACTTGAGCTCAAGAGTTCAAGAGCAGCCTGGGCAACATAGACCTTATCTCTACTAAAAATAAAAATAAAAATCCCAATGTCTTGGCATGCACCTGTGGTTCCAGCTACTCAGGATGCTGAGGTGGGAGGATCACTTGAGCTGAGAGATTGAGGCTAGAGTAAGCTATTATTGCATCACTGTACTCCAGCATGGATGACAGACCAAGACATTGTCTTAAAAAAAAAATTACAAGGGTAAAAAGATGTGGAAAGAGAACATAAAGATCTTACCCATCAAACATAGTGGTTATACCTTATTTGCATCTTGATTGAAACAAACTGGAAAAAAAATGACAATTGGGAAATTTTGAACAGTGACTTAATGACATATTGAAGTTGGGTTTTAAAAGTCTTTGTCTTTTTAGTGATATATAGTAGTTCCTCCTTGTCTGTGGTTTTGCTTTCATGATTTTTCAGTTACCTATGGTCAACCATGATCTGAAAATATTAAAGGGAAATTCTAGAGAAAAGAATGCATAAGTTTTATATTGCACACTGTTCTGAGCAGCATGATGAAATCTCAAGCCATCCTACTTTGTTTTCCCAGGACATGAATCATCCCTTTGTCCAGCATATCCACTCTGTACACTACCCACCCGTAAGTTACTTAGTAGCTGGCTTAGTTATCAGATCAACTGTCACAGTATTTCAGGGCTTGTGTTCGTTCAAGTAACCCTTTTTCTTAATAATGGCCCCAAAGCACAAAAGTAGGGATGCTAGCAATTCAGTGTGCCAAAGAGAAGCCATAAAGTGCTTCCTTTAAGTGAAAAGGTGAAAGTTCTCAATTAGAAAAAGATGGTAGGCTGAGGTTGCTAACATCTATGGTAAAAATGAATCTTCTATCTATGAAATTGTGAAGGAGGAAAAATAAATCTGTTCATAGTGTTATATAGATAGTACAGTACTATCTGTGGCTTCAGGCCTCCACTGAGGGTCTTGGAACCTATCCCTGTGGACAAGAAGGGACTACTGTATACTGAAATATTTATTGATGAAATGATATGTTAGGGATTTGCTTCAAATAATCTGGGCCATGGAGAAGTGGATGGTGGTACAGAGGAGATGAGAATTAGCCATTAGTTGATAATTGTTGGAAACTGGGTAACAGGTAAATGGGGGTCTATTATGCCAGTCATTCTCAGAGTGTGGTCATTGGCCCAGTAGCTTCAGGACCCTCTTGGAGCTTGTTAGAAATGCAAATTTTTTGACCCCAGCCCACATCTACTAAATCAGACACTCTGGGGTCGGGCCCAGGAATCCATTTTAACAATCCTAGGTAACTCTGATGCACACTGAAGTTTGAAAACCACTGCTTTGTATTATTATTCCTACTTAAGTTTATGTTTGAAATTCAAAGAAATAAAAAGTGCAAAAGAAGAAAATTAGGTTATGAATATAAGAAGCCAGATATTCACATACCTAGGAGAAGCTGGTTTAGAGGCTAAGAAAAGGTTGTATAATTGTGTTAATAGTTAGCAGACGAGTTGGTAAGGTACTGTCAGAGAGCCAGCTGCTAATGATAAACCAAATTACAAATTTTGCTCTTCTCTTGAAACAATGGCTCTTTATTAAAATCACCTAGAGAACTTTTAAACACACATCCAGACCTACCCCCAGGAGATTCTGGATTTAATTGGTTGGATCAGAGCCAGGGTTTTGGTTGTTCTTTTGTTTTAAAGTTTCTAAGATAATAATAATGTGCAGCTAGCATTGATAACAAGTATCCTAACTTTATGTGCATAAGAATTATCTCAAGAGCTTGTTAAAAGCTTCCTGTCTCTCCTCTCCAGAGATTCAGATTCAATAGCTTGGGGTAGGGTCCATGAATTTACATTTCTAATAAGCTCACACATGATGTTGATGCTGCTGGCTTGCACACTTTGAGTAACATCTTAAAGTGAGAGTCTGGTCAAAGAAAGAGATAAGTAAGATAAGTAACAGTGTAGGGGAGAAAAAGTATGTCTCTTCTTCCCATCTTAGGTTCATGGATGAGGACCCTATAACGAAAGACAGATTAACAAGAAAAAAAAAGCATACAATTTTATTTAATACAAACTTTACATAACATGGAAGCCTTCAGAAATGAAGACCCCCCCAAGAAACAGGGAAACCTGTGTATTTTTATGCTTAGGTTTTATTACAAATGAACAGTCATGCAAAAGTATGATTGGACAAAGAGGTTACGATCTAATGCTAATAAACTAGGGGAAATTTAGCAAAGCCTTTCTGTTCAGATTCTTCTTCTCTGCATCCCTGTGTCTTTAGAGATAAGGATGTTCCTTTCCTCCCAGTACAGGGAAGGTACCTCTCCCTTGATGAACTGACTTGCCTCTGGAGAGTGGTGAAAGAAGGTTAGAGAATGACATTCCTGCTTCTACTGTGTTCTCTGTGTCGATGTGCCATATTTTGGAGGCAGTGTGTTCTGAGCCCCATCAAGAGGGATATTTAAAATTCATCTACCAGGGTTCTCACTGCCAGTACCACTAAATTACACCCAGGGCAGCTGTCTCATTCCCTTTTAGAGGGTAGTAATACAAATGTGAACCAAGTATCTCATGGCATATTTGGGGAAGAGAAGAGAATTAGAGTGTTAAAAAAATCTCTTTAAAAGCACACATGATAAATAGATCTTTTTTATTTACCAATAAAAATTATTCAGTTTACTGATTGGAAAAATACAACCCTGTCTCCCCAGTTTTATTTTAAGTTCAGGGGTACACATGCAGGATGTGCAGGTTTGTTACATAGATAACATGTGTGTCATAGGAGTTTGTTGTACAGATTATTTCATCACCCAGGTATTAAGCCTAGTATCCATTAGTTATTTTTCTTGATCCTCTCCTCCCTCCCACCCTCCACCCTCCAGTAGGACCCAGTGTGCATTGTCCCCCCATGTGTCCATGTATTCTCATCATTTATCTCCCTCTTATGAATGAGAGCATGTGGTATTTGGTTTTCTGCTTTTTCTGCTCCTGTGTTTGTTTGCTAAGGATAATGTCCCACCAACTCCATCCATGTCCCTGAGAAGGACATGATCTCATTCCTTTTTATGGCTACATAGTATTTCATGGCATATATGTACCACATTTTCGTTCTCCAGCCTGTAATCGACAGGAATTTAGGTTGATTCCATGTCTTTGTTATTGTACTGTAATGAACATATAGCTGCATGTGTCTTTATAATAGAACAATTTATATTCCTTTGGGTATATACCCAGTAATGGTATCACTGGGCCGAATGATAGTTCTGCTTTTAGCTCTTTGAGGAATTGCCATACTGTCTTCCACAATGAACTAATTTACACTCCCACCGACAGTGTAAAACCATTCCTTTTTCTGTACAACCTCGCCAGCATCCGTTATTTTTTGACCTTTTTTTTTTTTTTTTTTTTTTGAGATGGAGTCTCCCTCTGTCACCCAGGCTGGAGTGCACTGGCACGATCTCTGCTCACTGCAACCTCCGCCTTGTGGGTTCAAGTGATTCTCCTGCCTCAGCCTCCCAAGTAGCTGGGATTATAGGTGCTTGCCACCATGCCTGGCTAATTTTTGTATTTTCATTAGGGACAGGGTTTCACTATGTTTGCCAGGCTGGTCTTGAACTCCTGACCTCAAGTGATCCACCCGCCTCAGGCTCCCGAAGTGCTGGGATTACAGGTGTGAGCTACTGCACTCGGCCAGACTTTTTAGTAATAGCCATTCTGACTGGTGTGAGATATGGTATCTCACTGTGGTTTTGATTTGCATTTCTCCAATGATTAGTGATGTTGAGCTTGCTTTCATATGACTGTTGGCCATATATGTCTTCTTTTGAGAAGACATCTTTTCATGTCCTTTGCCCACTTTTTAATGCGGTTGTTTGTTTTCTTGTAAATTTGTTTAAGTTCCTAATAGATGCTGTATATTAGACCTTTGTCAGATGCATAGTTTGCAAAAATTTTCTCCCATTCTGTAGGTTGTCTCTTTACCCTGTTGATGGTTTCTTTTGCTATGCAGAAGTTCTTTAGTTTAATTAGATCCCATTTATCAATTTTTGTTTTTGTTGCAATTGCTTTTGGCACCTTCATCCTGAAATCTGTACCTATGCGTATGTCCTGAGTGGTATTGCCTAGGTTTTCTTCTAGGGTATTTATAGTTTTGTGTTTTACATTTGTCTTTAATCCATCTTGAGTTAATTTTTGTATATGGTTTAAGGAAGGGGTCCAGTTTCACTTTCCTGCATATGGCTAGCCAGTTCTCCCAACACCATTTATTAAATTTGTTTATTAAATAGGGACTCCTTTCCTCATTGCTTGTTTTGTCAGGTTTGTTGAAGATCAGATAGTTGTAGGTGTGCAGTCTTATTTCTAGGTTCTCTATTCTGTTCCATTGGTCTTTGTGTCTGTTCTTGTACCAGTACCTTGCTGTTTTGGTTATTGTGGCCCTGTTAGTACAGTTTGAAGTCAGGTAGTATAATGCCTCCAGCTTTGTTCTTTTTGCTTAGGATTGTCTTGGCTGTTCAGGCTCTTTTTTGGCTCCATATGAATTTTAAAATAGTTTTTTTCTATTTCTGTGAAGAATATCAATGGTAGTTTAATGGGAATAGCATTTAATGTATACATTGCTTTGGGTAGTATGGTCATTTTCACGATATTGATTCTTCCTATCCATGAGCATGGAATGTTTTTCCATTTGTTTGTGTCATCTATGATTTCTTTGAGCAGTGGTTTGTAGTTCTCCTTGTAGAGGTTCTTCACTTCCCTTGTTAGCTGTATTCCTAGGTATTTTATTCTTTTTGTGACAGTTGTGAATGGGAGTTCATTCATGATTTGGCTCTCTGCTTGTCTGTTGTTGGTGTATAGGAATGCTAGTGATTTTTGCACATTGATTTTGTATCCTGAGACTTTGCTGAAGTTGATTATCAGCTTAAGAAGCTTTTGGGCTGAGATGATAGGGTTTTCTAGATGTATAATGGGATCATGTCATCTGCAAACAGGGATAGTGTGACTTCCTGTCTTCCTATCTGAGTACCCTTATTTTTTTTTCCTTGCCTGATTGCTCTGGCCAGAACTTCCAATACTGTATTGAATAGGAGTGGTGAGAGAGGGCATCCTTGTCCTGTGCCTGTTTTCAAGGTGAATGCTTCCAGCTTTTGCCCTTTCAGTGTGATACTGGCTGTAAGTTTGTCATATATGGCTCTTATTTTGAGGTATTCTTTCAATACCTAGTTTATTGAGAGTTTTTAACATGAAGGGATGTTGAATTTTATCGGAAGCCTTTTCTGCATCTATTGAGATAATCGTGTGGTTTTTGTCTTTATTTCTGTTTATGTAATGAATCACATTTATTGATTCATGTATGTTGAATCAGCCTTGTATCTGGGAATGAAGCCTACTTGATCATGGTGGATAAGCTTTTTGATGTGCTACTGGATTCACTTTGCCAGTATTTTGTTGAGGATTATTGCATTGATGGTCATCAAAGATATTGGCCTGAAGTTTTCTTTTTTTGTTGTATCTCTGCCAGGTTTTGGTATCAGGATGATGCAGACCTCATAGAATGAGTTAGGGAGGAGTGCCTCCTTTTTAATTTTTTGGAATAGTTCCAGTATGTCTCTCCAATTTTAGTAACTATTAAAGACTTATTCTCTGCTGATTAGGTTTTGATTATATTGTTTTATTACTAGAGTAATCTAAAACAGAGAGAAATAATTTTAATTTATTTCTTAATCTTTTATTTTGAGTTCAGGGGTACGTGTGCAGGTTTGTTATGTAGGTAACCTTGTATTATGGGGG
This sequence comes from Homo sapiens, assembly GCF_000001405.40. Lineage (NCBI taxonomy): Eukaryota > Metazoa > Chordata > Mammalia > Primates > Hominidae > Homo > Homo sapiens. The sequence goes on along the minus strand of NC_000003.12, from coordinate 160,326,084 downwards.
TTTGTTATCATTAATGGGTACTGGGCTTAATACCTGGGTGATGAAATTTTAATTTTTAATGCTTACATTTAAAATAATTTTTAAGTTGTAAATTTAAAAATTTTTAATGTAAGAATTTAATTTAACGTTACTATCACAATATTGTTATACAGGTTGAGCATTCCTAATCTGAAAAATTCAAAAGCCAAAATACTCCAAAATCCAAAACTTTTTGAGCACGAACATGATGCTACAAGTAGAAAATTCCAACACTTGACCTCATGTGACAGGCCACAACCAAAACATTTACAAAACTTTGTTTCATGTACAAAATTATAAGAAATATATAAAATTATCTTTCTGCTATGTGTATAACATATATATGAAACATAAATGAATTTCGTGTTTAGATTTGGGTCTCATTCTCAAGATATCTTTTTATGTATATGCAAATATTTCAAAATCTGAAGAAATTCAAAATTCGCTTCTGGCTCCCAAGCATTTCAGGTAAAGGATACTCAATCTTATTCCCTGAGATGTGTTTTCAGGGATAAGTTGCATGTTGCAGATTTTATTTTTGTTGGTTCATGTGGACTGTAAAGGAAATCAGTTGAATATAGGATGATGATATACTATTATCTAAACATTTCATTTTCTCCTCTTAGGATCATGCATCTGTAAGTTCTTAGATAAATATTTCTGTTTAATTTTAGTAAGACATTCCTTTCTGGCTGATTTGGTTCTTCCAGTGTTTTAAAACCATACTTTAGGCTTAGGATTGACTTAGCGATGCGGGCTCTTTTTTGGTTCCATATGAACTTTAAAGTAGTTTTTTCCAATTCTGTGAAGAAAGTCATTGGTAGCTTAATGGGGATGGCATTGAATCTATAAATTACCTTGGGCAGTATGGCCATTTTCACGATATTGATTCTTCCTACCCATGAGCATGGAATGTTCTTCCATTTCTTTGTATCCTCTTTTATTTCATTGAGCAGTGGTTTGTAGTTCTCCTTGAAGAGGTCCTTCACGTCCCTTGTAAGTTGGATTCCTAGGTATTTTATTCTCTTTGAAGCAATTGTGAATGGGAGTTCACTCATGATTTGGCTCTCTGTTTGTCTGTTATTGGTGTATAAGAATGCTTGTGATTTTTGTACATTGATTTTGTATCCTGAGACTTTGCTGAAGTTGCTTATCAGCTTAAGGAGATTTTGGGCTGAGACAATGGGGTTTTCTAGATATACAGTCATGTCGTCTGCAAACAGGGACAATTTGACTTCCTCTTTTCCTAATTGAATACCCTTTATTTCCTTCTCCTGCCTAATTGCCCTGACCAGAACTTCCAACACTATGTTGAATAGGAGTGGTGAGAGAGGGCATCCCTGTCCTGTGCCCGTTTTCAAAGGGAATGCTTCCAGTTTTTGCCCATTCAGTATGCTATTAGCTGTGGGTTTGTCATAGATAGCTCTTATTATTTTGAGATATGTCCCATCAATACCTAATTTATTGAGAGTTTTTAGCATGAAGGGTTGTTGAATTTTGTCAAAGGCCTTTTCTGCATCTGTTGAGATAATCATGTTGTTTTTGTGTTTGGTTCTGTTTATATGCTGGATTACATTTATTGATTTGCGTATATTGAACCAGCCTTGCATCCCAGAGATGAAGCCCACTTGATCATGGTGGATAAGCTTTTTGATGTGCTGCTGGATTCGTTTTGCCAGTATTTTATTGAGGATTTTTGCATCAATGTTCATCAAGGATATTGGTCTAAAATTCTCTTTTTTGGTTGTGTCTCCACCCGGCTTCGGTATTAGGATGATGCTGGCCTCATAAAATGAGTTAGGAAGGATTCCCTCTTTTTCTATTGACTGGAATAGTTTCAGAAGGAATGGTACCAGTTCCTCCTTGTACCTCTGGTAGAATTCGGCTGTGAATCCATCTGGTCCTGGACTCCTTTTGGTTGGTAAGCTATTGATTATTGCCACAATTTCAGATCCTGTTGCTGGTCTATTCAGAGATTCAACTTCTTCCTGGTTTAGTCTTGGGAGAGTGTATGCGTCGAGGAATTTATCAATTTCTTCTAGATTTTCTAGTTTATTTGTGTAGAGGTGTTTGTAGTATTCTCTGATGGTAGTTTGTATTTCTGTGGGATCGGTGGTGATATCCCCTTTATCATTTTTTATTGTATCTATTTGATTCTTCTCTCTTTTTTTCTTTATTAGTCTTGCTAGTGGTCTATCAGTTTTGTTGATCCTTTCAAAAAACCAACTCCTGGATTCATTAATTTTTTGAAGGGTTTTTTTTGGTCTCTATTTCCTTCAGTTCTGCTCTGATTTTAGTTATTTCTTGCCTTCTGCTAGCTTTTGAATGTGTTTGCTCTTGCTTTTCTAGTTCTTTTAATTGTGATGTTAGGGTGTCAATTTTGGATCTTTCCTGCTTCTCTTGTGGACATTTAGTGCTATAAATTTCCCTCTACACACTGCTTTGAATGTGTCCCAGAGATTCTGGTATGTTGTGTCTTTGTTCTCGTTGGTTTCAAAGAACATCTTTATTTCTGCCTTCATTTCATTATGTACCCAGTAGTCATTCAGCAGCAGGTTGTTCAATCCTAAGCCAAAAGAACAAAGCTGGAGGCATCATGCTACCTGACTTCAAACTATACTACAAGGCTACAGTAACCAAAACAGCATGGTACTGGTACCAAAACAGAGATTTAGATCAATGGAACAGAACAGAGCCCTCAGAAATAATGCCGCATATCTACAACTATCTGATCTTTGACAAACCTGAGAAAAACAAGCAATGGGGAAAGGATTCCCTATTTAATAAATGGTGCTGGGAAAACTGGCTAGCCATATGTAGAAAGCTGAAACTGGATCCCTTCCTTACACCTTATACAAAAATTAATTCAAGATGGATTAAAGACTTAAACGTTAGACCTAAAACCATAAAAACCCTAGAAGAAAACCTAGGCATTACCATTCAGGACATAGGCATGGGCAAGGACTTCATGTCTAAAACACCAAAAGCAATGGCAACAAAAGCCAAAATTGACAAATGGGATCTAATTAAACTAAAGAGCCTCTGCACAGCAAAAGAAACTACCATTAGAGTGAACAGGCAACCTACAAAATGGGAGAAAATTTTCGCAACCTACTCATCTGACAAAGGGCTAATATCCAGAATCTACAATGAACTCAAACAAATTTACAAGAAAAAAACAAACAACCCCATCAAAAAGTGGGGAAAGGATATGAACAGACACTTCTCAAAAGAAGACATTTATGCAACCAAAAGACACATGAAAAAATGCTCATCATCACTGGCCATCAGAGAAATGCAAATCAAAAGCACAATGAGATACCATCTCACACCAGTTAGAATGGCAATCATTAAAAAGTCAGGAAACAACAGATGCTGGAGAGGATGTGGAGAAATAGGAACACTTTTACACTGTTGGTGGGACTGTAAACTAGTTCAACCCTTGTGGAAGTCAGTGTGGTGATTCCTCAGGGATCTAGAACTAGAAATACCATTTGACCCAGCCATCCCATTAGTGGGTATATACCCAAAGGACTATAAATCATGCTGTTATAAAGACACATGCACACGTATATTGATTGTAGCACTATTCACAATAGCAAAGACTTGGAACCAACCCAAATGTCCAACAATGATAGACTGGATTAAGAAAATGTGGCACATATACACCATGGAATACTATGCAGCCATAAAAAATGATGAGTTCATGTCCTTTGTAGGGACATGGATGAAATTGGAAATCATCATTCTCAGTAAACTATTGCAAGGACGAAAAACCAAACACCACATGTTCTCACTCATAGATGGGAATTGAACAATGAGAACACATGGACACAGGAAGGGGAACATCACACTCTGGGGACTGTTGTGGGGTCGGGGGAGGGAGGAGGGATAGCATTAGGAGATATACCTAATACTAAATGACAAGTTAATGGGTGCAGCACACCAACATGGCACATGCATACATATATAACTAACCTGCACATTATGCACATGTACCCTAAAACTTAAAGTATAATAATAATAAATAAATAAATAAATAAATAAATAAATAAATAAATAACAAGCTGACAATGACCCTTTCTACTGTCAGATCTCCTTTCTTAAACAAGCATGCTCAGGGCAACTGCTGGCCTAACTTGATACTTCTTGGCTGTCCTGAAAGAGCATCTTTCTCCATCAATGTCCTTGAAATTATGCACAGATTAAATAATAAAATGAATCTTTCACATATAAAAAAATAAAAATAAAAAATAAAACCATACTTTAAATTTGGTAGTCCTCCCTTTTTCACAGTTTCTCTTTCTGTGAGTTCAGTTACCCTCTGTCAACTGCAGTCAGAAATGGAAATTTCCAGAAATAGAGACCACATTCACATAACTTTTACTATGGTATATTTTTATAATTGTTCTATTGTATTATTAGACATTGTTAATCTCTTACTTTCCCTAATTTATAAATTAAACTTTAACATAGGTATGTATATATAGAAAAAAACATAGGATGCATAGGTTTTAGCACCTTCTATAGTTTCAGGCTTCCACTGGGGATCCTGGGACTTATCCCCATGGTTAAGGAAGGACTGTTATATGAATGTATGGTTTTAAAATAGAAATTAAACTAAGATCTCTGTTTCTTCTACACCATGAGGATAGACTAGATTTAGAAAGAGAGAGAGAGATGCCATAAGCCTATATGTTAATATATCAAGTCTTATTTGTCATTATCAACCACTTTTAATCTTTATGTAAAATAGTATTCATGTAATGTTTCATAATTCTTGTTTGTCAAACACAAATGAATTAATTTCATTTTATCGCCCAAAGCAGGTTATTAGTATCTTTGAAGTTCCCAGTCTTCTACAGTTATTTTCAAAAGATGACTTCAAATATTATATGTATTTTTTTAATTGATTCTTCTTAATTTTCTAAAAGGAAGTTTCTAGTATTTTCATACTGCTGATGAAGCAAAGGTTATGGTTTGTTCATTATCTTCTCCTTGGTAACTTTATTATTAGGCCTTTACTGAAGCCATTAAAGCAACAGTTAGTGGCTCCAAAGTTGGAGGGTGGGGAGAGTTGTAAAAGAGTGTCAGTGAGTGGTTGAAGAGCCTTTCAGTATTTTTATGTTATGTATGAACTTTCATTAGGAATTTTAAAGTCTTGTTTTGTAATAGCATCAATTAGTAAATCTTTATATTTTTCCATTCCCCTAGATTTGTTGTCAAAGTGAGCCTGTAGCTAATAATGAGTATTTCTGGAAAAAAATAATGTAAAACAAACAAACAAACAAAATATATATATGTATATATATCCAGCCGAGAGCAACAACAACAACAAAATCAAGACTGTGATTATACGCTGTAAGGCTGGAAGAATGAAAAGAGAATATGTATATAAGTTTAGTCAAATTAATCATCCTAGCAAATAACATATGTTGCATCTGAAAAATGAAACAAGTGCATATAATACCATGTATTAAAAAGTTTGTTTTTTTCTTATGTCTTATTTATAGACACACACACAAGAATCTCTTTTGTCCTATTTAATGCTTATTGATATCTCTAGATAACTTTCTCAGACAGTTAGATAGGTTCTAGGAGAGGTTATACTCACTGCAGTCTGTTAAAAAAAAAAGAAAAGAAATAGATCCAGTTTCGTGTAATTTCATGATTTAAGATGTGGGTCAGAGCTATTTTAGTTACATTGTGTGTTGAGTTTCAATTGTTTTGTGACATTCTTAAAATATTGTAATGAGAAATTTTTTTAGATGTAGAGACTATATATTAGGAATGAATAGTAAGATGTCTTTGTTTTTTCTACAGAATCTTTGTGTTTACCTATTAAGTATTATTACTTAAAAGGAATAGTAAACATTGAGATGATGTGGGTTTTTTACAGTTCTTGAGATATTTCATACACTGTTTTAGCATGATGTTCTACTGTGGACTTCAACAATTACATCTGTATTTTCCATTCAGTACACTATAATTTTATTAAGAAAAATAATAATTCCAGAATAGACATTCTTTTAAAAATGATCTTATTACGTTGTCATGTGCCTGATTTAAAACTTCCTAAAAATTTTTTTTCAGTAAGTCCATCTTTTTCTTGTTTTTTCTCCCCCAGTGGTCATATGCATTAGAAAAACCCAACACTGGCAGCATATTTAATATTGCATGGTCTATCGATGGCACTCAGATTGCTGGAGCCTGTGGAAATGGACATGTCGTTTTTGCACATGTGGTGGAACAACATTGGGAGTGGAAAAATTTTCAAGTAACATTAACGAAAAGAAGAGCCATGCAGGTATTATTATGTTCCAAGGTTGATTAAACCTGCTTCTTTTCATATTAGTTAACTGTACAGAATATGGAATTATCTTCATTAATTATATTTAGTCAAGCTTATAAAAATTCAGTCACATTAGAAATATTTTAACTATTCCATTAGTCACTTTCTCTGACATAAAAACCTTTCACAGATATAGAACCTGAATGCCCAAAGCTACTTCAGTTATGCATTTAGGACAAATACAGTGAAATTGGAAACCTGGAGGAAATATGTGGATTCAGTGAGGGAAGGAGAGAAAAAGCTGTAACAAACAGGAGCATGTTGGATTTGACTCCTGGAGCTGAATCCAAGGCAGGCCTAATCTGCCAGTTACTGACAGGGTTAATTGTTTTACTTATTTGTAATTGGATGAACTTATTTAACCTGATTTTTTTAAATTTTATTTTAAGAATTACCTAAGGAGAGTCAAAATGGGAAAATGGTATAGGAAGTTCTTATTGGGAATTAGGAAGTGTAGGGGAAGAAAAATATCTCTACCCATCCTAGGCTCATGACTGAGGTCCCTATAACAAAAGATATATTAATAAGAAAAAATCATATAAATTGATTTAATGTAAGTTTTACATGACACTGGAGCCTTCCTGAGGAAATGTAGACCTGAAGAAACAGTTAAGGCTGTGTGCTTTTACGCTACATTTGATGAAGAGTAGACAGTTGTGGCGATACACAATAGGGCAAAAAAAGTATGATCTAGTGGTAATAAGCTGGGGGAAATTTAGCAAGACCTGTGTGTTTAGATTCTTCTCTGTGTCCCTGTGTCTTCAGAAATAAGGATATAACTTTCCTCTGGGTATAGGGAGGGCACCTCTCACATGAGAGTCTTATGACCTGCTTCAGGAAAAGGTCAGAAAATCCTTTCTAGGTTTTATGACCTGTATTAGGGAAGAAGAGTAGAGGAAGGTCAGACTGACCTCCTGCTGCTCTTGTTTTATCAAATTCCTTTAGCTTAAAATATTCAGTATGCCATAGTGCCATATTTTGGTATAGTGTATCCTCAGTCCCATCAGAAGAAAATTTTGAAGTGAAATATTTTGTAGATTAATACAAGAAGGTTCGGATGTGGCAGTGGGAAGTGGGGAGAAATGTTTTACAGGTCAAAGGATATCAGTGGGAGGGCACAAGTATCTTCATGGCTCATCTTTGTCTCTCCTTCAGGGCCTCTAGCCCAGTGCCTTGCCTTTAATATATTAATAATTAGTTGAAGAAAGGTACAAGGAGAAGATCAAAGTACCATGTGCCAATGCAAATCCTCAAAAAGAAGGATTCGACCTTCCTCTTATTCCTTTTGCCTGTATCAATTGCCTCTATCTTCAGTATTCATAATTCATATTATTACTATAAAAATTTAGAAGCATGGGCAGGTCTATTCAAATATTCTGTTAGCCCACATATCCAGATTTTAAAATTTGGATAATATTGTCACTAGATTACTAATAATTCGGTATATTATACTTTTTCTTTATTCTGTTTATTTATTTTAAAATTATAAAACTTTTTATTTAGATAATTTAAAACACACACAGACTAGTATACTGAATCCCCATGTACTCATCACCCAGCCCCAGTAATCACTAGTTCATGCTTAAGCCTGCCCAGTCCATGTCCTATCTACTTTCCTTGCTCCCCAAATTCAGACATTGTATTTCATTTATAAATATTTTAGTATATATAACTAAAAGATAAGGACTCTGTTTTAATATAACCACACTACCATTATCATATTATATAATAATAATAATAATTTCTTAATATTATCAAATATCCACAAAGTGTTTAAATGTCCAGTTGTTTCCTACATGCCACAAAACTTTGTTTGAATCAGGATCCAGTTTTACATATTGCAATGGCTGATGTATCTTTTAAGTCTCTTTTGGTCTGAAGAGTCCCCTTCTATCTCTGTTTTCTGTCCTGCATTTTGTTTGTTGAAGAACCAAGTTATCTGTCTGGTAGAGTTTCTCAGTCTGGACTGGGCTGATTGTATCTCCATCATGTGATTTGACATGTCCCTCTATCTTCTGTGTTTCCTTTAAGAAGGATGTAGGATCTAGATGATGGTTTAATGTATATTTCTTCTAATTAACCTGGGATCTAAACCATTATAATATTCTGTATATGACATAGAATCCATTGTGAGTTCTAATCAACTAATTGGGGTATAATATTATATTTATAGCTAATATAGTAGTGCTAAAATAAGTTTTAGCCTTAATTACAGAAATGCCCCAACATGAGACCATATCTAGAAAGAGGAGTTCTTCTTTCATAATAAGAAGGAATTATCCTAGTGATGGAGGATTTTTATGTGAAATAAGATGAACCGTGGAAATGCTTAAATGGCTTATCTAATCTAAATTGTCTTTGTGTTTAAAATAATATTTATAAATTTTTAAAGTTTTAAACTAGAACATTATTTTTATTTTTTTAAAGAGGTTTTACTTTCTCCATGATTATAAAACATTTGACTGCATTTTTGCTAAGTTAGGCCTATTCATGTTTCTTCTTAGAATGATTTTATTCACTAATTCAATGGGTATCTATTGAGTGATCCCTACTTGCCAGGCATTGGGCTAAGTAATGAGGAATACAGAAGTGAACAAGACAGATTTGGTCCTTGTTTTTATGGACCCCCTAGATTATTATCTTGAAAATGTTTTTTTCATAAATTCAGCTGTAATTGATTTAAAGTGAAAAATGAAGAGAAAAAAAGGAAATTTATTGATTCTTGTGAAGTTAAGAGACAGACTGACTTAGAGGCATTATTGGTTCAGAGGCTTAAATAATGCCAAGAGGACTTCATCTCTTTCTCTTCCTCAACTCTTCTTTTCTCTGTAATTGTCTTAGTTTTCAGAAAGGCTCTATTTTGTGGCCTTGGTAGTTCCAGGCTGACATTCTACCAACTCCAAGTTCAGCGGAAAGAGTGCTTTTTTTTCCCTAGTAATTCCAGGAGAAATCTCAGCCTTGGATTTCATATGCTGAGCCTGAGTCAAGTGTATTTAGTCAGGGAGAGGCAGGGGAAAATGAGTCAATCCCATCTAGCCAGTCACTGAGAAGAGTGGAAGGAATGGTTTCCTAAAGGAAAATCAATGTATATTTATGAGAAAAGATGTCAGTTGATTCTGGGCAGACAAAAAATGATAGATAGATATATGCTATAGTCTATCCTTGAGCTGTTTAGCAGCTGTACTGTGTTAGTTACTTATTGCTGCATAATGAATAACCCTAAACATAGTGGCTTAAACAGCAACAATTATTATCTCTCATTTTCTGTGAGTCAGGAATCCAGGCATGGCTTAACAGGCTCCCCTGTTTCACAGTCTCACAAGGCTGCAAGCAAGGCATTGACCAGGACTTTAGTTTTATCTGAAGGCTCAACTGGGGAAAGATTTGCTTTCAAGCTCACTGACATGATGGTTGGCAAGATTCAGTTCATCAGTGTCATTTGCACCTGAGGGCCTCAGTTTTTTCTTGACTATTTACTGGAGGTCTCCTTCAGTTCTTTGTATGTGGCCTCTTCATAGGGCAGCTCACAACTTGGTGGTTTGCTTTAGCAGAGCAAGCAGGAAGGGCCAGAGAGAGTGCAAGCAAGACATAAGTCACAGTTTTTTATAACCCGAGCTCAGAAGTGACATCTCATCACTGTTGCCATATTCTATTTACTAGAAGCAAGCTATTAGGTCCAAACCACATTAAATGGAGAGATTTGCACAAGGGTTTGAATACCAGGAGGCAGGGATCATTGGGAGTCACCTTACAAGCTTCCTTTATTCATATATATGGATACATATTCAACCTACTCTTATACATATGATTCAGAAATATACTACTTTATCATGCAGCTATTTTATAAGTGATTGAAAACAAACCCATCCCCTTTCTAAAAAAAAGATAACCTAGACTCTATGGTTATTGCATCCAGCTCCAACTCTCTGGTTTGGAAAACTATACATAAATATGTATTTTGATTCTTCTCCCCTCCCCTCCCACTCTCCATATTCCCAGTTTACAATGGCAAAGGGAAAAGAGGGTGGCTGCAATGAAAACAATTTGGAAAAGGGGAGAAAGGAAAACAACACACAGTGATTACCCATTTATAGCTAAAATCCAGCTGGTGAGTGTGAAAGGAAAATAAAAATCTTGAGACCCCAAACTCATTATGTCAAAGGGAAAGGGTAAGCTTGAGAACTGAGTCATGCAAAACTGCCTCCCATTTTGTTCCTAAGTAGGTAGCTGCAAAGATAGAAGAACACATACCTCCCCAGAGGGCTTCCCTTACAATATGCTCACAAGTAAATTCCCTGTAGGCCCCAAGATCTTTACCCTAAAACAGAGTTCTGTTGAGTTTCACCCTAACAATGTAAATTAACAGCTTATCTTCACAGGTATGGGAGAAAGACAAGACTAGAAGTCATCCCTCTGCTCACTGGAGACAATGCATATTTCACTGCTTCTTCTGCTCTGTGTTTATCTTATGTAAAAATTCAGATTCACTGCAGGGGGAATACATAGTTGACTATCCCTGTACCTGTTTTCACTTGCAACATGTGGATTCAGTGAGCTCTAATCTAAACCTCACAAGAATGTGACCATACCCTCCCTCCTCTTTCTTTCTTTCTCTCTCTCTTTTTCCCTCCCTCCCTCCCTCCCTCCCTCCCTCCCTCCCTTCCTTCTTTTTTCCCCTCCTGCCCACTTTTTTTCCCTTTAAATATTGAAGCTCTTCAAACCCTTTTTGGAAAAAGCATGGATCACAGATGTTCCTGTGATTTTGTGTTCCTTTTTCCTGGGCACATCCCCAACCTTGGCAAAATAAACCTATAAATTGATTGAGGCTCGCCTCCAGTCATTTTCTTTGGTTTTACACCAAGAATATCCTGAGAACTCTCTTAGCAACAAAGTAGTTGCTTGGTCAGTTTGTTAACTCTAGTTTGCCTTTCTGGGAAGATCTCTCTGGACACTTGGGAGGATTCGCTTTCTGAGGGCTGTACTTTTTAACAGCCCACTTTTGTTGCAAGGTGGAGTCACAGGATTTCAGTGAGACTAAACAATCGCAATTGTTTTTGTTTGCCCAACTTAGAATTTTACAGTTTCCTTAGAGGCTTCTTTGGCTTTTGGTTTATCCGTGTTTCATTAACTCAGAAACCAGAGATCATGTTGAGTCATGATTGTTAAATCTACACCTTGACCTGCTGGTGCTGTTTTCCTACAGTAGACTTATTTGCCCTACCGTCTCTCTGAACCTCAGCTTTTGTGGGACATGATAGCCTGTAGTGAAAAAGTTTCTTAATCTGCCTCTTGCCTCCAGGAAGCAGCCCAGTGGATAATTCTTTCCAAAAGAGATCCTTGATGTCTCTGTTAGAAGGAAGTGCCTAGGAGGGAAAGCGTGCAGGTACAAAGGGTGAGGCATTTCTAGTGTCCCAAAGTTACCTTTGTTTCTCTCCTGCCACTCTAACTTTAGGATGGGGTATAAATTTGGCTTTTAATAGTCATCAAAGTTCAAAAGTGTCTTAATTCTTACAGGACATTTTATGTCTTGTAAAAATAAGAGCTAATAATAGAGTAATATTGAAGATGAAATGAGATAATATATGTAAAACAAAAATGATAGCTATTGCTATGATTATGATTATAGCTATAGGATTAAATGAGTGTTTTGCAAATGTGCAAACAGAATGTTTAGACTTATGTCAATCTGAGGAGTCTAAATATTGTGATCATATAGAAGAATTAGGTGATGCGAATATCAGGAAATTAATCCTGGAGCTGCCCTGAGTTGAACAGAGTAATAGGTGTATTTTAAAATTCAGCACAGAGGCCGGGCACGATGGCTCACACCTATCATCCCAGCACTTTGGGAGGCCGAGGCGGGTGGATCACAAGGTCAGAAGTTAAGACCAGCCTGACCAACATAGTGAAACCCCGTCTCTACTAAAAATACAAAAAATTAGCCGGGCGTGGTGGCTTGTGCCTGTAGTCCCAGTTACTCAGAAGGCTGAGGCAGGAGAATCACTTGAACCCTGGAGGCAGAGGTTGCAGTGGGCTGAGATCACGCCACTGCACTCCAGCCTGGGTGACAGAGCAAGACTCTTGTCTCAAAAAAAAAAAAAAAAAATTCAGCACAGAACATTTCTGATGTGGAATTTGCCATAGTTTTGAAACTATAACAGCAATTACTAGAGTGCCTTTAGTTTTCTTATTATGGCTAGGATGCTTTATTCTGGTTTGGTTCAAGTGTACCAGATTCACAAAAAGGGACATTCCTCCATGTGAGGCTTTAGGGAAATATGGATCTTAAGAAATCTATCTATAATTTTAATAATGTTAGAGGCCTCTACAATTAATTGTATTTTTAAATGTTGAATTTTCTTAAACCTGTTTGTTTAGGAAAGTTTGCAGGCAGTTTGAATAGATAGCATGTTGCTATAAAGAAACTAACATACAACTTCCCTTTAAAGTTTTTATATCATTCTACTAGCTTTAAACTGTTTCTAGAAGATGGCATTTTGGATCTTTAAAAAAAAAAATCTCTGAGAGCTCAGACTTCTCGTGAAAATGGTGTTAATTCATACATGGAAGAGACATACTTTTGGCACCAAAAGATTTAAATATATATAAAAAATATATATAAAATATATATTATATAAAATATATATAATATATATTATATTTATTATATATTATATATTTATATATAATATATATTTATTATATATTAATTTATATATAATATATATTTATTATATATTATATATTATATATTTATATATAATATATATTTATTATATATTATATATTTATATATAATATATATTTATTATATATTATATATTTATATATAATATATATTTATTATATATTATATATTTATATATAATATACATTTATTATATATATATTATATATTTATATATAATATACATTTATTATATATATATTATATATTTATATATAATATACATTTATATATATATTATATATTTATATATAATATATATTTATTATATATATTATATATTATATATTTATATATAATATATATTTATTATATATATTATATATTATATATTTATATATAATATATATTTATTATATATATATATTATATATTTATATATAATATATATTTATTATATATATTATATATATATAAGACTCATCTGGACTCAAACACAAGATAAAGATCTCTGTGGACCAGAAACAGAACAAAAATACAGCGTGGAGTCTCAGACCTACTTCAGGTCCAGAAGCAGGCAAGGAAAGGCAGTGAGGAAAGTTGCTCCTGCTGGCTAAGGAAACTGAAAGTATTAATACTTGAAGTGAGACAAGGGACTAGATCCAAGTGTCTGTTTGAAATCAGAGCCTGGGGGTCTATGAGGTAGCTCCTTTCTCTCCATCCTGAAAGGAGACCAAAAAAATCTACAGCCACCTGCTACATGGGGCTTCATATGTGTAGTTGTAGGCCTAGGAAATTTGAAGACACCACCTGCAGTCAGCGGCCTGCTCAGTTCCAGAGGGCACCATTCACATAGACCCAGAGTTGTGCACTACACAACCTGCAGTCATATAGCTGTGGCCTTGCAGACAAAGCTCAGCCATTTCACTAAGAGCATTCTTGTTCTAATTAACAACAGCTGACTACTGGCCGGGCGCTGTAGCTCATGCCTGTAATCCCAGCACTTTGGGAGGCCAAGGCAGGTGGATCACGAGGTCAGGAGATCGAGGCCATCCTGGCTAACACGGTGAAACCCTGTCTCTCCTAAAAATACAAAAAAATTAGCCGGGTGTGGTGGCGGGCGCCTGTAGTCCCAGCTACTCAGGAGGCTGAGGCGGAAGAGCCCCAGCTTGAACCTGGGAGGCGGAGGTTGCAGTGAGCCGCATATCACGCCATTGCACTCCAGCCCAGGAGACAGTGCGAGACTCCATCTCAAAACAGACAAACAAAAAACAACACCTGACTACTGAGAGCAGTGTTTTTCCTCCAGCCTTCTCAAGTAGAGGTGTTTTTCTTTGATGCGCTGCATATCGCTGGATCTGGTTAGATGTCTTCCTTACTCCTGCTGATTCTAGACCACTACAACCTCCTCTTCCCTAAAAAACTCTAGCTCCTTTGAAACTTGTCATCAGACTACTCCCCTCTTTACAGTCATTCCTCCTACTCCTTGAAGAGGTGAGCAAAAATATTCGTGTCTTTTTCTTTGTCACTAGTTCTGGAATTGTTTTTTAAGTTCTTTTTAAACAGTCTGAAAGATAAGAACTATTTTCATTTTAACATTACCATAGTAACATTCGCATTTCCCCAGTCTTTTCCTAACGTCTTTCTACAGTAACAGATCACATTTCTCCAATTATTTTCTAAATATATTTTTCTAGTTGGTTTGTTTTTATCAGGAAATAAAGCCCCACATTGCATTTAATTTGTCTCTTAAGTCTTTTTAAATCTGAAACAACTTCTTATTATTTATTTACTTACAATTTATTTGTTAAAGGAACAGGTTATTCTGTTGAATTTCCCACATTCTGTATTTGACTGATTCCATCTTTGTGGTATGATTACATTTATTTATTTTTATTTACTTATTTATGTATTTATTTTTTCAAGACATGCTCTCACTTTATCACCCAGGCTGGAGTGCAGTGGCACAGTCATGGCTCACAGTAGTCTTGACCTCCCAAGCTCAAACGATCCTCCCATTTCAGCCTCCCGAGTAGCTGGGACCACAGGTGTCTGCCACCACACCTAGCTAATTTTTTTTGTTTGTTTTTTGTAGAGACAGGGTCTCACCTTGTTGCCTGGGCTGGTTTCGAACTCTGCCCACCTCAGCCACCCAAAGTGCTGGGAATAAAGGCATAAGCCACCATGCCCAGCCTTGATTACAATTAATATGTTCATTTATCCTGTGTTTCCTCTAGACTGG
Organism: Homo sapiens; assembly: GCF_000001405.40. Taxonomy (NCBI): domain Eukaryota; kingdom Metazoa; phylum Chordata; class Mammalia; order Primates; family Hominidae; genus Homo; species Homo sapiens. The sequence goes on along the minus strand of NC_000003.12, from coordinate 160,310,805 downwards.
TCATTGGGTTTAGAGCCTTAGGTGATGCTGTGCACTTCCTGTTGCATCACATCAGGAGGCACATATGTCTGCTTGTCTCTCTTTTAGTGGTATTAAGATTTGATCAGCGTGTTCAGGTATTATAAACCTGATTCATCTATCATATAGCTTCCCACTGGGTTTTGTACCTTAATGTTTTTAGCTGCCATTAATGATAGTTGTTTAGACCTATTTTTCATTGGGGGTTGTGAAATAGTAACATTGTAATTCTGTGATTCCTTCCACATTTATTAGCTAGAATTCTCCTATAAAAGACTTTGTTTGCCTCCTCAACCATTAGATTACCCTGTGGGGAATGGTAACAAATGCTGAATTATTTTCCTGTTTGCCAGTTTTCAAGTAATAAGTTGGTTTCCTAGCATGCCCAGTGAATTTCTTTTTTCTTGTCATTGATGTTATCATGATAAACTTGTAGATTTTAACATTTTCTGTGTGTTTCAACCCATCGTGGTTATTCTCTTTAATGCTCAAATTGTCTCATCTTTGGCCAGTTGGCTCCTATGTTCTTTTGACTGATTTCAATAGCTTCGTTGCTTTCTGATGTGACAAGATGTTTCAGGCTTCTTTTGTACATTTCCCATCTAGACTTGGAATCAACCATTTTTCCATGAGGGCCTTGCTCCTTTTGGAAGGAAATGTTATTTATAGACCACAATCAGATCTGTAAATAACGTGTGTTCATTGCTACTGATTTGATCATTACTTCTAGATAAAATTTTTTTTTCGTTTTTACTTGAGTCTACACTGGGAAGAAATGCTTTTGTTTTTGACCGATGAAAATACATCACGAGTTTATGCTGTTTCTAATTTAAATTTAAGATTATAGAGTTTTACTCTTGATTTTTTAAGAGTAACTCTCTCTGACCAGAAAATTTTGGTTCCTGAAAACATTATATCCTAAAATATAGTTTGAAAATAACAATATTAATATTATTCTAATAATATGTTACTGAATACTGTTTAAGATTTCTTGTTTTTTTTTTAAATGTGAGCAAATCCATATATCTTCATATTCTTCCCTTTCTTAGATAAAAGGTATCATACTATACACGCTGTTCTGCATCTTGCATTTTTTTTTTGAGATGGGAGTCTCGCTCTGTTGCCCAGCCTGGAGCGCAGTGGCACAATCTCAGCTCACTGCAAGCTCCACCTCCCGGGGTCATGCCATTCTCCTGCCTCAGCCTCCTGAGTAGCTGGGACTACAGGGGCCTGCCATCACGCCTGGCTAATTTTTTGTATTTTTAGTAGAGACAGGGTTTCACCGCATTAGCCAGGATGGTCTCGATCTGACCTTGTTATCTGCCTGCCTTGGCCTCCCAAAGTGCTAGGATGACAGGCGTGAGCCACCACACCTAGCGCATTTTTTCACTTTACTACATCTCATGGACATCTATAGATCTTCCTTATTCCTTTTTATAGCTGTATAATATTCCCCTGTGTGACTATATCATAGTTTATACAACCTGTCCCTTATCAATAGACATTTAGGCTATTTCCAGTCTTTTGCTATTACTAATAGTGCTGTAGTGATAGTCTGTGCATATGTTATTTTATAGTTTTGCTTATTTATCTTTGGGATGGGACTCTAGAAATGAGATTGCTGGGTCAATATTTTGGTGGAGATGGGAGTTAGAGAGCAGATAGTAAAAAGACATAACATACCTGTTTATTCTGTTTGTGCTGCTGTAACAAAATACCATAATCTGGGTAGCTCATAAACAACAGAAGTTTATTTCTCACAGTTTTGGAAGCTGGGAGTCCAAGATCAAGGTGCCAGCAGATTTAGTGTCTGGCAAGGGCCTACTTTCTAATTCATATATGGTGCCTTCTTGCTGTGTCCATGCTTGGTGGAATGGGCAAGGCAGCTCTCTGGGTCCTCTTTTATAAGAACACCAATCCCATTCATAAGGGCTCACAACCTTCCAAAGGCTCCACCTGCTAATACTGTCATGTTGGTGATTAGGTTTCAAAATATGAATTTTTAAGACATAAACATTTAGATCATGGCAATGCCTAGTAGGCCTAAGTACTTCTTTGAAGTACTTATAAGAAGTTTGATTTACCTTCTATTTTTCTTTCCATACTTTTCATTGTTCATTAATATTATAATTGTCACATTATATTTAGAAAAATGGTAACATTTTGAGGAGAACTTAAAGCAGTACTAATTTCTAGGTATAATTACTTTTTTCCCCTATATTTTTCCTCTTAACTATACTGCCATTCCCATTCTTTTATTGACCAGAGATACGTAAATTTAACTTGCTCAACATTTTTCTTAATTTCTTGCAGTTTGTTCATCAACTTCAAGATTTTTTTCCAAAACTGCCAAATATTAAAATCCTTGCAAAATAGTCTGTTACAAATTTTATGATAAATCTGACTGTCATAAGCAAATCTCTCTGTTAGTTGCTGCTTGGCTTTTTTAGACACTGTCTTTGTGTTTTTGCATATGGAAATACCTTTCCCCACTCCCTGCAGCTTGGCTTCTTCACCATGCAATTGGTTTGTTTACCAATACCTCCTACCCCACTTTTGATTTTTAAAGCAATTATGTCTCTACTTTTAGAATGTATATTTTAAAGTAAAATCTAACACCAAAAAGAGATATTCTTACCATTTTGGGCAGAAATCACATAGAATCTTTCCAACTTCAATATGCCACCCTCCTTTGACTATATCTCAGTGTTGGAATATTTTTTATATCACTCCATTGCTACATCATTAAGTTTGGCTTGCAAGTTAGAAATCTCAGTAGGTCTTTTTCTTCTTATTTCTAAGAGATTTTCTGTATCTATGCTTTGTCAGTTGGTTTTTTAATATTAGGTATACTATCTTATGCCTAGTTTCTATTAAATTCTTTTTTATATGATTAGGTAATCAGTAGTGCATTTAATTTTTTGTGTTTCAAAATCTTGCTAACTTATCTAAATAAAATTTGGATATGTTATAATGTTTATTGGTATTTTATTTTTCCTTGTTTAGGTTCGTAATGTTCTTAATGATGCAGTGGATTTACTGGAATTCCGTGATAGAGTCATTAAAGCATCTTTGAACTATGCACACTTAGTTGTTTCAACGTCTCTTCAATGTTACGTGTTCTCGTAAGCATCTTGCATTTCTTAAAATTTCAGAGTTTTGTCTGTCTGTGCTGAGGAGTTTATTTTCAGGATTTCACATCAGCGTGGTTTGGTTTAAGCTTAACTTTCTCAAAACCTCAGCTATCCTGAACTACCTCAAACCCGGAAGTGAGAGAAAGTGAACTTAGAGCAGTGAAAATAGATCTAACGAGGTTTGTACATCAACAGTTAATAGACAAGCGAGGCGCAATGGCTCATGCTTGTAACCCCAGCACTTTTGGAGACCAAAGCAGGAGGATTGCTTGAGAGCAGGGGCTTGAGACCAGCATAAGCAACACAGTGAGACCGCATCTCTACAAAAAATTTTTTGAATTAGCTGGGTGTGGAGGTGCGCACCTGTGGTCCTAACTTCTCAGGAGGCTGGTACTAGAGGATTGCTTGAGCCCAGGAGGTCTAGGGTGCAGTGAGCTGTGATCCTACCACTACACTCCAGTCTGAACAACAGAGTGAGACCCTGTCTCAAATAATAAATAATGGCTTTATTTAACAGTTGGCTTACAAAATTCTTGAAAATTTAATAACTAGTACAGGCTGGCTCTAGCATACTACCAGTTGATTCCTCAACTATCCAGAAAACTCACATAACCACTATAATACTTTCAAGAGTTAGAAATAGTTAAGGATTTTTTAAAAATTTTGTCCTTATATTTATAACATTATGTATAGTTTAGTCATTGAATATAAAATTGAGGATGGAGACTATATGTGTCTCATTCACCACTGTATGCCTAGCACCTAGCACAGTGCCCAACGTGTGGGTACTTAATAAATACTTTTGAATGAATAAATGAATTAAAATATGTAAAGTATAGCATCATCTTGGTATCCAAGTCTAGTAGTACACAACACAAAGGTATTTAACTTAAATAACAACTGCTACAACTATATATTTAAAAATTCCCATTCATTATGTGTAAACCTGCTACTAATCAGAATCTGCAATTTGGGACAAATAGCCAAATCTGGAATAATGAAATAGAAGAAACAGAGGCGAGTAGATAAAGAAATAGGCAATTTAATTTTATGTGAGTTTTTTTTTTTCCTTACATGAGAGCAAAAGAGGAACAGTAAGAATTTGGGAAGATTCAAAAAAGATACTAAGTTAAGCAGTTGAGATGTGGGGAAGGGATTATAGAATGTGAGAAAATCATACAGTCACTTTAATGCAGATAGATGTTTGAATAATTAATTTTCATGGGGCAGGGGAAAACAGAGATCTTTTCAGTTCAGTGTTTGTTTGAAGAAAGGTAAGGCTCTTAACTTCCCCATAATAACTTCCCCATTATTCTACTAGTTATAGTGGCAAGGACATAATGTTTGAATCTGTAGGATTAGTATCATTAGGTGTTACATGTATTAGAGAAGTTGCTTAAAAATATCCAAAGTTTAGCAGCTGTTAATTTTTTTGGTCACTCTACTTTTCCCTTACAAGTTAATGTGTGGCAAATGTAAGGTTGCTTTTCTTCTTTTGTGATTGAACCTTGCCTCCCCTTTTTGATGTCAAGATTATTAAGGTACACATATTAAGGTACAAAATATTAATACCAGGATGCAGCAGTGGTAATGAAATGCAAGGATGCAGTAGTGGGAATGAATCACCACCAAAACATATTTCATAAAGTTTTAAAAATCTACTAGCATTTTAGATAATAATGACTATCACTTATTGAGCAACTGTTATACTTTCATGTTTATTATTATTCTCATTTGAAAGCTGAAGCTAAAGGACATAGAGAATGATTAGATAACTTACCTTACATCAGATTATTGACTTTGTTACTAAAGGAAAGCAGGGATTTGAATACAAGTTCTTAATAACTGTTGGCTATTTTTTAGTAATAAAAATATAATTTTAAAAACAGACATGCAAGTAATTTACTGGTTTATATGAAAAGAAGTTCCAGAAAAAGAAAACAATATATAAGCATTCTACATTAAATTTTCATTTGATTTTTCAGATAATTATATTGAAAATATTATTGTCCTATTCAGCATTTATAGCTTAGGGAGTTTATGTTTCCATGGCATTTATATATCTCTCAGTTGTCAGAAATCTCAGATACTTTCTAAGGGGATATTAAACCCTCACATAATCACTACTTTTCTTACCAACCCTCTTGACAAAGAATGAAGGTTAGTTAATAAAGTATTTTGTGATTTTTTTCTAAAGTACAAAAGCATATATCTTTATCATATCTATGAACCCCAGACTAATTAATAATTACTAAATCAGTAATTAGTAATCACTAATTATTAGCAGTAATTTATTTATTTTGCTTTGTCCATGTATTTACTTACTGAAATGATTATCAGATTCTTTGCATTAGCCAAGATTAGTTGCCTACCAGTTTGCTTACTCACTGCTTCCTTCCCCTTCCCTCCTTCATCTTCTGGATTTGAACGTGGGATTTAATCTGAGGTAGAGAATTGGCTTTATGAAAATTACTGAGAAATTCAGAATATATAGGAGTAATAAAACTTATTTTAAACTGTGGAACAATTTTTATTATTTAAGGATGGGTTTTTCTGTTTGTAAATGTTCTCTTTACCCACCCCGATCTTTGATTCATGTTACCCTATAAAAACAAAATGATCTGTTTGTTCATTTATTAATCCATTTATTCAATAAGCATGTTCATGGCTTACATTTATATAGTATTTTAGAGTTTACAGAATGCTTCACAGAAATCTTTTCATTTCAACCCAACAATAACATTGGGAGGCCTGCAGGAAAAATAATCATGTTCATCATATTACTGTTATTACAGTTTCTGTTTTTCTGGTACCTGCTTTATAACAGGTCTTTTGCCAGACAAAATGTAAGTCATCATTATCCCCATTTTACAAATAAGGAAGCTAATGCTTAGCAGGTTAAGCTTGTTAAGATCAAGTGGGCAGGCACAGTGGCTCATGCCTGTAATCCCAGCACTTTGGGAGGCAGAGGCGGGTGGATCATGAGGTCAGGAGATCTAGACCATCCTGGCTAACACGGTGAAACCCTGCCTCTACTAAAAATACAAAAAATTAGCCGGGTGTGGTGGCAGGCGCCTGTAGTCCCAGCTACTCGGGAGGCTGAGGCAGGAGAATGGCGTGAACCTGGGAAGAGGAGCTTGCAGTGAGCCGAGATTGTGCCACTGGACTCCAGCCTGGGCGACAGAGCGAGACTCCATCTCAAAAAAAAAAAAAAAAAAGAAAAAATCAAGTGGCTGACAGGTGGTGAAACCATATTTCTAATCCAGATATGTCTAACAAAAAGCTATCATCTCTTCATTATGCCATGCTGCTACTGTTTTTAAAATGAGAATCATTAGATGACTTGCCCAAACTCACAGAGCCAATACATGGCAGAACTCAAACTTAGAATTCCTCAGTTCGCATGTTGTAATACCTACAGTAAACATTTATTGGATTCCTATTATGTGCTAATTGCTGGGAATACAGAGTCTCTGCTTTTTAGTTGGGGATACAGACATATAAGTGAATAATTTCAGAACAATGCACCAAGTGCTGTAATAAAAGTATGTATATAATTGCTATGAAACTGAAGTAACTTTATTTAAAATGAATACCAATCTACTTATTTAAAAGTATTTGGTATTTTAAATGTTAATAAATATCCATTTTACTTGTCTTTTAGCACGAAGAACTGGAACACACCAATTATATTTGATCTCAAAGAAGGAACTGTTAGTTTGATTCTGCAGGCAGAAAGGTAATTTATTATGTTTAACTACTGGATCTGGGGTTAAAATAAATAGCATTAAAGCACTCTTTAATAAAAACATCCAATTAAAAGAATGGTATACTAGTCATTTAGAACCAATCTGTTTCTATTTTACATTTTAGAAGAAAAAGAAAAGAATAAATAAGTTATTTAAATCAGTGATTCTGAAACATTTTAGTCTCTGAATTTCTTAACAGTCTTAGAAAATTATTCAGGGTTATATGTGGATTAAATATATCAGCATTTACGATATTAGAAATTAAAACAAATTTTAAAGCTATTTATTTTAAGGGATGAGAATAAACTCATTACAAGTAAACATCAGAGTAATGACATGAGAGAATGAGAGCAACACAGGTAAATAACTATTAAAGAGTTTTTACCTCATAGTCCTCCTATTTTCTATTCTGTTCTTTTCTGCTTTGTTTTAAATATTGGTTGAAACTCTTTGGTTTCATGGGCCTACTGGTCTGTGACCTGAAGTTTGAAAACTAGTTTTCTCTACTAAGACATTCAGTGTATACAGGACTAAGAAATGCCAGGCAATTAACTGGAGTAAATTAGGAATAGCTATTACTCAAGAACCTACACTTTTCCATGAAAACTGTCAATTAGTCTCTTGAGTACAGTGATAGCCTACTGAATCAGAGGAGGACTTAGACAGCTACAACCCAATAAAACTTGTTAAAAATTATGAAAATATAATTGACAGTTACCTAAAATATCTACCCATAAAATATTTGCACCAAAACCATGTGCTTTATTCCTCATTCCTCATCATGTAGGCAACTCTTAATAGTGTTTATTATCAGGTTTTCTAGCCCACAGCTTTTTATAAATAGAAAACCAGAAGAAGAATGGTACTGGTGGGCTGTTAGAGACTGGCACAATGACAGGAAGGAAAGTAGCTGCCTGGCAAGGGAACATGGAGAAAACTAAAAGCACAGAACTGTGTAGCTGAGTAGTATAATGATTCTGTGCACCAACAGATTCTTATGAGTATCAAAGTTATCAGTTAAATAGTTATTGAAAAATGTGATCACCATATTGATGACCTTGAATGACCAAGAAAATGTTATATCAAATTTTATGTTATCTATTTAATGAAATTGAAATGTATCAATTATTTAGTTACATCATAAATTTTTTAAAATAAGTCATTTTTGTCATTTAAAAGGTAAGATATCAGCTATCTAAAAAATCATGTTTCTGAAATGCTTTTTACTTTAACAGTTCGAAATAAATTCATTTATACATTATTTATAAATGTATTTATTGAATATACTCTTAATAAAGACATATATTAATGGCATAAATAGCCAAAAAATTTAGTTACTGCCTATCATTGGTCTTATTTATGTATATAGAGATGTTTGCCCCTTCAAACAGGGTGTTTACTCACAAATAGGTTAAAAGCCATAGTGTGTTATTGGAAAATAAAATGCTTTTAGACTGAGACAAAGGAATATATACTAATATATGTCACTTTGTCAAGTTTAGCAAATATTGTTTTCATAAACCAATATGTATGACCATACACTAGTATGTAAGGGCCAAACCCTTCAATTAAATAAACTACCTACCAACCCTCAAGTATTAATTTAATTGAAGTGTATGTGGTTGGTGTTAATTAGACACTAATTTTTCATTGGTTTTGGCATTTATTTCTGTTTTGTTTCCATAGCAAAAAAAGAACATTTAGCAATTCCTAAATCAAGAACCAGTTCTGAATCAAGGATATTTAAAACATTAAACATAAGATTTTGAAAAGTAATAATGTCTTCAGCATGAAGGAAACAGGCACACCAATATAGCCATAGTATGTGTGTAAATCAATACAACTTTTCAAAGGGCAATAAAACAAGATATATTTAAAAATTTTAAATGTATGGTCTTTAATCCAGTAATTGCACTTCTAGAAGCTGTACTAAGGAAATAAGTAGGGCAGACATATGGAGATATATATACACTGTAGACATTCTTTAAAACAGTGAATAATTTGAAACATGTTTATCAGGAATGAGTGAGTTAGTAAAGTTCTGGAAGTTCATACTTTGCCATAGTTATCTCTATGGAGGTAGGATCTCAAGAGGTCTTTTGTTTTCTCTGTATTGCTTGAATTATTTTGTACAATATTCATAAATTTTCAAAGGAAAAATATAACAGCCATAAAATATTTATGTTTTGAGTTAATAAAAAATTAACTACAGAGAGCCCTGTGCCTTAAATATGGTTGTCAGCATAGCAGATGAATCTGACCCTGTGGCAAAAAAATAGGTGTTTTTAGATATGAATACATACTGATAGTCACCATATGATTTTAAAGTCACAACTGCCTTATTTTAATAAATGCTTGCCCTAATGTTAATTTTTTTAGTCATTTTCACTGCTTTAAACTTTAACCACTAGTTAATCTTTAATTATTTTTAGCATAATCTTTAGTTATAAAATATATATTAAGACTGTTTCATGAAACAAATAGCACCCGGCATTAAAATGACTATATTGTAAATTATACGATTTTTTGATTGCCTTTGTATAGAATATTCTTCAGGAAAGGAAATGAATTGTGGGTATAATGTAAAAGAAGTCAGAATTTTAGTGTATAGGGTGGTGATTATGGACATTTTCATTTTTCTTCTCCTACTTCATCATAAAACAAAAACCCAGAAAACAAACCAAAACAACCAATGCTGGCTTTCAGTGTTTAAAATGTTTTGTTCCTTATATATCTACACATTTACATTAATTGTAAGATTTAGATTTTTTTTCCCAAGGATAAACTATTCTGTAATATGAAAACAAAAATAAAGTATACTCCTGTTTGAGAATCTATTTCTATTCTTTATTTTTTAGACATTTTCTTCTTGTAGATGGTAGTAGTATCTATTTATATTCATATGAAGGGCGCTTTATTTCATCTCCAAAATTTCCTGGAATGAGAACAGATATTCTGAATGCACAGACTGTGTCTTTGAGTAATGATACCATAGCAATAAGAGACAAAGCTGATGAAAAAAGTAAGTATATTTTTATAATTTTTCCTGTCAAATATGAAATTTGTTAACACTATAAAATTTTCACAAATTAACTTACATTTTCTTATCTACCAGTACATCAGCTTTATAGAAAAAGAATTATGAGCTTTCTATTTTGTTTTCAAAACATGAGTTAATTAAGCAGCTGAAGTTGTCATACTATATCCAGTTAATAGAACAAACAGATATTGTCACAACATCAAAGATCAGTAATCAGGAAAAAAATCTTTATATATTCAGTAGCTGTTGGTAGAGAGTTTGAACTTAATGTTGTGGTCCTAAAACTGTATATTAAGGCTTAAGTTTTTTATCTTTTTAAATATTCCCTTTTTCTTCATTTGGTAACATAGTAAATATTGCACTTCATTGAACTATTTAATTTGTTTATATTTTTAAATTCATATTTTAAGTTAATTGAAAGAAAGGTATGAATAACTTAAATTTTCTGTTTAAAAATCTAGGCCACATTAGTAGTTATAAATAAATATAAGTATGTCAGGTGTTTTGGGTTACATAGTACAATGAAACCGTTTTATTAGGGCATATGTGTATCACAGATTCACTCATCCAGCAAGTATTATTGAGTGCTTACTATGTGGCAACTACTTGTCTAGAAGTTCAGGATACAATGGTGAACAAAATTAGCAAATAAAAATTAAAATTTAATAAATATATAATAAATTGTCAGGTAATGATACATGCTATGAAGAAAACTAGCGCAGGGTGAGAGAATAAAGCGTTGTGAAGGTGGAGCAGGGGAATGACAGACAATCAAGTGCAAGGATTCTGAGGTGAGAGTAACTGGCATGTTAAAGGAACTGCCAGAAGGCCATGTGACTGGGTCAAAATGAGCTAGGTAGAGAGTGGGAGGAGAGGACAACATGGAGATAGGCAGGAACCAGATCATGTAGAGACTTGGCCATGGTGAAGATGTGGGCATGGAGGAAAGAGAGAAGGCAAGCATGTTATCGTAGGTTTTTATCCTGAGTAAATGATTTGGAAGACAGAGAAGGAGGTCATTTGGAGGGGGTCGGTCTGCAAACCAAGAGTTTATTTTGGTCCTGGTATGTTTAAATCTTTCTTAGACAGCCAAGCAGGGATGAGAGTGAACAATAGGATAAACAAGTCCAAGGCTCGGGAGAGAGGTTGGGACTAGAGATATAAATTTGGTGGTCATTGGTATACTGCTAGCGCTTAAAGCCATAACACTGAATGAAATCAGTGGGAAGTAAGTGTACACAAAGAAGAGGACCAAACACAGCACATCAGTAATTAGGGATGAATAAAAGGAAGAGGAGCCAGTGAGGTAAGAGGAAAGTTAAGAGTGAGTGATCCCAAAAACCTAGTGAAAAATATTAAATATTAAATAACTGTTTCTCTCTGTTAATATATATCATGAAACACTGTACATTACTGTTACCAAAAAATCTGACTTGAATGTTAATTTTGTTAGTTCACACCACGGAAGACCTAATTCATGAACTAGAAACTGTCCTAATTTTTAATTTTCAGTACTTCAGATAATAGCACCTCTTATACTGGCAGGAAATATAACTCTCCTAAATAGAGCTTTTCTATCTCTTCATTTAGGCCTTCTCTGAGAGAAGACTTTTGGTAATTTTTTTTTAAAGGACTTCCTTTTTGGCTAAGAAAGAGGAAAACAGAATGGAATAATATAGTATCCAGATGGCAGACAGAATTAAGATAACTATAAATTGTGAAAATAATAGTAATTTGGAAGCCAGATTTTTGTTTTCAATAAACTTAAGATTGAAAGTCCCTGTGATCACTATGAGTTGTCTATGCTTTCCTTATTCAACACCACATATTTTAGATAAAAGCTTTAATAAAGTACAGTCATTCCCTGCATAGTAACATTTCAGTCAACAACAGACTGCATATACCATAAGATTATAATGGAGCTAAAAAACTCTTATCACCGAGTAATGTCATAGCCATTGTAATGTCATAGTGCATTACCTTTTTCTATGTTTAGACGTGGTTAGGTACACAAATACCATTGTGTTACAGTTGTCCATTATATTCAGTACAGTAACTTGCTGTGTAGGTTTGTAGCCTAGTAGCAATAGGCTATATCATATAGCCTAAGTGCATAGTAAGTTATATTGTCTAGGTTTGTATAAGTACCCTCCATGATGTCCACACAATGATAAATTGCCTAACGGCACATTTCTCAGAACATATCACCATCATTGAGCAAGGCATGGCAGTATATGTGTTCCCAACTGAACACATTCTGAAATTTTCTGAAATTTTCTGGAGTTAATTCACATCTGGAACATATTTCATTATTCTTTAATCCATTGATAATTGATAGAATTTTAAAGCTAGAAAGAATTATTAACATTTACAGAAATATGAATTTATATGCCAATTAAGTATCTGTTTTACTTATGTAAGTTTTTGTTAAACAAGATAATTATGTAACTCTGTTTTGCTGTAAATATAAACTTAAAAGACTAAAATAAAATTATTGTAGAACTTAAAATGAGGGGAAAATATTTTGTATGTTCCTTTTTTAAAAAAATTAGCATTTATTGATGGCTAAATAGAGGTAAATGCTAACAATAGGAAACACAACTGAAGTACCCAACGTATTTAACTCTTAGAAGGGTGCCATCTGTATTTGATATCACTGGTTCCTTCCTAATTTGGGAGCTTCTTTATTTTTGTGTCAAGTGTAGTACTCTGTATTATAATAGGTGCTCCATAAATAGATCTTGGGTGGGTTTGAGTACCCCTTTTGGTGATTGATTAAGTACTAGAGCTGCTATTTTTGCCTGCCTTCTTCTCCCTATTCACTTTGCACAGATATGCTATGATATTAGTGTGGTGATTATTTGAAACAAATGTCTGGAAGTTGGGGAGTAGTTACTCATGTTTCGAAGCAACTATTTCAACTCACAGCTCCTTAGTTGTTCATTCTGCCAGTTTCTATTACATGTTAACACTGAAAAACAGGACCAGCCTCCCATAGATCAGATGCACTTACAGTTATGGAAAAAGTAGACGAGTTCATCCACATATCCCCAGCTTTTTATATATATAGTCAGAAAAAGGATGGAAGGCTGCTATTGTTTAAAAAGTTTATTAGTTTGCATAGCTATGAAAATAATAGGATTTAGCCAAACCCAAAGCATTTTTTAAATGAAAGACAAAAATTTTACATTTTTGTTTTCCTACTTAATTAAAAATTCTATTATAGTATTTTTTTATTTTTCATAATTGGCAACCTTAGAAGATAACTAAATGTTGCAACGTGATTTTTCTTGGTGAATATAGCGGTGACCTCCAACTTAAAATCCTATGATTTACTAAAAGCTAATAATGTATTAAAAGTGCAATCCTCTGGAATTAAATTTCATGTTATACACATTGTAGCATTTTTATAATCTATATATGTTGTCCAATTTTTTTTGCTGAGTACTCAATGCCACTTCTCTCTTATGCCATTTCTATCTTTTCATTTCTTGTAATCCTATTCATATGCTGTCATATAAAATTACTCTATTTATTAATCTTGGGCTGGAGTAATTTGAGAATTACTTAAAGAGAATCATCAAAATAATCTTCTTGTTTTTTTTCTTTCCCAACAATCTTTTCAAAAGAGTAAACAGCAGCTACCAATATCACTGTTACGATTGAGACTAAGAGAAGCCTTGGTGAAACAGAGAAAGGGGCAGAGGCAGCATTTGTGCCAGGCTTCTTCAATAGAATATCTCCTGCAATTTTTACAACTTCACCTACTTCACAACATCAGGGAAAGGTTGAGGCTGGAAATAGAGAACTATGAATTATCATTATTTAAATAGTGATTGATGCTGTATAATTAAATGATACAGGGGAAAGTATTTATAGTAAAAAGGCAGCAAAGAACAAAACCTTAAGATCAAGGGTTGTCAGATAAGGAGGAGCTAGCAAAGAAGAATGAGGAATGGTCCAAAATAGAAGAGAACTGGGAGAAAACAATGTTATGTGTAGCCCACATAAGAGTTTCAAGACAGAGAGGATAGTTAGAAGCAACAGTGCTGCTGGGAGGTCAAGACTAAAAATAGACTCTTAGAGTGAGGACTAAAAATAGTCTTTGATTTGGCAATATATGGGTCATTGGTGACCCAGGCAAAGCCTTTCTATCAATGTAGTAAGGTTGAATAGCAAATTGTCATAGGTTGAAGAATGGGTAGGAGTTGTAAAAACTGGAATAACTGTTGTTTCACAAAGTTTAGGGTTAAAAAAAGGCAAAGAATTGTAATAGTGATTTTTTTTTTTTTTTTAGTGAGGATGATAGCAGAGTTGTTTATATGCTGAGAATGAACCAGAGTAAAGGTGCAGGAGAAAGTGGGGATTGTTGACAGAATAATATCTCAGAGAAAGCCAGGCAGATAGAATAACAATATACAGGTAAAGAAAGTGGTAGGGGTGGAGAAGTATGAGCAATAGACACTCCTTTGGCGAAATTAGAATGTATGTGGTGAGGACCAGAACTATTATAAGTAAGTTTGGAGATAAATCTGAGGGAAATTGAGCTGTTACATCAAAAGTTACCAGAAGTTTATTTTTATATAGTGAAATTTTAAAATACTTACATGATCTTAATGAATACTTTATATCTATTTAGTGGCTTCCAGGCAGTTTTTTTTAGGATTGAAATTTATTTTTATTTGATTGTGATAGAAATAGTTAACATGAGATCTACCTTTTTAACAGATTTTTCAGGGTACAGTTCAATAGTGTTAACAGCATACAATACAATATAGGTACAATGTTAGACAGCAGATACCTGGAACTTAATTCATCTTGTGTTACTGAAATTTTATGCCCTTGATTAGCAACTCCCCATTTCCCCCTCCCTGCTGCCTCTGGCAACTGGATCTGCTTTTTGTTCCAATAAATTTGACTATTTTAGTATACCTCATATAGGTGGAATCATGCAATATTTGTTCTTCTGTGACTAGCTTTTCAGTTAGCATAATGTCCGTCAGGTTCATCCATGTTGTTACATGTTGCAGGATTTCCTTTTTTCTTTGAAGACTAATAATAATCCATTGTACATATACACCACATTTTCTTTATCTGTTCATCTGTCAATGGATATTTAGGTTGTTTCTACATCTTGATTATTGTGATCAGTGCTGCAATGAACATGGGAATGCAAATATCTCTTCAAGATCCTGATTTCAGTTCTTTCAGATAAACACTCAGATGTGGGATTGCTGGGTAGTTCTATTTTTAACTTTTTTTTTTTGAGATGGGGTCTCACTCTTTCACCCAGGCTAGAGTGCACTGGTGCTCCACTGCAGCCTCAACATCGTGGGCTCAAGTGATCCTCCTGCCTCAGCCTCCAAGTATCTGGGCTACAGGCAGGCAGGCACCTCTATGTCCAGTTAATTTTTGTATTTTTAATAGAGACAATGGCTCACTATGTTGCCCGGGCTGGTCTCAAACTCCTGAGTTTAAGCGATCCTCCCACTTCAGCTTCCCAAAGTGCTGGGATTACAGGCATGAGCCACCATGCCCAGCCTATTCTAATTTTTTGAGGAACCTTCGTAATATATTTCACAGTGGCTGTACTATTTTGCATTCTCACTAGAAGTGGGCAAGTTTTCCAGTTTCTTCACATCCTCACCAACATGTTGTCTTCTTAAAGCAGTAGCCTAACAGGTTTGAGGTGGTATCTCATTATGGTTTGATTTGCATTTCCTTGATGATTAATTACATTGAGCATCTTTTCATTTACCTATTGACCCAAACATATGTTCTGTCTGTCTTAAAATCAACTCTTGATTATCTTTGGAAAATATTTAATCTTGAAATATCTGCCCCGTTTTATTACAGGAGCTGATCTCCCCAACTATCAGTTAGATAAATCATTGCTAAGCAGCCCCTAAAAAGAAAAACACTTTAGAAGTAATGCTAAAATAATCATCTACTTTAAAAAATTATTTTACAGACTGCACCTTATTTGCGTGTATGCCTTTTCCTCCACTAACTCTAAAAATTAGGGGGCTTACTGGAGATACGGAGAGGATAGTTCTGAAAGCCTCCCTCAAGAGTTTAGGGAAATTCTCAGACTGGGAGCTTAGCTTAGCTCCCAAAGCAAGTGTTTGTGACAAATATAGGTTCTTCAAGACTTCTCCATAGTTCTCTGGTATTCTGGAACTTTGAGTTGAATATTTTACAATAAGGCCACAAATTTGTAACACCGTATTGATGACTTATGGAGAATCTCACTTGTTAGTAATTAATCTTTTTCTACTCCAACTGAATGTACTGTAATTCAATTCAGACACTGATTACTCAGAGTTAGTGCGATGCCAAAAGTTGGCTGGACATGGTGGCTTACGCCTGCAATCCCAGCATTTTGGGAGGCCAAGATGGGTGGATCACTTGAGCTCAGGAGTTTGAGACCAGCCTGCGCAACATGGTGAAACCACATTTCTACAAAATATACAAAACTTAGGCAGGCATAGTGGCACGCCCCTGTACTCCCAGCTACTTGGGAGGCTGAGGTGGGAAGATAGCTTGAGCCCTCTTGAGGCAGAGGTTGCAGTGAGCTGAGATCACGCCACTGCACCACAGCCTGGGCATCAGAGCAGGACCCTGTCTCCAAAAAAGAAAAAAAAAGTTAAGGACAAAGGCCTGCCAAGACTGACCTCACTTCAGATGCCAGCACTAGTTTTGTGGGGGTGGGGGTTCCCAAGGGCACTTGCATTTCTGACCAACTGGCTAAAAATTTGGGGACCCCATCAGCCCCTCAAGTTCAATAATTTGTTAGAATGACTCAGAACTCAGGAAAGCACTGTATTTATGATTACAATTTTATTAAAAAGGGTAGACCTCGGGTGAGGCCTGGAGCTTCTGTGCCTTCATGGAATCAGGGTACATCACCTTCCTGGCACATCAATGTGTTCAACAAGGAAGCTCCACTGAGCTTTCAGTTTTGGTGTCTAGAGAATACTTTTGGGGTTTGATTACATGATTAATTAGGCATGATTATTTAAGTCATTGGCCATGTGATTGCACTCAGTTTCCAGCTCCCTTCTTCTCAAGAGGTTGCTAATGGGGTGGAGGGCTGAAAGTACTCAACCCTCTGAACATGAGATTGGTCTTTCTGGTGACCAACCGCTATCCTGAAGCTATCTAGGGGCTCACCAGAGTCACCTTATTAGGATAATAATGGCACTTCTATCACTCAGAAAATTCCAAGCATTTTTGAAGCTACCTGCCAGGAGCCCAGGACAAAGACCAGACAAATTATTTATTAAACTACAGACCACCCCCTGGCCTATGACCATGGATCCCATATGGCAAAAGGATCATTCCTGTCAATAGGACCAGCATGAATATGCCTAATGTTTGGAGGAATCAATATTGGGTAGAGATAGGAGGCTTTTAATTCCATTCCCAGTACTATCAGTATTATACTCTTACCAACAATTCCAGTGTTATACCATATTGTAAAGTAAGAGTCAGAAGACACTAGCGCATTACTAGAGTTCTACTAGTCATTAATAATTAGTCCAGTCCATCATCATGTTCTGTGACCAAGTTGTCTTCAAGTTTAGGCCTCTGAGGTTTATAGGATTCCATTCAAGTTTGTCAAGTTCCAGGCAGGAGAGGTCTCAGCAATATATGGCTTCATCTTTTCATGTATCAGCTATAATTAAGCTAAGAAACAATATCATTCTTTTGCTCTGAGCCTCTTTTGAAGCATTAATGTAATATTTTACTTATTGCATAACCCATTTATTCATTTCTTTACTCTCAGCTATTATTTCTCCTATCCATTTGTATAGAGCAAACAGGCTATTTCCGCTACCAGCCAATAAAGCTGCATTCACTATTAAACCTAAATTCTCCAGATGGAGTGAAGACACAACCCATCCTATCAGGTCCTTAGGAATTTTGATGTTAAGGCTTAAAAGTATAGTTACAATTTCTTTCTTGGGAACCATCTCTGCTTCTGGCATTTGTAGTGGTAGCCCTGGTCTTGGGACCGTGGTGTCAGGTAGGAGAAGGTGATATAAGGAAGAAAGAAAAAAGTGTTTTGCCATACCAGCGTCCTCCTTTCTCCTCCCCCTCTCCCTGAGATCCATCAAAAAAACAAAAGGAGGCCGAGGCGGGCGCATCACAAGGTCAGGAGTTTGAACAACCTGACCAACATGGTGAAACCCCGTCTCTACTAAAAATGTAAAAATTAGCTGGCCGTGGTGGTGTGCACCTGTAATCCCAGCTACTCAGGAGGCTGAGGCAGGAGAATTGCTTGAACCTGGCAGGTGGAGGTTGCAGTGAGCTGAGATCGCGCCACTGCACTCCAGCCTGGGTGACAGAGCGAGACTCCGTCTCAAAAAAAAAAAAAAAAAAAAAAGGAATCTCTCTAGTGCAGGAATCTATATCTCTTTGCTTCTCTCTTGATGAATCCATACTCATGCTGGTAATGCAAGCCAGTTCTTCATACTTTCCCCTGTTTTAGAAAACCACTGTTTTAACTTGCCATTCTGATTCTTTACCAAACCATTACTCTGGGGAAGATATCTCTCTGCCCATTGTTGGACATTATGGATTGTAAGGTATGTTCCTTGGTCTGACGAAATGTGACTAGGTGGTCCAAATCAATGCATTATGTTCTCTGCTGGTTCTTTTATAGTTCCCTCAGTATGTGCCAGGCTACCACTGGTTAAGTAAAGCCCAGTGCGGACTCGGCATCTATTCATGTCAGGACCCTTTTGTAGCCATCCAGGGCTACTGGCATGAGTCCAAGTTTCCAGCTATGTGTAGGGCCTTCCTCTGAGGGAATCTGCCCTATAGCCATCTGCAGTCTGTCATGGGCAGACAGAAAGTTCTTACTGGTATTTTGTGCCTCAGAGGGTTTGAGAGGAACATTTCTAGATTCAGTTCATCTCTGCATTGCTGCAGCCCCCAGTGTCCACTTGCTTCATATACCCAGGGGGCCACCTCAAGCAGGCATCCTGAGGTATTTGCTCGTCAATTCCAATCACCTTTTGAACCTTGAAGGGGAAGTCTCCCCATAGGCATTGATACGACATACCTTAATGCACCCATCAGATTCCCACAGTAAGTTCCTTGAGGCTGTACCCTATATGGGCATGCCTATAATAGGCCAGTTTTCCACTGTCCTTCTTGCCTGACCATGTGACCATGGCCTGCGAGTTAATAAAAACTCAGATATTGAGGCAAACAGCATGCAGTGCAGCCCACCACGCTTATTTGTTTTCACCTTCTTCTGTCAGAGGAATGGCCTTACAAATAAAATGTTGTATGTTCACAATTGAACTGCTATTCATAAACCAAGCAGCTATTTGTTGGTTAATTGAGAGCTGTTTATAGGCCACTGTCCGAGTGTCAACAGAATCTGGCAGCAACTCAAGTGGTTCCAAAGTCCATCAGAGCAGGTAGACTCATGAATACACTGTGTAACTTTTTGCATTTCCCAGTAATGTGTTCCTACTCAATACATTTCATTTTATTATGAAACTCTTCTGGGCATTGCCTTTCCTAGTAGAATGTGTCTCCAGTATCACCTAAGATACTATGGGTACATTAGATTTCAAGATTATTTTCTATTCTTCGGTTATAGGGGCAGTTTCAATTAATGTCAAATAGCAAGCTAGTAATTGCCTCTCAGATGGGAATTCTCTAGTCCAAAATCCCAGTAATTTTCACTGAGAGGTGTTCATAGGCTTTCGCCTGTAAGTTCCAATCTGTATTCTACCCAGCGTTTTTGTATAGAGAATTCATCCATACTAGTTCATATACTGATTGATATTAAAGGCCTGTTGAACTAGAGTAATCTTATTGATTCCCATTTTGCATTCCTAATTAATATTGCTTAAAGGGTGGATTTACATGCTCTCTGTTTCACATTCCTTAATAGAGGAAACGCTCTCCAGTCAGACATAATATCAGTCCGCATAATATATCCTGGTAAATGAGACACAACTACTTAACATAAAGCTCGTTTAGGGCCAGATGTGGCTCACATCTGTAATCCCAGCACTTTGGGAAGCCGAGGCAGGTGGATCACCTGAGGTCAGGAATTCAAGACCAGCCTGGCCAACATGGCGAAACCCCGACTTTACTAAAAATACAAAAAAATTAGCTGGCATCCCAGCTATTCGGGAGGGTGAGGCAGGAGAATTGCTTGAACCCAGGAGGCAGAGTTCGCAGTGAGCCGAGATTGCACCACTGCACTCCAGCCTGGTCAACAAGAGCAAAAACTCCATCTAAACAAAACAAAACAAAACAAAAACAAACAAACAAAAAACACCAAAGCTTGTTTTAAATATACGAATTTTCATCCAAAACTTTCACCTAAATCCCATTAGCTCTTGCATTTCTATATCTTCTCAATCTAGTTATGACTCCCATTAGGACTTTCTTTTTTCTTTTTTTTTTTTCTTTTTTTTTTTCTGTTTTTGAGACAGTCTCGCGCTGTTGCCCAGGCCGGAGTGCAGTGGCATGACCTTGGCTCACTGCAACCTCCTCCTCCCAGGTTCAAGTGATTCTCCTGCTTCAGCCTCCTGAATAGCTAGGATTACAGGCATGCACCACCACGCCCAGCTAATTTTTTGTATTTTTAGGGGAGACGGGGTTTCACCATGTTGGCCAGGCGGGTCTCAAACTCCTAACCTCAAGTGATCTGCCTACCTCAGCCTCCCAAAATGCTCGGATTACAGGTGTGAGCCCGGCCCCATTAGGACTTTCAGTAGTAGGTGGGGGAGGTGTTCTGGTCAGACATAATATCTGTTCCCATGAAACATTCAGGTAAAGGAGACACAGCCTGTTCACATAAAGTCTGTTCAAACTCTCCAGTTTTCATTCAAACTTTCACCTTAATTCTACCAACCCTTGCACTTCTGTACCCTCTCAATTTAATTGTAGTCTCCTTTAGGGCTTCACCAGGGGGTTTTGGACCAAAGTACATGGCACTTCTGCGTCAAGGTGTCTAGAGTCTTCTCCTCTCCACCCCGTGTCCATTTTGCCTACTCACGTGCTTAAGGTGTTGGGTCCCCAGCTCAGAATTGAGCCAAGGAACCCAGGCTCTTTCCTGAATCTTTTTCTTGATTAAATTGGTAGACCATTGCTCCAGGTAATTGAAGGTCAGGTTTCTTGTTGCCATCTTTGCCTTTCTGCTTTCCAAATTCTTCCAAACTAAGATGAATAAAGCAGATTTGCTTAGCACTCTTAAATGTTGGGGCACTAGCAGGACCGCCGCATTGGTCCACCCAACCTCTGTGTTTTGATTTCAGACTTCCACCCTGCTATGATGAGTCCCTTGACTCTCCCCTTTCTCTTTCCCTTTCATTTTACCCCCATCAGCGTTTGCTTTTTCACCTCGTTTCTTTAAAAAACAACCAAATAAAACTTTTGTTTTAGGTTCAGGGTACATGTGCAGGTTTGTTACATAGGTAAACTTGTGTCATAGGGGTTTGTTGTACAGATTATTTTATCACCTAGTTACTAAGCCTAGTACCCAATAATTATTTTTTCTGATCCTCTCCCTCCTCCCACTCTTCACCCTCAAGCCCCCAGTCTCTGTTTCCCTCTTTGTGTCCATGAGTTCTCATTATTTAGCTCCCACTTATAAGTGTGAACATGTGGTAATTGGTTTTCTGTTTCTGCATTAGTTTGCTAAGGATGATGGCCTCCAGCTCCATCAACGTTCCCACAAAGAACATGATCTCATTTTTTTTATGGCTGCACAGTATTCCATAGTCTATATGTACAACATTTTCTTTATCAAATCTGTTATTGATGGGCATTTAAGTTAACTCCATATCTTTGCCATTGTGAATAGGTGTTGCAGTGAACATTCGCATGCATGTGTCTTTATGGTAAACTGATTTATATTCCTTTGGGTATGCACCCAGTAATGGGATTGCTGGGTTGAATGGTAGTTCTGTTTTTAGCTCTTTCAGGAATTGCCACACTCCTCTCCACAATGATTGAACTAATTTACCTTCCCACCAACAGTGTAAAACTATTCCCTTTTCTCCACAAATCACCAGCATCTGTTATTTTTTGACTTTTTAATAATAGCCATTCTGACTGGTGTGAGATGGTATCTCATTGTGGTTTTGATCTGTATTTCTCTATTTTGTTCATATGTTTGTTGGCCACATGTATATCTTCTTTTAAATGTCTGTTCCTGTCCTTTGCCCAGTTTTTAGTGTTTTTTTTCTTGTAAATTTGTTAAGTTCCTTATAGATGTTGGATATTAGACTTTTGTCAGATGCACAGTTTGCAGAAATTTTCTCCTATTCTGTAGGTTGTCTGTTTACTCTGTTGATAGTTTATTTTGCTGTGCAGAAGGTCTTAAGTTTAATTAGATTCTATTTGTCAATTTTTGCTTTTGTTGCGATTGCTTTTGGCATCTTTGCCATGAAATCTTTCCTTGTTCCCATGTCCAGAATGGTATTGCCTAGGTTGTCTTCCAGGGTTTTTATAGTTTTGTTTGCTGTATTTTCTTTTTTTGTTGTTTTTTGTTTTTGAAACGGAGTCTCGCTCTGTCACCCAGGCTGGAGTGCAGTGGTGTGAGCTCGGCTCACTGCAAGCTCCGCCTCCCGGGTTCACGCCATTCTCCTGCCTCAGCCTCCTGAGTAGCTGGGACTACAGGCGCAGGCTGCCACGCCTGGCTAATTTTTTGTATTTTTAGTAGAGACATCGTAGCCAGGATGGTCTCGATCTCCTGACCTTGTGATCCACCCACCTCGGCCTCCCAAAGTGCTGGGATTACAGGCGTGAGCCACTGCGCCCAGACTGCGCTGTATTTCTTAATAACTGTTTAAAGATTTTTTTCCCAGTTTGGATGAGTTTCTAGACACTTCCCTCTGTCTGTCCCTATTCTCTTAGGGATCATTTTAGTCTTTTTCATGATTTGTTTCAGCATAACTTTTTCCTTTGAAAATGACTCTGAGGCTAGTGCCTGTTCCTTGAACTGGCAAGAATCCAATATCTTTCCCAACACATTCATTCCTTCAGTAGGGGCCCTGAGACTAGAGGCCATAATTTAGACTGGCCAGAATTTATATTTGATTCATCTCTTCCTTTCATTTTTAGCTATTATATTATAGATAGTAATTACCAAGAGATTGTATATTTCTCTTTTTTCTTACTGTTTTGCATTTTCCTATGCATTTAGTGAGCCAGTTCCCCAGAAGATATATGCATCATCTCTAAATTTCACTGGTAACTTTTACCTCCAATAACTGATTGCAGCATAGCTGGTGTTTCATACCCTGGGTGACCCCATGGCCATGGAGGAATCAGAAGTTCTTCATCCCCTGCCCTTTCATCCTTTCTCTTCCCAAACCATATGTTTCAGTAACCTGATACCAACTATTCCATTTTCACCTCCACTGGGTATACTGCAATTCATTTCTACACTACCCGGAGTTAATGTAGACACCAAAGCTTAAGGGCAGTCTTCCACAAGACTGCTCCTATTTCAGATGACAGCCACAAGTCTAAGGCTCCCCCAGCCCCACTGCAGCTGCCTACTTTTCTGACCAACTGGCTGTAAATTCTGGGGTTCCCACAATGCCTTCAAGTTCGATAATTCACTAAAATGACTCACAGAACTCAGGAAAGCTATACTTATTATTACAGTTTTATTATAAAGGATAGACACAGAGTTTCTGTGCCCTCTTCTCTCAGGACACATCACCTTCCCAGCTCATCAGTGTGTTCACTAACCAGGAAGCTCCGCTGAGCTTTGGCGTTCAGAATTTGTATGGGGTTTTATTACATTGGCATGGTTAATTAAATCATTGCCCACATGATGAACCAGTCTGCAGCCTGCTTCCCATCTCCAGAGACTGGGAACCTGAAAGTTCAGACCTTCTAACCACATGCTTGATCTGATTATCAGCCCCTATCCTGAAGCTATCTAGGGGCCCACCAAGAGTCTCCTCACTAGCAATAATAAAGATACTCTAATCACTCAGGAAATTCTCAGGGTTTTTGAAGCTCCAGGACAAAGACCAGATAAATTATTGATTGTACCAGAGTAGCATATTAATAACAGAAAACTGAGTAGCACATAACACGTTGCCTGGCATTATAGTAGACATTCAACATGTTTTTCCTTTGCGGAATATGATGGTCTATTGTTGGGGCTTAGAAACTGATACCCCAAAATATGGTGCTTTGACATGCTGTGCTGAAGTTCCCTTATCTGCCTCAACTTCAGACCCACCAAAGAAGACAACAATTCCCTCTGGTCCCTTCCCTGAGTTTTCCTTAACTAAACTCATATTGCAGGAAGAAATACAGAAAGCTGTCAACACACCTGGGCAGACTTTTGTCACAAACCATTGTGTGCTCTGTGGGCCCAACAGACTGTTCCAGGCCACTGTATGTTCTTCATGCCCACTGAATTCCCCTAGAAATCATTTACTACCCGTTCTAAAAACCATCCACACTTCCCCATCTCCATTTCCCTTAAGAAGGGGAAGAAGTGGCTTTTAACCATCTGCACCCCATTGTATGGTAGGGTAATCACTCTCTGATTCTCCCCCATGCAAGCTAATAAATTTGTATGCCATTTCTCCTATTAATCTGCCTTTTGTGAGTTGATTTTCAGTTAACCTTCAAAGGACAAAGAGGAAGTTTTCCTTTGGCCTCTACACTATGGTGTTATATTAGTTTAAATCAAAGTTATCAGAATTATAAATTACATTCACATTTGGACTTCCCATTGTGAGCCTGTGGAGCATTAATGCCATACCATTAATAAAAATTCTAATTAGGGAATGTGTTTTAGGAAGAAGTATTCAGTTTTATTGTTTTCATAAGAAATGTGACCACATTAATAAATTAAAATTGGATGCTGCTGCTCTCTCTGTGGTCTAGAGAGTTAAATAATTTCTTATAAGGATTATAATAGTTTCACTGAATTTTACCAGTAAAAATTCTAATATAACACATTAATTAATGTTCTACTTTTTTTCAAGTAATCTTCCTCTTTGAGGCATCAACCGGAAAGCCGTTAGGTGATGGAAAGTTTCTTTCTCATAAGGTAATGGACATTAACTACTTCTAATGTAAATAGCCACTATTTATTTATTTCCTTTTCAAAATTAATGTTTTCATTTTAAAGAGGACACAAAGGAATTAGTTTTTTATTTAAAATCAATGTGCATTCTCCATTGACTATTTTGCCTAAAGATGTCACAGTTAAAGACTAAGCACTGGTAAAGTTTGTGATAGGAAGCTATACATGCAAATTAGTTGAAAAAAAGGATCTGACTTATATGTCTGTTGTCAAACTCTTCACTGTTTTTCAGTTACATGTTCTTTTTTGATTAAAATTTTAGCACTTACCAGTAAATAAAAATGTATTTGTGTTTCTAAGTATCTTGCAGTTTTCTCATTGACCTGTTCTTAGCCAGCATTTTCTTTAGGTTTTAAGACTGTAGTAAGAAATCGCTATACAAAGTACAAAAGACCCTGAATTGTAAGTTGTTTATTGGTTTCTGATTTTTAGCCTTAGAAAAAGAAGCACATTGCATTGAGTTATCCTTCTAAATTGCTGATATATTAGGGTCTAAAGACACTTTTAGTTTTATTAATACTTCTAGTGAACTGTTACTCAAAATTATATATTTATTTTTGTAATTATTAGTTTTTTTGTTTGTTTGTTTTTGGTAGAGACAGGGTTTCGCCATGTTGCCCAGGCTGGTCTCGAACTCCTGAGCTCAAGCAATCCACTCGCCTCAGACCCCCAAAGTTCTAGGATTACAGATGTGAGCCACCATGCCTGGCCCTAGTTTTAAATTTGAATAACAAATACATTCATATGGTTCAGAAATCAAAAAGCATTAAAAAGTATACAGTGTTAGTCTCCCTACTATACCTATTATTCATCACTGTAGTGCCTCTCCACCAAATAAGTTACCATTATTATTAATCTCTTATATATTCTTCCAGAGATTTTTAGTGTATGTATCAACAAAACTGATATATGTTCTCTTCCTCCCCTTTACAAAAATGTAACAAACAATTTTACACTTTGCTTTTTTCATATAATACTGTCTTTCTGGAGATAGTTCCATATCTATACATAAAGTGCTTTCCCAACCCTTTTTCCTCCCACTGTATGGTATAACATTTTATGTATGTATCAGAATTTAAACTGTTTCCAATCTTTTGCCGTTAGTATTACAGTATTGCCAAGATGAATTACCTTGCATATACATCTTCTTGTACATGTGCTAGTGTAACTGTGAAATTTATTCTTGAAATATTGTTGCTGGGTCAAAGGATATGAGAATTTGTAATTTTAATAAGTATTGTGAAGTTATCTTCCAAAGAGAGTGTATGAGTTTACCTTTGCACTGGTAATATATGAGGTGCTTATTTCCCTATAACCTCTCCGTTATTGTCATTTTTAATCCAAGCTATATAAGCAGAGTTTTTCCTCTTCAGTAAGATTAAGCATATCAAAAGGAGTAAATGTCTCAGCTTTTCAAGATGCAGTCATTTTTGTTAGTAGGATTGAAAGGAGAGTCAATTAATAAGCTTAAATATTTATTTTAATGTTATAACTCTTTCTATAACACTTTTCCTAAGTGTAAGAATTTCCTAATTTACAATTAAAATAATTTAATTTACAATTAAAATTAAGAAATTTATAATTTCCTAATTATAAGAATGGAAGTGTCTTCTACATGTCACACTTCACCCAATTACCCAGTACATTTGTATGCAATACAAAGGATTTTTAAATTTTACATTCTATAAAATAATAGAAAAATCACCCAATCTATTTTATTTTATATGTGGAAGAAATTCATATCCAGGATCTTCCCAATAACAGAGCCCAAACTAGAACTCAAGTCTGTGTATTAGTAAATGAATATTAATTAGTGTAGGGCAAGGGAGACGGTTCTAATGAACACAAAACTGCTTTTATGTCCCACTACAAAGAGTAACCCAGGAGGAATAGAACCTATGTGGAGGTGGTAGGACTTGACAAGAGGAAAATGGGGGAAGCCCTGCTGAATGAAGTGGGGGAGCCCCTCTTCCCCTATGTACATAGGCATTACTATAATTACTATCCATCTTTGATTTTTAATTTCTTAGGAGAATCATATCTGTTTAACAGTGTTTTTAAAAGAATACACTAGGTTCTGATGATGATGATGACGATGATAAGCAATTCTTTATTGTAAAGATCAGTTTCTCTGAAACATTTCCATTTTGAAAATACCTAGAGTTATATTTCATGCATGCCTTGATATATATGAAACCAAATTCTTTTCTTTCTTAAAATATAAATTATGGTATTCCAGAAAGAGTTGAACTTTTTAAAATGTATTATGAACTGGTATATGACTGATTCATCAATTTGGATAAAGGTGTATGTGTGTTTTGTTTTACTTTAAAAAGTGTTTTTTATAGTACATTTTGATACAATGACTTGATGTTGTAGTCATTATTCTGGTTGAATTCACAATTCCTACCAAAGTCTTCAGACATTGTAGGAGGTAAATAAATCTTGCTTGGTTTGAATTAAAATGAATCTATATTAAAACATTTTCAAGTTATAGTAAAATTCATCTCACTAGCAAATGAAAAGCAGTGATCTTGGAGTTAGAAGTCTGAGTTGCAAGTTTAGATATACTTGACACTGGCTTTTTCTGAGCAAAATCACTTAGTGAATATGAGTCTAGTCTTCTGATTTGCAAAGTAAGTATAGTAATACCTACATTACAAGCTTGTTTCCTATTTTGCAAGAATGAATGTGAGAGAATCTATAGAATTTAAGGCCCTGGACACATGATGTATTTCCACATATTTCCAAAATTTTTTTTACAAATATTTAAGATATAGTTGTTAGGCAACTTATTAATCAAAATAGACCTCTCATATGATACTCAGAATTGCCTGACCCTTTCACCTTGACTACGAAAGGTAGGACAGGACAGATCGAGTGTTTCTCAGCCTACAGAATATCAAAATACATATTATTTTATTGTATTTTAAGAGGTATCTTTTCCTTGGATGTCAGGCAAATATACTTCAGTGCAGCTTTTGAACGATTAACATATTGGCAGTTTAAAATTATTTAACAGGGACATTTTATCATTATAAATGGGGAAATGACATTTAATTGATCTTAAAGGAAATGATTTTATAATTAATTAAAATGATCTTATGTCAAACACTAAAACTAACCCAGTATTTACATTTAAAAAAAATTTTAGAATGAAATCTTGGAAATTGCTCTGGATCAAAAAGGACTTACCAATGATAGAAAAATTGCTTTCATTGATAAAAATAGAGATCTCTGTATCACTTCTGTGAAACGATTTGGGAAGGAAGAACAAATTATCAAGCTTGGTAAAATAATTTTAATACATTTTAAGTTTTAATTGTCAACTTTCTTATATTTGCTGTAATAAATAATTTGAATGAATCTGGAAATGTTTTAATGTTTTGATCTTGTAATACTTCTTAGCTATTTAACCCTTTTTTTAAAAAAGTAGGAGTGAAAGTTTATTAAAAAGCTTTATTTTTAAATTTTTATTGTGTTTTATTGAGACAGGGTCTCACTCTGTCACCCATGCTGGAGTGGAGTGGCAAGATCAAGGTCACCAAAACCTCCGCTTCCTGGGCTCAAGTGATTCTCCTGCCTCAGCCTCCCAAGTAGCTAGGACTACAGTCATGTGCCACCACATCCAGCTAAATTTTTTTGTATTTTTGGTAGAGACAAGGTTTCACCATGTTGCCCAGGCTGGTCTCGAACTCCTGAGCTCAAGCCATCCACCTGCCTCAGTCTCTTAAAGTGCTGGGATTACAGGCGTAAGCCACTGGGCCTGGCCTATTTGAAAGCTTTAGAGCAGGAAAGAAAGGAAATAAAGTAAACTTGGTAGAGGGCAAGCAGGCAGCTTGAGAGATCAAGTGCACTGTTTGATCTTTGACTTGGGGTTTTATACTTTGGCATGCTTCTGGGGAGTTGCAACCCTTCTGCCCTAATTCTTCCCTTGGGTGGGCTGTCCACATGCATAGTGGCCTGCCAACACCTGGGAGGGGCCACATGCACAGTGTGTTTACTAAAGTTATACACATGCTCACTTGAGGCGTTTTTCCCTTACCACTCCAGTGTTTCTAGAGGAAGTTTGTATACCAGTTAAACTCCTCCACCATTTTGCCTGTTAGTCATGTGTGAGCCCACTCACCTAGCTCTTGAGATCTTATTGAGAAGCTACTGATTTCCAGTTTCAGTGTTTATATTGAGAGACTACCTTTCCCTGGCACTGGCTGCAACCAATTATTATTTTAGAGAGACAGCTTAACAACAGCCTGACCATCACCTGATGGTCACCTGACATTCCTGGTGCTGGTGGCAGGGGCCTCTCCTGACTTGCTCATGTCTGCCTGACTACCTGCTGTAACATTTCCACCCTCAAGAGTCCAAGACCCCAATTCTATGGGGAAAATGGACAAAAGTCAGTCTTCTGTAACTGCTTCCTGCTGACAGAGGGGCAATGGTGGTTATTCTGTGGATCTTGGCCTCTTGCTAGCTGTCAGGGCAGGGTGGCTCCGTGGGTTGGTGAAAGCAGTATGCAGCTAGGTCCAAGGGAGACAAGGGAGGACTTCACCTCTGTCATGTCCCACTGATGGGCAGACTAGGGGTCCCCTGTAGAAGAGTGACTCTTGAATATTGAGGGGACGGTATTCCTCACTGAGGATCATCTGGAGCTTGATGGCCTGAGGGCAAGAGGATTAACTTATTAGCAAGTCTTTAGCTGCTGCAGCTAAATTGTCACTGAAAGAAAGATTTACAGATTAAAAATATAAGGGTTCTAAGTAAAGCATTCAAATATTTCTGTAAATTCTTGTGTGATTGTTTGGTATGTGTTTTTCACCATTATAGAATCAGAAAGTAGAGTCATATCTACCAGAAATTGTATGGGATTTTGTTTGTCAGGCATTTTAAAGATCTATTTTTAATTCTTACATATTAAAGCTAATAGCACATTAACATTCTTTTTAAATTAAGGAACAATGGTGCATACTTTGGCATGGAACGATACATGCAATATCCTTTGTGGACTTCAAGATACTCGATTTATAGTGTGGTATTACCCCAATACAGTTTATGTGGACAGAGACATTTTGCCTAAAACATTATATGAAAGGGATGCAAGGTAACATTTTACTGCGTATAATTCTGTTTTGTAGTAAATAAAACTCTAATAGAGTATCATGTTTTGGCTTCTATTTTCAATCCTGCAAGGTGTTTTACACATCAGTCAGATTTATTGATGAATAAATTGTTCGGCTAAAGCTAGCTTGAGACTTAAGTGACAGAATCAAGTTGAAAGTGTGGTATGATATGAATTATTTATTTGTCCCTTATATGAATATAATTTTCAAGCTTAATATTGTGTAATGGTAGCTCAGGTAGTTTTCTCAGTGTGATCAAGTGATTTTAGTCTAGGCACTCTTTAAGATTTTTCAGGATGCACAACCTTGTGACAACTACCCAACGCTGTCACAGATTATCATTGACGTTAACACTTTCAAGAATGTAAATGTCTCTAGAATTGAATTTTTGGTTGATATTAAAAGTAGGAAAAGACCAAAGTTACTGAAATTTTTAAAAATTTATATGCTTCAGAAAATCAAACCATTTATATTCCTAAATTCTCTAAGAAATAGCAAGGAGATCTCTTATTCTTGACAAAATAGGAATACAA
This sequence comes from Homo sapiens, assembly GCF_000001405.40. Classification (NCBI taxonomy): domain Eukaryota; kingdom Metazoa; phylum Chordata; class Mammalia; order Primates; family Hominidae; genus Homo; species Homo sapiens. Next base: position 160,280,114 of record NC_000003.12, on the reverse strand, counting down.
AGGCTTCTTAATTCTAGACCTTAGCTTAGTTTTCAAATCTGTTTTGAGTTTGTTTTTAGTATTCAAATTCAAAACCTTAACAAAACCAGAGAGGCATCAAAATAAAACAGCGTATTTTTAAAAGTATTTGGACTAATGAAAAAAAATTAGTCTTTTTATTTAAAGGTCATCTCTTTTTACTTATTTATTTTTAGAGTCAAGGTCACACTCTGTTGCCAAAGCTGGAATGCAGTGGTGTAATCATGGCTCACTGCAGCCTGGGCTTAAGTGATCTTCCCAAGTAGTTAAGGCTGCAGGTGTGAGCCACTGTGCCTGGCTCACCTCTTTTTATTCTGAGAAAATAGTCTTGGAATTTGGTTTACTTTTTATTGTTTTACCCTTTAATACTTTTAAAAGCTAAAGCTATATAAATTATTGTTGTGATTTATCTTAAGCCTCGGAAAAAAAGATGATTTCAAATGCTCTTAGGAATAGCTCTCAAATATGTAATAATTTTTGCTACTTTATATAGCAAGTTATATTCAAATGTTTACATTCAAAGTTAATTCCAGGGAGAATATGTATTCAAATAAATACATTGAAATTTTTTTTGAACATATACATTCTCCCTGGAGTTAACCTTTGGGGGTGTGCCTTTTGGAGATTGGAGACTCCGTGTGTATTTCACGGTCCACTCCCCAAATTTAATATACATGAAAAATTTTGCTCAGAATACAACTTTAAATTGTACTTTGCTTTTTTTTTCAACAGTGAATTTAGTAAAAATCCCCATATTGTGAGTTTTGTTGGAAATCAAGTAACTATTAGAAGAGCTGATGGCTCCCTGGTTCACATCAGCATAACACCATATCCTGCTATTCTCCATGAATATGTAAGCAGTTCAAAATGGGAAGATGCTGTGAGACTTTGTCGCTTTGTTAAGGTAATTTACATTTTAGATTCATAGTTGTATATATATTTCATAGTAGTTTACCTTTGTGCAAAATGAGTAATGATAATAGGCTTAAAGGCTGGAAAAATTGTGAATAAGATCATGTCTTTTTTTATAAGTAAAGACATGGGCAATACAGAGGAATACATGTTGCTGTGTGATTTATTCTCTGAAGACGCTATAAAAATTTAAACTGTTTTTCCATACTGGCACATATAAAAATCTTCTGTGGAAGTTTTCTGAAAGTCAGGTTCCCAAGTTCTACTCCCGTAGAGATTCTAATTCATTATATCTGGATTGAGTCCTGGGCATATTTTTTAATTTCCTCAGATGATTGTTTTGTACAGCTAAGGTTAAGAATCTCTGCTTTCGATCAGCCTTTTTCCAACTTGGTTGAATCTAGTATTTTTCAAACATGTTTGACCATAGACCTTTTTTATTGAACATCAGTGAACATTCCTTAGAATACACTTTTGTGAAATGACTTTTAGATGCTTTTTTTAACAATGGGTTGTTGGTGGTGAATAGCATCATTGTCTGGGGTAAATACCCGGAGTTTGTCATCTCACACCAAGAAAATCAAGGACGGACACATGTGGGTAGGTTAAGGAGTGGAAAGCGTAATAGGCAGAAGAAAGGAGAGAGGAGAGCAGCTCCTTGCCAGAGAGAGGAATCCAAAAAGGGAAAAGTGGTGGACTGCAGCAGATTTCATAGGCAGGCTTGAGGAGGCCGTGTCTGATTTACATAGTGCTCACAGATTGGTTTGACCAGGTGTGACATTTACATAGCACAGGGAAGGCTGGTTGCCCCACCCTAATCTTATTATGCAAATAGACTTTCCACCTGGCCAGTGCCATCTTGTATACTCCTTACTGTACAGATGGCTGGCAAAAAGAGAAGATGGAGCTGCTGTTTGAACATCCCCAGTCCCAGGTAGCATATTGCTATGGGCACAACTACTGGCATTCACTCATGCAAGCTTCCAGCTTGCTTGTTTATATCTGCAGCTCTATTTTACAGGCTGCTCTTTGTTAGAAAAGAAAATGATTTGGGGGCTGCTTTTCATTAAAAGGAAAACCTTATCGTAAAGGACTTCTGTACCCTCACTATCTGCCTAAGTAATTTCTTCTTAACTGGTATATCAGTAGCAATCTACCATAATATCATTGTCTGAGAACTTCACTATTTCTTTGGTTCCCTATAAATTACATTTTTTGACACCTCGTCAAAAAGACTGGAAGGTTTATAACCTTGAGTTATTATTTTAAATTCAGAAATAAATCCTTAATAACTCAAAATTGAAAATTTCATTCAAAAGTTTTCTGTGTATTAATATATTTTAACAAAATGGCCACAATGAAATTCCCACATTATTAGTTTTTTTTAATGCCCTGCTCAGTAATTTTTATTTTTTAAATTAAAATATCATTTTAGTATGAGTATTTAAATCACTGCTTATTTTAAGGCAGTTCAGTCACATAGTTAAGATAATTGTTCTCATACTTTACTTTAGGAGCAAACCATGTGGGCTTGTCTAGCTGCTATGGCAGTTGCTAATCGAGATATGACTACTGCAGAAATAGCCTATGCAGCAATTGGTGAAGTAAGTAATTAATGTTTACATATATGTACATGTGTTTTTTCTTAGCGTAATTTATTATATTTCTGTTACTATCTACTTCAATATTTTTCTTTTCTTTTTTAGATTGATAAGGTTCAGTACATCAATTCTATAAAAAATCTTCCATCTAAAGAATCAAAAATGGCCCACATACTACTGTTTAGTGGGAACATACAGGAGGCTGAAATAGTACTTCTTCAGGCTGGCCTTGTTTATCAAGCAATCCAGATCAATATTAATCTCTACAACTGGGAAAGGTAATAAGAATGCTTTCCATCAGTTCCAAAATCTGTTTGACCTTAATGTATTTTTCCATCTACCACTTAGTAAATTACATTTTCCACTATATTTTAGTTTCTTAACACCACAGAAGAATTTATTCATATTCATATTTGTGAATAGTTTACAATTTATTTCTTCTCTGAACTTTTGACTGATTAAAAGTTGGGGTGTGAAGAAGAGAGGCTAGGGTGTTTCCTAAATTTTTGGTTTTAGCAACTGGAGAGATCATGACACCATACCATTTGCAGATTTGATAGGGAAGATATTGAGTTTCATTTTAGCCAAGTTGAATTTGAAATACTCGCAAAAAGTTATAATCGTTGATTAAATGGACCTGGAGCTCATAAGAAATATCTGAACTAGAGGTTTAGATTTAGGAGTCATTAGCAAATGGATAGTAGTTGAAGCAAGAGAAATGGATGCAATTGCCTGGGGAATGTGTGGAATGAAAAGACATCCGCTACATTATGAGATGGATGAAAGGAAAGAAAGACACCAAATGTTATTCCATAAAGCAGTCGGACAGGCAGAGAAAAGAACCAAGAGAGATGTGTAGTACTAAGGAAGAAAGAGGAAAGGATTGGTCAACAGCAATCAACAGCCTTACATTAGGCTCTCGGACAGATTGCTTTCTGAGGCAAAGTGGCATGCTGCTCTTCTCTGTGACATAAGAGGTTCCTCCCACTCATTCTCTCAGGTACATGTCTCCCAGTGAACAAAACTATAGTTTTTATGTACTCCTGATGTAGTTTGTTGTGGAATTGACATATTTTTCCAGGTTTGAAGTGTCTTTCATGATCTTTGTTTCTGCCTGGGCTGAAAAATAACCCCTGTATCTGTCAATTACAAGGCTCTTTAGTTAAACTTCCTTAGATTAGAATTTCTATAGATATTTTATCTCTGTCTTTCCCTTGACTAAAAGTAACAAAAATGGCAGATGGTTAATTTTATGATTGACATACTGTAGTCTCCTTATTTAATTTATGGCTAATGATCTATACTATTCATATAATTTAGCTACTCTATTTTTGTCCCTTATTAACACAAATTCATTGTTTATCTGTACAAAGGATCATGAAAGATGTTTTTCATTCTATAAAAATAAATAGGCTGCCAGGTACAGTGGCTCACATGCTTGTAATCCCAACACTTCGGGAGGCTGAGGCAGGCGGATCACACGGTCAGGAGTTTGAGACCAGCCTGGCCAATATGGTGAAACACTGTCTCTACTAAAAATACAAAAAAAGCAGCTGGGCATGGTGGCACACGCCTGTAATCCCAGCTACTCAGAAGGCTGAGGCAGGAGAATTGCTTGAACCTGGGAGTTCCAGCCTGGGCGACCAGACCGAGACTCCATCTAAATAAATAAATAAATAAGCCATTGTCTTTGTCCTGAATTTATTCATAATTCATAAAGTTTAAGGTAACTAGTTTAGACAGTGTGAATATTTTTTAAATTTTATGTTAAATAACTTATAGAAAATTATATGTATCATTACCCAGCTAATAGAGAAATGGGGAAGAATTGTGTTTATAGCATTCTTTTGACCAGTGTTTTTGAAAAAATATGTTGAAATCGTAGACACTACTCTTGCTATAGCATTCTGAATACTGTACAATTTAACAAAAAAAAATTTAAGGTAATGGTCTTTATCTTAAAAAGCTTGTAACCTAATTAGGAATTCCATTTCGTTGTCATTAATAATAGTCAAATGTCAAAATGATGAAGAGTATTGCACATAGAATGAATATTAACTACCTACTATGTAAAGGTAATGTAAAATGTTTCTGCTGTTCAGGAAGCATATAATCCATAAGGGGAAAGATAACATAAATATCTGCAAAGATAAATAATTAGAGAGATAAACAGTAATCCAGTAAAAACAATATAAACAATGGTACCAGCAGTACATAATTAACTGCTTGGTGACCATTAATAATCATTTTGCAGCATTCCTCCTTTTAGATTGATACGGTTCAGTACATCAATTCTGTAAAAAAAAACTTCCATCTAAAGAATAAAAAATGACCCACATACTAATGTTTAGTGGGAACATACAGAGGTTGAAATAGTACTTCTAAACACTGGCCTCCACTTATTCAGTGGTTATGATGTGCTAGGAATTAACTGTGCTAGACACTTGCTATATATCATGTCGTTAGGTTATCTCAGCAACTCCAGAAGTTTAGATATTACCAGCCCCATTTTACAAATGAGGAAATTGAGGTTTACATATAAATAAGCACAAAATCTAGGATTTGAACCCCCAAGTTGTCTAATATCAAAGAAGAGCTCAATTTATCACTAAGCAATCAATTATCTATGGCTGGTACCATTGCATATATCATTTTGGTTTTTTTGAGACGGAGTCTCGCTCTGTCATCCAGGCTGGAGTGCGGCGGCACGATCTCGGCTCACTGCAACTTCTGCCTCCTGGGTTTAAGTGATTATCGTACTTCAGCCACCTAAGTAGCTGGGATTACAGGCTAATTTTTGTACTTGTAGTAGAGACGGGCTTTCACCATGTTGGCCAGGCTGGTCTCGAACTCCTGACCTCAAGTGATCTGCCTGCCTTGGCCTCCCAAAGCACTGGGATTACAGACGTAGCCACTGCACCCGGCCATGCTTATGTTGTTTTTACTGGATTACTATTTCTCTCTTTATTTATATTTGCAGATATTAAATCGTCTTTCCTCTTACAGATTATATACTTCCTGAAGAGCGGAAACATTTCACATTATCTATACATAGTAGGTAGTTAATATTCATGCCCTTACTCTCTATGCAATACTCTTCATCATTTTGCAGCATTCCTCCTCTTCAAACATTTATTGGGTGTAGATACATGCAGTGAGTGAGTAGGTATCACAGAAGAAGGTGAGGAAATTTGCCTCTGATGGCCTATAATATAACCTTCTGAACATTTCTTGTACCTCCTTGACCCAAATGAAACCTACCTTTATTTGGAAGAGAAGGTGGAGAAGAGAACACCACTTCTCTACCAGTCCTCTCAAATGGAGTCAATTTATTCTCTCCACTCTACATTCCTTAGGATCCAGTGTGAGTGGAGTTGGTGTCCTTTTTGCCTCCCTCATCTTTACTTCCCTATCTTATAAAATCTCCAGTCCTTTAAGGCTTATATCATGTGTCTCTACTTATTTTTTGCTGAGACCTCAAACTTTCCCTGCTATCCTTATATCCTGTTCCCCGCATGCCCCCCTTCACCTTCCAGTTCTCAGTAAGGGACCTTCTCTTGAAATCATTAGATCTCAGGGAGAGGGAAAACAAGAAGGTCAAAGAAGATGTAATGAGGAAAGAGAATGAATTCTGGGTGCTCCTCCATTCTTCTTATCTCCTGGCATCTCCTTTTCATGTGTTTCTTGCTTTTACCTAATTGTAAGCCAGTGGTTTGGTCAGGTGCTGGTAGAGATCTCTGAGTCTACCTGAAAAGATGATAAAGATCCCAGAGCATTGTTCCTGGATTCTGACCATTATTTATACACTACACTATCTATACACTTAAGACTCCAAAATATGCATCTCTCATCTAGCCTTTTGTTCTGCCCATATTTGCTTCCAGAATTCAATTCTCCAACTACCTACTTAACATTTCCATTAGATATCTCACATTTTTTAGCTCAAATTTATGTTTATTCCCTCATAAACCTGGTCCTCCTCCAGCCTAATTTATCTTATCATTCTTTCAGCTGTACAAAGCTGGAAACGTAGAAGTTACTTTTAACATTTTCCTCACCTTCGCCCTCCCTATTATCAACCATTTCCCTCCCAAATGCCTCTAACACTCATCCACTTCACTACTAGTACCATTACGTAAGTTGATCCAAGTTTTTCTGCTTAATGTCATCACTGATCTCCCTATATCTACTCTGTCTCTTTCCTACCCATTCTTCACTCTGCAGTCATAGTGATCTTTTCACAATGGAAATCTGGTCGTATCACTCTTGACCTCTGATTCACTTCAATAAAGCCCACTTCAGTGAAATTCATAGTTTCCCATTGCTTTTAGCATAAATATCAAGATTGGATAAGAAAGGACTGCAAATATTCAGCAAAAGTAATTATAGCTGCTAAGAAACTCTCAGGAAACTTATATATTGTTTTTATTTCTAAGTTCTACAGATATTTCTGAAACAATTTGGAGTATTTGTTCCAACTGCACATTCATTCATTCATTCAACAGATAATTAAGTGTAATCGCTTGGTATCCGTGAGATGGGTAAGGATTGGTTCCAGGACCCCCAGGATACCAAAATCTGGGATGCTCAAGTTCTTCGTATAAAATGACGTAGTATTTACATATAACCTATGCACAGGGCTTGAATTTGTTTATGTACTTTAGCTGCAGGGAAGGCCCACATTGAATATGTGTATAGAACAGAGCTGTAGTAGATTTTTTTGTACAAGTATAAGGTAATGGTTAAGCTATCTAACAATTTGAATTTGTTTACCTTTAATTGAATTTCTACATCCAGTTCATAAGGCCCAGTAGGGAGTGGGATATACAAGTTTAATGTTCATGAGAGATCCTAGACATTGAGGGGAAAGCCAGTGAAGGAATTATCAGTCTACAGACAGTAGTTGAGGCCATGAGTATGGCTGAGGTTTATCACGAAAACTTAAGAAAAGAGAGCAGCAAGCAGATATCTGCTGAATACCAATATTTAAGGGTGTGCTTTAAGAAGAGAATTTAGCAATAGAGATCAGAAGGGATGAAAAGATGGAATTTTAAAAAATTGTTTATTATGGAAAATTTCAAACACATACAAAAGTAGAGAGAATAGTCTGAATGTACCCATCATTCACTTCGACAATGATCAATTTGTGAACAATTTCTACCCTTACCCTACCATTTATTTTAAAGCAGACCCCAATCATTATATCATTTTTTTCTGTAAATATTTCAGCATGTATCTCTAAATTTTTTTTAACATAGCCACAATATTGCAGTCATACCTTCAAAAGTAAACAGTAATTATATTCACTGTTCTTATTTCTCTGTTTCACTCATAAGTGTTTTGTTTTGTTTTATGGTTTGTTTGAATCAGAATCCAATAAAGATCCACACACTGTGATTGGTTGATATGTTCTTAAATTTGTTTTAATCTATAGCTTCTCCTATTCTTTTTTGTGTTTTCTTGCAATTTTCCCATTGAAGAAACTGGACCTATAGAATTTACCATAGTGTGGACATTATTGGATCTTTGGACAAACATTGCATCTTTGTGGTGTACTTTAACATAGTCCTCTGTCCCCTGAATTAGTTGCATATTGGTTGTTGAATCTAGGAACTTGATTAGATTTAGGTTTTTTTTTTTTTGATAAGACTTCATTATAGTAGTGTTAGATGTTTTTGTAATGACTGGCTGTAGTGGTTTTTCATGGTATTTTTTGTGATGTTAGTAGCCATTGATGATCATTGCCCAAATCTATTAATTTGAGCTTACAAAATGGTGATATTCTATCATTCCAGAAGGATAGAATTTGTTAGATGCTAAATACATTAGATTGCTTTTAATATCCCTGAATCTCTATATTTGTTTAAATCCTCTAGAAGGGAACAGATTTTGTTTTGTTCATATGTGATATTCCACTTGAGAAGCATAGTCTTGCTGGTTTATGCTTCTGTCTTTCATGTTTGAATTTGAAAATTGCCTGCAACCTAATAAGGTACAGCTCTTGAAGAGTTATAGGTAAGCAAGTTATCTGTTTGCTATCCACTTTGGACATTTGGTAGTAGTCTGTTCTCAAAAACTGAAGTTAAGAGAGGTAGAAACTAGAAACTCTAAATATGCATGTTAATCCTTTATGTGCATATTAATAAAAATAATTTCTGATCTCAGTTATACAAAGTGATTTCGCTTCATTCAAGTTATGCAAAAATCATATTTTGAAGTTATAACATCTTTTTATATAACTTCCTTCTATTTAAAATACATGGATTTATTCCAGCCTTAGAATCTAATGTCACATTTGTTTGGTTGCCAAATAACCATTTTAAAACTAGAGACATACTGTTCCCAAAACCCTTAGATAATTTGGAGTAAGTTCCCTCCTAAATGTGGAGAAGAAACATTTTTTTACCCAGTATGTGCTTTTAGAGAACATTTAAAATAGCACATATCATTTGAATGTTTACCCTTAGCCATTGCTATTCAATCGATACATATTTTATTATAATAATAATAATGACAATGATAGATAATTCTTAGGATCTAGCATCTAAATGCAGGATTAGACATCATATTCTATTCTTTCTACATAATTAAATGTATTGATGTTTCATACCATAGTATCTCATTCGGAATTTTGGAAAAGCTCCAACCCAGAATGGATGATTTTATGTACTCCCCATTGAGAATACTTTCAGTTTTGCACAATCAAGATCTCCTTCCCTGATCATGTACAATCATAAAGAAAGAATGGGAGATGGAGCTTCTAAGGTGACAAAAAAAAGTAGCTCATCAGTCTCCACTCACACATACACAACTGGAATCAGAGCCTTAGGGATATACATGGGGGGATTATATGGGAGAGGGTTAGCAGAACTGAGGCATCTTTACTTCTGTTTCTCCTTTTTTGAGCCTCCGTGAATTGCTTTTTGCCTTCTTTATCTTCCACTTTTCCCCTCTATATTCTAGTAACTTTACATTCTTTTCTGCCTGTTTTTTTTTCTGAAAGACGTAAGGTCACAGAGGAATGAGGGAATTTTGTGAGAATGTGTGATGGTAGCAAATACTGACCCTTGGATTTCACAATACAGTGTATGTCAATTTATAAGAAATCATTTTGCCCAATTTTGGCATTACCATTTGTATTATATATAACTTACATTCATAATTTTTGCATATTAAGTGTTTAATATCTCTCAAAAGTCTATCAGTTGTCAATCAATACATACACCATGTCTAAAATACTTTTTAAAGTGACTATTTAGTTTGATCAATAGTAAGGCAAACCAAGCCAGGCACGGTGGCTCACAGCTATAATCCCAGCACTTTGGGAGGCCAAGGCAGGCAGATCACTTGAGGTCAGGAGTTGAAGACCAGCCTGGCCAATGTGGTGAAACCACGTCTCTACTAAAAATACAAAAATTAATTGGGTATGGTGGCGGATGCCTGTATTCCCAGCTACTTGGGAGGCTGAGGCAGAAGAATTGCTTGAACCCTGGCAGCAGAGGTTGCAGTGAGCCAAAATCATGCCACTGCACTCCAGCCTGGGCGGCAGAATGAGACTCCATCTAAAAAAAAAATAGTAAGCCAAACCAAAGCATGCCAAAAATGAACCAGATTTTCCTAGTGAAGAGTCTAGTTGCAAAAAATCTAATCAGTAGTCAGCTTTGCTAAAACAACAGACTTATAATAGTTGGCTCTGATAAATCCTGACTGGAATATTCAGAAGTCGTATGTCATATTAGAAAGCAAGAGAACTTGAGAAATAATGTGCTTTTGACTATTATGATGACTGTTATCTTATTTTGAAACAAGATGACAGTGAACAGTGTAAGAGAGCTATAGTCCACTGGATTGTTCCCGACTCAACTAATATGAGTTATGCACAGGATTGCAGTGGCTGAGGTGCTGTCCAAAACCCACATGTGAAAGTAAGCCTGGAACTGAGGATTAATCTTTTTATTCTCCTACAAATTATCATCAGTGTATATATTTTATGTCTTTAGTTTATACCACTGTTTTCAGCAGCAATTTATTTAGTTATCATCTACCATTTAAATAAAATATTACTTTAAAAATAACTTGCATAAATATTGATTGAATTATAAAACTTAAATGACTGTCAACTTTTCCTGAGACTCAGATGGCAAAAGGCATTTTCTCAGACTTCTTAGCCTCAATTTGTTATTTTCATAAGATTTTTAATTTGCTATAGTAATAATGTAAAGATACCAGTTTTTAATTTTATAAACTCAGTATAGACTTATGAAAATGGTCAAAATAATGGGACCACTTACACTGTGGGGAATTTCATTCACTTGAATTACAGGATGATTTCAAAAATATTTTCTTTTTTTTTTTTTTTTTGAGTCTCGCTCTGTCACCCAGGCCGGAATGCAGTGGCGCGATCTCAGCTCACTGCAACTTCCACCTCCCAGATTCAAGCGATTCTCCCGCCTCAGCCTCCCGAGTAGTTGGGGTTACAGGCATGTACCACCACGCCCAGCTAATTTTTGTATCTTTAGCAGAGACAGGGTTTCGCCATGTTGGCCAGGCTAGTCTTGAACTCCTGACCTCAAGTGATCCTCCCACCTTGGCCTCCCAAAGTGCTGGGATTACAGGCATGAACCACTGTGCCCAGCCTCAAAAATATTTTCAATGCATATTTACCACATATGTACTCTGTATTACTCACCAAAGAGAAATGTCTCCCTTCAATAAGTGTATTGGCTAGTGGAGAAAAAAGACTCATAACAATTGTACTATAAGGAGTGCTGTAATAATAGTATATATATAAATGGTATGAAGCATAGATAAGATAATAGTCATTTATTTCTACAAGAAGAGCTGGTCAGGGAGAAGAGGCCATGTTTGATCTGGGCCCTGAAGTATATAAGTAGGAATTTGCAAGATGGATGAGGTAGAAAATGGTATTTCATATTGTGGAATAAACAGAGGGAAGAGCCATTTGTCTTATCCCCAACTCCAGAACTCTACTACTCATGGAGTCTGACACAAACAATGTTAATAATCTGTTTTATTTCTCATTATAGGGCACTGGAATTGGCTGTAAAATACAAAACACATGTTGATACAGTTCTTGCTTACCGTCAAAAGTTTTTGGAGACATTTGGTAAACAGGAAACTAATAAACGATACTTGCATTATGCAGAAGGTGTAAGTATTTCACAATTTTGTATAATAATACATATGCTTTATAAGTATATGTCATATTCATCCTAATGAGACAAAATGTGAATGATTCAAATTTTGAATCTTTTAACCTCTAAAAGAATTACTTTTTGCCTTATGACATCTTATTTTGACTGTAATTATAGTACTAAATTTTTCTCTGGAATCTTGCAGGCATATTTTGATTAACTCAAGTCTGTCTTCATAATATTCCATTTGTGCTAAGGTTGGGTGCTATTTGATATTTTTAGATAAATAATATACGTGGGTGGAATAAAAGCTTCTAACTCTTAAATTTCACCTGCCACAAGCTGCCTCTTCTGCTGTAGGGGAAATATATATGCACAGAGGGCACTGACCAGAAAATGCATAGTTGGTCACTTTGTAGAATTCTAGAAAGCTAGGTTGCACCTCCTAGAAGTGCCTAGCCTAGGTAGATTTCACTACCTAGAACCAAAGAAGACTCAGCCTTTGCCTTCCAGGCTCCTACCAGAATCTCAGATTTTATTACTCTAATTAGAAGAAAGTCATTCTGGGATGCAGTGGTGCATGCCTGTAGTCCCAGCTACTTGGGAGGCTGAGGCAGGAGGACTGCTTGAGCCCAAGAATTCAAGGCCAGCCTGGGCAACATAGCAAGACCCCACCTCTAAATAAACAAATAAAAATAAAAAGAAGGAAGTCATTCCAGTATAGATCAGCCCACAAGGAGACCCAGAATGAGTTTGCCCCATTGCCTAGAGCATAACTGATTATAGCCACTTAGCCAGATTCTTTTAGGCTCAGACAGCAGAAACAGAGCTCATGTCACTAGCCATATAGATCCAAGAAGCTTGACTCCTAAGAGCTGTGATTACAAGACAGGGCTGACCTTTCTTTCAGCTCTGTGAACCACTTTCTTTAGCCTTTTATTCATTCATTTATTCAAAAAATGTATGATATCTCACTCTGGCCTAGACACTATGCTAGGGGTTAAAATCAGATACAGCCTCTTATGTCTCTTTGGAGCTTATAGATTATGTGGGAGCATACCTTCTTGGTGTAGAATAAAATGGAATGTTCTGATTGATCATAGGGGCAGACTGGGTTAGAGGAGACTTAGGAAGAGGAGAGAAGATAGAGAGAAGGCACCCACAATTTCTATTAAAGCCAACATTATCTACTTATTGTATTTAGAATACGTAGTGTCTTGATCTACATTTTTGCACTTCAGAACAATTTTCATGTTAGTGAGGCCTTTGAGACCATTCTTAGAGTTTAGCAGTGCAACTTCGACATCTGGATCCAGGATAGCTACAAGTTGTGGGTTTCATGGTAGAAAGGAGATATGTTTTTTAGAAGCTCCACAAACCTTTTTTTGATTTCATTTGGAACCTGCTTAGTACTGAAGTGAATCCTGGGAGTTTGGGCATACTCTACTATTAGGACAAACACAGCATCCCTGGGATCTCTGGGGCTACACTCTGATTCATAATATATGACAGCAGCCACCACCAAAACAGTGCTAAGCAGCCCAAAGAACTGTGACACAAAGGTCAGGTAATCTGATCTTTGTGTCACAGTTTTGAATATATGATCATATGTTAAAACTGAGCACCCACCTTGTTTATTGTATAATTTTAAAGCAGATTAAACTACTCTGCTTTTTCCTCCTCGCCATCAATATTTTTTCAATATTCACATTTGATACTTTTGAGAACATAGGAAATACAGTTCTGATCAGGTGTGGTGGCTCAAGCCTATAATCCCAACACTTTGGGAGGCTGAGGCAGGAGGATCACTTGAGTCCAGGAGTTTGAGACCAGCTTAGGCAACATAGTGAGATCCCATCTGTACAAAAAATTTAAAAATTAGCTGGACATGGTGGCTCATGCTTGTAGTCCCAGCTACTTGGGAGAGGTAGGAGAATCACCTGAGCCTGGGAGGTCAAGGCTGAAGTGAGTTGAGATCATGCCACTGCACTCCAGCCTAGGTGACAGAGTGAGATCCTGTCAGAATGAAAGAAAAGAGAGAAAGAAAAAAAGAGAAAGAGAGAAGGAAGGAAGGAAAGAAGGGGGGGGGAGGAGAAAGAAAAGAAAGTCCTTACTATGAAGAAAATTATATTTTAGATAGCAAAAATTAACATCTTTATCATCTTTTTCATTATACATATATTCAACTGTTACCAAAATATAATACTTTAATCATAAGAGTACCAGAACAACATGGCTTTCTTAGGTATTTTAGGGTTTTTTTTTTCCATCCAGAAACTATATAGGTTACTTTGACTCCCTATGGTACTATGTTCTCGTTTCCTACTTTTCTTCATAAATGTCATTTGGAGTTAACTAAAAATCATAAAGCAGTATTTTATGATGAAAATTATTTTTTTCTTAAAAATTTCCCACCAATGAAATAAAATGTAACCCTGGGAAAATAGCTCTTGGGGATATCTGCATTACTTGCTGACCTTTTGGTTTCATTTAAGTCTATAATCTAGTCATAATATATCATCCATATTTATCTTTGCCAGACTTATGATTATATAAATGCTTTATTTCAGAACTAAGAGTTAAATAGAAAGGGGTCTTTTAAAAATAACATTGAGAAATTTATTCTAGATATCTGGTGATTTTGGTGGGCTCACAATGCATACCATCTGGAAATTTATAAATGAATGGAATCTACCATAAGGGAAGAAGTGAGAAGTTTGATAGACACTTAGTTTATGAGCCCTGAAATGTTATTTGGCCATTTCTAATTTAAAATATGGCAATCTGGGATTTTTACAAGGAGTACTGTTTTCCAACAACCCTGATATTTAGAGTTATTGTACTTGGTCTACAATAGTGTTCTGTAAATATTTATAAAACAAATTTTAAATCTAGCAAATAAAATCCACTCAAAGAATACATTTATTATATTAAATATATACTCTGCACAAGAAGAAAAGTAGATCTGGGAAATACTTCAGACATTTGCTAGGAAAAAGAAAAAGAGTGAAAGAAATCAAACTCATGAGCAGGATTTCAGAAAGTTTAAAATTTTGAAGATCTGAGTCAACACTCTACTTAGGACAAACCACTTTAGGCTTAGCTACTACCGAAAAGCTGCTTTACAGGTTTTAAGTTTGGAGGAATTGTTAATAGTGAGGAGTTGTTAGCTGATTACTGATTTGCTGGGTAATTATTTACCTTTTATTCATTCAGTATTTATTGAGTGCCTCCTGTAGACAGTGTTTTCTCCTTAGTGCTTGGGATATAATAGTAAACGTGACAGACACTGGCCCTGGCTTTATGAAGTTTATATTCAAATGGAGGTGACAGTTGTCTAGGTAATTGTTCATTTCAATTGTGATAATTGCCTTGAAGGAGATGTACGTGGTGCTATAAGACTTTATGAATGGGGGTCCTGACCTATGGTGAGGCAATCAGCAGAGACTGTTCTAGCAAAGAGCATGATATTTGAACTCAGCTTTAGAGGATGAATAGTAGAAGCTCACTGCAGGGTAGAGGTTGGGTAGGAGATGAGAATAACATGTTCCAGGAGAGGGAAGGCTTTAAAGTAGGAAAGAGTAAAAGCAATGGAGGGATTGACTTTAGGGTTTCATAGGGCAAATTAAATAAGAGAAGCCATTGGAGGGCAATAACATGATCACTTTTTCCTTTTAAAATCCTGATTCCGCAAGGTGCGGTGGCTCACACCCATAATCCCAGCACTTTGGGAGGCTGAGATGGGAGGATCACTTGAGTCTAAGAGTTTGGAGACCAGCCTGGGCAACATGGTTAAACCCTGTCTCTACCAAAAAAAAAAAAAAAAAAAGTTAGCTGGACATGGTGACATGCACCTGTAGTTCCAGCTGCAGGTGTAGTTCTGGAAGCTTAGGTGGGAGAATCACTTGAGCACCAGAGGCAGAGGTTGCAGTTAGCTGAGGTCGTGCCACTACACTCCAACCTGGGCCACAGAATGAGACTCCATCTCAAAAAATAAAATAAAATAAAATCCTGATCCCTGGCCAGGCACAGAGTCTCATTCCTGTAATCCCAACACTTTGGGAGGCTGAGGTGGGAGGATTGCTTGAGTCTAAGAGTTCAGCAACCAGCCTGGGCAACATGGCGAAATCTTGTCTCTACCAAAAAAAAAAAGTAACTGGGCATGGTGGCATGTACCTGTAGTTCCAGCTACTCTGGAAGCTTAGGTGGGAGAATCACTTGAGCCTAGGAGACAGAGGTTGCAGTGAGCCGAGGTCACGCCACTGCACTCCAACCTGGGCAACAGAGCAAGACTCCATCTCCCAAAAAATATAAAATCCTGATTCCTGGCTATGCGCAGTGGCTCAAGCCTGTAATCCCAACACTTTGGGAGGCTAAGGTGGGAGGATCACTTGAGCCCAGGATTTCAAGACCAGCCTGGGCAATATAGTGAGACGTTGTCTCTATTAAAAATAAATAGGCTGGACGCAGTGGCTCACGCCTGTAATCCCAGCACTTTGGGAGGCCGAGGTGGGCAGATCACAAGTTCAGGAGATCGAGACCATCCTAACACAGTGAAACCCCGTCTCTAGTAAAAATACAAAAAATTAGCAGGCGTGGTGGCATGCACCTGTAGTCCCAGCTACTCGGGAGGCTGAGGCAGGAGAATTGCTTGAACCTGGGATTTGGAGGTTGCAGTGAGCTGAGATCACGCCACTGCACTCCAGCATGGGCAACAGAGTGAGACTCCGTCCCCACAAAAAATAAAATAAAAATAAAGAAATACATAATAAAATAAAATCCTGATTCCTAAAAATAAATGGAAACAACAGTTTTTACAAAATTATCTTAAGATTTTGCCAGTCACTTGAAGGAGATGAAAATAAGAGCAAACGTACGAGTTATTGAATGAATGAGGAAGAATCCTGAGTGACTGCTCTGGACCCTGGGTGGTTGGAATACTGGTTGGGAAAAGTCATTGAAAGGTCTTAATACCAGGATAAGAGAATAGACTTCGTAATGAAGGCAATGGGAAGACTTGGAGATTTGTAATCAAGAGAATGACTTGAAAGATAACATCAGACGTGAAAGATAGCTTAGAGGCGAGCGTGGTGAGTAGGAGACTAGTTAGGAAGTTACTATAATAATCCCATTAGGAAATGGAAAGGGTACGATTAATTTAAGAAAAATTTTAGAAGTAAAATTAAGAGAACAGTTGTGGTGACTGGGGGTGGGAGGAGAGGTGGTGAGGTAAGGCAGGGCATTTGAGAATGACTTCAACATTTCTAGTGTGGGCAGCTGATAGATGGGAATGCCATTAATCTAAAGAATACATAAGAATATACACATTTTGGACCTTTGAGTTTGAATACATGAAAATATACCATTTTGTATGTGATTAGAGTGTCTATCAGGTGTCCAGAAGGAGGTATCTAGCAGGCAATTAGAAATATAAATATGAACACAAAAGGACATTGACAAGGGAGAAATAAGGGCTAGAAAACTAAATTTATTGCCTTGACCATCTAGGTATAGTTGAAGCTATATGAATTGATATTTCTTAGGGAAAGTGTTAGAAAGCTATGGTTGGACCCTGGTGAATATTAACAGTTAAGAGGTTGTTGAAGGAAACCAAAATATGACACCCCAAAATATGTCTCTTTGACACTTATATTTTTGAGCTAAAGACAAGCTGCAGCAAATGGAAGAGCTCTATTCTCCCCCTTTTCCTCCTAAAGACAAAATATAAATTCTCCTTTACTAGAGACAACTCTTGTCAGCTCAGGGACGACTCCAGAGCAATCTACCAAAAAACCTTACTCCGTGGCTGGGCGTGGTAGCTCACCCCTGTAATCTCAGCACTTTGGGAGACCAAGGCAGGAGGATCATGTAAGCCAAGCCCAAGAGTTCAGGACCAGCCTGGGTAACAAAGTGAGACCTTGTCTCTAAAAAAATTTAAAAAATTAGCCAGGTGTGGTAGCATACACCTGTGGTCCCAGCAGGAGGTTGAGGCTGCGGTGAGCCATGTTTGGGCCACCACACACCAGCCTGGGTGACAGAGCAAGACCCTGTCTCAAAAATAGAACAAACCTCACCTGATTAGTTTCTTCCCATATATTTTTTTCCCATGGTTTCCAATCTCTGGAAGCCTAAAACTGTTTTCACTTCTCTAAAAACAGTCTTGTCACATCTTTAAAATTTATTGTTCTTTGTTGAAAATGCTATGTAACCCAGAGTTCCAAGACACTGTTTTGAGTTACCTTTCATTGAGATTTCTCCTGCTGTGATGTACACTGCACATATTATTGAACCGGCTTGTTTTTCTCTTTTCACCTATCTCTCCCATCAATAAACTTACAAGCGTTGAGGAGAAATTATATTTCTTCTCCAACATTGTCTAGGGAGCAGAATATAGGGAAAAAAGAGAGAGAAAGAAAGAAGCAGCATTTAGAAAGGAGAGCAGGAGCCAGAAGAGAATGGTATTATACAGTCTTGAGAGATTTTTCAAAGAGCAGTGGTCAGCAAGGTCCAGAGAAGGCTCTTATTCCAGGGCCGTCCGTGTACTTCTGCATGTCACCATGCCCTTCTCCAGATATACACATGGGTCTCACTCATCTCCTTCAGGTCCCCCTTTTTTTTTTTTTTTTTGAGACAGGGTCTCACTTTGTTGCCCAGGCTGGAGTGCAGTGGCACAATGACAGCTTACTGTGGCCTCAACATAGCCAGACTCAAGCGATCCTTTCACCTGAGCCCTCTAAGTAGATGGGACTAGAGATGAATGCCACCAAGCCCAGCTAAATTTTTTATTTTTTTGTATAGACAGGGTCTCACTATGTTGCCCAGGCTGGTCTTGAACTCCTGGGCTCAAGCAATCCTCTTGCCTTGGCCTCCCGTGAAGTAAACTGATGACATTGCAACCTCCTATTCTATTCCTGGTGCTCACTATCTCCCTTCTCTATTTTCAAAATCTTTACCGCTTCTGGCATACTAGATATATTTTTTGTTTTGTTTATTATCTGCCCTTTCCATTTTTATCTTTGTTTATTATCTCTCTATGAAGACAGTGATTTCTATCTTTTTGTTCACTGGTGAATCCTTGTACCTCAGACAATCCTTGATATATACTAAGCACTAAATATTTGTTGAATGAAAAATTGAATCATACAGAGAAGGTATATAAGATAAGGACTGAAAACAGCCGAAGGTGGTTTTAGTGCAAAGTTCTTAAAGTGTCACAGGATCAGAATTATAGTGGACAGGGAAGAGAATGAGAGTCAGGAATGAGAAGAAGAAGGATGGTAGCTTGCAGGGAGAAGACAGCATAGAGAGCCAAGGATGATGAGAGCGAGTCAGTGAAAAGAAGGACATTTAATGTGTGAGGAATAATTGAAGTCAGATGTCCTAGAGGAGTCAAAGAAAATGGAATCAGAGACATATGTTAAGAGGTTGGCCTGAGACGGAAGAGAAAGATAATGATGGGTGTAGATACAGGTAAGTTCGTGAATGCAAGGAAGGAAAATAAAGTGAATTCATACCTCATGGCCACTATATTCTCTGTAAAGTAGGAAGCTGATCTTCAGCTGAGAGGAAGAGAAAGAGAAATGTGTTAGAGGATGGAGAGCCTTTTGGTATGATTTTGAAATTGCTTATAGGTGACTAAGAATTGGCTAGCGAGTAGAATAAGGAGTGCCAGATAATATTGGCAGTCCCTATACTAGCAAAAGATGGATTTTAGTGTAGAAATCACTTGACAACTATCAGAGAACATTCTTATCTAAAACCTACTATTAAAAATATTCTAATCCACGAACTAAATTATCTGTAGAACACTTTTTAAAACTAGATCAATGCCAAAGCGAAAGTGAAACATTTATTTTCAGTAGGACAGCTATCCACTGACACCCTGATTTGTATTATAACAAATAACTAATACAGATATCATCAATTTACTTGCAACAGAGCAGCAGTTGTTCAGTATATTATCAATGTATGGTTTTATTGTGATTGATTTGAGAAATGTATGTAAGTCAATTTAAGGCTGGAAGAAACCCAAAGCATCCATCAAGTTTCGTCTTCTCTATAAGTGTTTTGTTAGACATAGAAATGAGTGCTTTGCCGTTTAAAAAATATCAGATTTTGCCCTGATTGAAAAAATGAGTCTTTCAAATAATCTAACATCTGCTTGGCTTTTCAATGAGCTGTCACTTGCATCTTAGCACAGACATTTGTCTTCTATGAGTGAGAGGAATTCGTTTATTAATTCATCTATTTTATGTATTATACATAAGTATATGGCATTGTTATTTTAAATAAAGGTGAGCCAAAATATTTACAAATTGCTTCACAGCAATTCAGGTATGGGATATTGGAATTAAAAAAAATACTTAATTTCTTTAACCTCCAGCATAAAAGAGGCATGAAGTCCTATTAAAGTTAAATTAACCCCTCACTTACTTAAGCTAAATCTGTTCAAGCAGACTGAGATTACTTCATTCTGCTTTAATACTACTTATTCCATTCAACTCCCCTAAACAGAGGTGAAAACCTATTCACTTTTGGCCCAGACTCAGGGGTTTGGATTTATTTCCTGTAAATCAGAGTTAGTTTAATCTATGACCCAATTTTTTCCATGTCTTGCCTCAGAAAGGATAAACATTCCTAAATTAGTGATCTCCAAACTTTGTTAACTGGTAGAATGTGCTTTCCTAAAGAAGTTGCTCATAGAACTCAGGGGCAGAGTCTATTCCTAACAAGTCTAATGAACTTAAGAGAGGAATAGGGCTGGGCTAGGGGAGGGGAGACTGCATAACGGATAGAAGGGAAGCAAACAAATAAAAATGTTTGCACTTTGCAGTTATTCTTTTCATGTGTTTCCCAGTCTTGCTTTCCCTTCGCTTTCTCTAACATCTTTTCCTCATTGTCTTAATGACCACCATGTCTTACTTTAAGAGTTGGTGCAAAGGAGCCACTTTCACAGAATATGCTTAGGGGAAGCTAATGAATCCCTGTCTTTCCTCATAACTAGGCTTCCAGTGGAAACTGCAGTATATAAGATGTGAAGCCTATTTGAAAAATGGCTTGGTAACCAGAGTCCGGTCCACTTTTTCCTCGTTTGGAAGACAGCGGTCCATCTCATCCCCTACCTTGTCCCTGAGCACGTGTACACAATCCTAAGGCTCCATGGGACTGTTTAGATGTACCTTTATAAATAGCTGTGACTAGATTTTGGTCTTTTAAATCACAATGAGAGTCTTTGCTTTTTATTATATAATTCTTATTTTTTGGTCTTATTCTTAAAACTACTTTGTGGTTTTTGAGCATTATTTGTTTTTGTTTTTTTTGAGACAGGGCCCTTGCTCTGTCACCCAGGCTGGAGTGCAATGGTGCAATCACGGCTCACTGCAGCCTTGACCTTGAGGGCTTAGTTGATTCTCCCACCTTAGCCTCCCTAATAGCTGGGACTACAGGTGTGTGCCACCACACCCAGCTACTTTTTTTATTTTTTGTATTTATTTTCCCATCTCGGAACTTTGCCATGTTGCCCAGGATGTTGTCAAACTCCTAGACTCAAGCAATCCACCCACCTCAGCCTTCCATACTATTGGGATTACAGGAGTAAGCCACTATGCCTGGCCAAGCATTATTTCTTCTTCTTAACTTTGATGCTCTCTTTTTCTCTAATCTTTTGATGCTCTCTTTTTCTCTAATCTTTTGGAAGTCACACAGTCTATCTGTTTACTCTTAGTTACTTTGGAGTAAACAAAAATGTCTTACACTATCTAAGCATATTTCTTCTTTTTTTTTTCTATTGCAGCTCCAAATAGATTGGGAGAAAATCAAAGCCAAAATTGAGATGGAAATTACAAAAGAAAGAGAGCAATCATCAAGCAGCCAATCCAGCAAGAGTATAGGTTTAAAGCCCTAAATGCCATGCGTATCTTTAAGAAATTTTATCTTTTGAAACACGTTCTGATTAACCAAGGGTAAGCATGTTTTGGTTGCTAAAGAAAAAAGCATAATCTTTAACCGAGTATAAGTACTTGCTGTGTATTTAGTGTAAAAGTACATGCAGAAAGATGAAACACAAAGTAATTGATGTATTTCTATCTTTTATATTTTTTAGTCCAATAATTAGCAAAATATTACTATGTACTTAAGAGATACCTGTGTAGTGTCGATTATATGTCAGTTTTTTGCCCATTACTTCATCCCTAAATCTTCAGCATGAACAAATATTAATGTCGATAATAAAACATTGGACTCTTTGAAATGTATGTTACCATTAATTTCTATTTGACCTCTAAATTGTAAAATGCCTCCAAAAGTTTATTTATAGAACAAAAATACATGAGGATGGATTTGTACAAATGTATAAAATGCCACTATTTATACACCAAGTTCATAGCAGCATTACTGGAATAGCAAAAGATGGAAACAGCTCAAGTGTCTATCATGAATGGATAAACAAATGTGCTATAATACATACAATGGAATATTATTTAGCTTTAAAAAGGAATGAAATTCTGATAAATACTACCTCAGGATAAACCTTGAAAACACTATGCTAAGTGAAATAAGCCAGACACAAAAGGCCAAATATGATGCCACTTTTATGAGGTACCAGCATAGGCAAGTTCACAGAAACAGAAAGGAGAATAGTGGTTGCCAGGGACTGCAGGGAGGAGGAAATGGGGGGTGGGGTTATTGTTTAACGAGTACATAGTTTCTGTTTGGGATGAACAAATTCTGGAAATGGATAGCGATGATGGTTGCTCAACATTTTGAATGTTAATGCCACTAAATTGTACCCATAAAAATGGTTAAAATGGTAAATTTTGTTATGTATATTTTATCATAATTTAAAAAATATATCTAGAATGGGCAAGAAGGATTCTCCTCATTCCTCTCTTGACTTGAGAATGATCAGTCAATAGGCCCTGAAGTCTGAATTTGTGAAAATTTCCTTGGGTGACAAACTTGTTTGATTACTCTATTTAGTGTATCCCAAAGTTATTACCACATAATCTTTTAAACAATAAAACAAATACCCCTTAGAAAGTCTTCTGCAAACCCATTTCTGAAAATGGTACATTATAGGGTGGGTATAGATGCATAGATATGGGATTATGTATGATATATATATATATACACACACACACAAAGGGATAGAGAGATTACCTCTCTTAACCCCCATTTTAATTACTATGTCTAGGTTTTTTAAATAAAA
Source organism: Homo sapiens (assembly GCF_000001405.40). Classification (NCBI taxonomy): domain Eukaryota; kingdom Metazoa; phylum Chordata; class Mammalia; order Primates; family Hominidae; genus Homo; species Homo sapiens. Next base: position 160,257,222 of record NC_000003.12, on the reverse strand, counting down.
ATCTTTTCTTTTTAACATGTTTCTTTTCTTTTCCGGAATATTGGAATATTCTGTTCTTGATCCAGATGAAATCTGATTGAGCAGTGTACTTACAAGTTGTACTGTGTATGTGTTTCCTATATTGTTATATTTCAATAAGAAGCTTAAAATGTTTAAAAATAAATGGTTAAAAGGTTTTATGTTATGTATATTTTACCACAATAAATGCAAAAAATAAAAAGTCTGTGTTCTAAACAATTCTCTCATATCCTAGAATTCAATCCAATTCTAACACTAACTACCTAGAATTAGAAACAGATCCCACAAGTTAAAGGGCAAGGTTCCCAAAAAGACTGCCTTTATTTATTTATTTGTTTATTTATTTTTTGAGACAGGGTCTGGCTCTGTCACCCAGGCTGGAGTGCAGTGGCCCCATCACAGCTCACTGCAACCTCCGTCTCCCGGGTTCAAGCAATTCTAGTGCCTCAGCCTCCTAAGTAGCTGGGATTACAAGTGCCCACCACCACACCCAGCTAATTTTTGTATTTTTAGTAGAGACAAGGTTTCACCATGTTGGCCAGGCTGGTCTCAAACTCCTGAATTCCTGACCTCTAGTGATCCGTGCTCCTCGGTCTCCCGAGGTGCTGGGATTACAGGCATGAGCCACCGCACCTGCCCTAAGACTGCCCTTATTTTAGACTCCAGCCACAATCAGAGTCCCCAGGCTACTCACACTTGTGTCTGACTTGGCTGCACATTTGGAGGCTCCCTCAACCCCACTTTAAGTTGGATAATTTGCTAGAAAGATTCCCAGAACTCACAGAAACACGTTACTTACAATTACAGTTTTATTAAAATGATAGAACTCAAGAACAGCCACATGGAAGACATGCATGGTCTGGGAAAAAGTTGGGGGAGGGAACGTGGAGGGAACATAGAACGTCCATGTCCTCTCCTCGTGGAATCGAGGCATGTCATCTTCCTAGCACATCAATGTGTTCACCCACTAGGAAGCTCCCCCGAGCCTTACTTTTCTGAAGTTTCGTTAGTTCTTTTTAAATTAGGGTTTCATTACATGGGCATAATTGATTAAAACATTGGCCATGCAATTAAACTCAGTCTCCAGCCCCCTCCTCCGCCCAGAGGTCTAGTGGCTTAAACTCTAATTACGTGGTCAGTTTTTCTGGCAACCACCCCCATTCTGAAGCTATCTAGACTCTCCCCTAGTAGTCACCTTCTTAGCATAATGAAGATATTCTTATCACTCAGGAAATTCCAAGGACTTTGGGAGATCTGTGCCAGGAACCCTCCTTCACTAGACCATATATATTCTTTGATTATCACAGACCACACCCTTGTCTTTGACCCAGGATCTTTTATAGTAAAAGGATCATACCTGACTGGGCATAACTGATACTCTTAAGTATTTGCATCTCTCCCTGTGTAAGCAAAGCCCAGTCCAGAGTGCCTACTCCTGTCAGGACCCACTTGTAGCTCGCCGATGGCCACTGGCCACTGGCATCAGTGTAAGTTGTTCTCTATGTGTAGGGCCTTCTCCCTGGGAAATCTGCCCCCTGGCCGTCTATCTGGAGTCTCTGTCTCTCTTTTTGGCAGACAGAACAATTTTTATTGGTAGTTTTTTCCTCAGAAGATGTAAGACGAGCATGTCTATATTCACGCCATCTATGTATTGCTGCAGCTCCCCCAGAGTCATTTTATGGACCCAGGTGGTTATATCAAGTGAATAAACTGGATATCTGCTCATGGACTCCAATCACCTTTTGATGCTGGAAGGGAGGTCCTCTTATGAGCACTGACATGTCTTACGTTAATGCACCACTCAGATTCCCATAATGATTTCCACAGGGCCATGCCGTGTAAGGGCATCCCTTTAATAGACCAATCTCCATTGCTCTTCTGCCTGACCATATGACCAGGCCACTGGCCACCGCCAATGAGTATGTAGAAACCCAAACATAAGAATAAATAGCATGCAATAGAGCCCACCAAGCTGATTTGTTTTTACATTCTACTCTGGGTGCGCTGGCTTATGCCTGTAATCCCAGCACTTTGGAAGGCTGAGGCAGGGGAATTGCTTGAGCCCAGGAGTTTGAGACCAGCCTGGACAACATGATGAAACCCCATCTCTACAAAAAAGCCAGGCGTAGTGGCATGCACCTGTAGTCCGAGCTGCTCAAGAGGGAGGATTGCTTGAGCCAGGGAAGTAGAGGCTGCAGTGAGCCATGATCATGCCACTGCACTCCAACCTGATGACAGAGCAAGATGCTGTCTCAAAAAAAAAAATTTTTTTTTGTTTTACATTTTTTGATCAGAGTAATGATGTTGTCTGATCACATTGGAACTGCTATCCATAAACCAAACAGCTATTTATTGATCAAACGAGCTGTTTATGGCATATTGTCCAAGTGATGACAGAATCTGGCAGCTCCTTGGGGGCTTCCAAAGGCAGTCCTAGGGGAAAAGTGTCTACCAGCTGATGAGTACACTACATCCCCCCAGTATGTATTCCTATACAAATCATTTCCACTTTATTATGGAGCGCTTCCAAACACTTTCTTCCTCATTAGTGTTTCTCTGACATCAACCAAGATATGATGGATATTACAGTTTTCAAAATTATTTTATGTCCTTCAGTCATAGAGGCAGTTTCAATTAATGTCTGACAGCAAGCTATTAATTGCCCCTCAAATGGGAATTCTCTAGTCCAACATCTAAATGGTCCAGTCATTGTTTCTGTGAGGCACTCATGGGCTTTTGCAGAAGCCCTCTGCTCTATGCAGGGTGATTACACCAAGAGTTTGTCCAGACCAACACTCCAGCTTCTATTATGGACTGTGTGGGGTTGGGAATCTCATTCATCCTCATTTATCCTGTCCAATAAATATGGCTTGATGGGTGGATTTACTTGGCTTGTTTTACTGTTGTCAAACTCAAATCATTAGATTTAGAAAATAAGATTAAGTATAGAGTTTGAAAAGCTCGAGGATAGCCACCCGGAAAACACAGATTCCAAAGGAATGGGGTCAGTGCTCTAAAGTGGAGAAGTTAAGGTTTCCTTTATAAAAGCAGAGACAAAGAAGTTTAACAGGGTTACAGCATTTTCCATACAAGGTCAGTCTCCTCATGCCTGTAATCTCAATACTTTGGGAGGTCAAGATGGTAGGATAGCTTGATGCCAGGAGTTTGAGACCAGCCTGGGCAATATAATGAGACCCTGTCTCTATTAAAAACAAAAAACAAAAAAACAAAAAAAAAAACATTCCTCCAAACTGGGATAAATAAAGCAGACTTTTAGGAGTCCTTTTAATGTTGGAGGCCCAGGAGAGGGGGTCCCATTGGTCCACCCGACCTTCTATAGTGCTATATTAAGATCTTTATTTCAACCCATCAGTGCCCATTTTATTCATCTCATTTCTTAATAACCATCTAAAAATTTCCACCCTGCTGGAATGAATCCTTTGTTTCTGCTGTCTCTTCTCATTGTCTTGTTAATTAATGTTCTTGATATCTTTATGACCCACATCAAAAAGCAGAGACAGAAAATCCAATAAGCCTTCTCTGTTGTTGAATTCTGTAAGAGTAAGTTTACATGGGGTGCCTTTGCAAAAGGGGTCCCTTTAATAACAGCATTTACCATGACTGGGTAATGGCCATATTCAGTAGATAAATATGCTGATAATCATAAAGCCAGTTTCAGTGGTTTGCATACAAAGCATATCAGCTGCTTCATCTGGGCTATTTCACTTGACATTTATAGAGAGAATCAGAAAGTCCTTCTCAAGGTAAATACACTCTTTACAGTGGCTTTTATCCAGTCCACCAAGCCAGCTCTTCCCTCTGGAATAACCCTGCTGTGTGTCTGGATCACATACAACCTTCTATGATTGTTCCATAGTGAGCTGTGGGTCCTGTATCAACCTAAACATAATCTCATAATCTTCTGCATTGCAGCATTCAAAACCAAAGGTACTTCCCCTAAATTAGATACTCTCACAGTCCACTTTGGTAAAGATTCTTCAGGAGGCTGATAACTATCCACGAAATGAAACAGCTCCTTCACACTATACCTACTGATTTCAGTAGTTTTATGGGTTTGCCCTCCCACAACATGAAGTACCCTCTAGCTGACCAGAGCTACCTTCTGTTGTCCTAGCATAATTGTTCCTTTTGGGGGTTGCCTGAGGCTAGTGGCCATAGCTGAGACTTACCAAAATCTGAGTTTGGTTCAAGGTCAACATCCACCCTAGCATTTTCTTTCACTCTCAACTTTAGCTATTATAGATACAGCCAAGGGATTGTATGTTTACTATATTTCTTTTTATTTTGTGTTTCTTTATGTCCCCTGTGAAAGGAAAATAAATCTTGGGACCCCAAAATCACTAAGCCAAGGGAAAAGTCAACCTGGGAACTATGTCAGGCAAACCTGCCTTCCATTTTATTCCTAAGTAAGATAGTTGCAAAAAGAAAAAGCTACATACCTCCCTCACAATTTGCCCACAAGGAAATTCCTTGTGGACAAAAGACAACTCAAAGTCATCCCTCTGAGGCTCACCTGAGACAAATGCGTATCTGATTGCAGAAATCCCATATTTCTCCCCTATCGTTTATGTAAAAATGCAGATTCACTGAGCAAGACTAAACTGTGTATTCAGTGGAAGGCTGATCAAAGGACTCAAAATAATGCAACCTTTGGTCTCTTATCTACTTATGACCTGGGAGCCCCTGCCTCAAGCTGTCCCTCCTTACCTGATGGAACCAATGTACATCTTACACATATTGATTGTGTCTCATGTCTCCCTAAAATGTGTAAAAGCAAGCTGTACACTGACCACCTTAGGCACGTGTAAGGACCTCCTGAGGCTGTGTCACAGGGGCGTCCTTAACCTTGGCAAAATAAACTTTCTAAATTGATTGAGACCTGTCTCAGATACATTTTGGTTTATAATTCAAATGATCGCCTTCCTTTGGAGTTGAGTCTACCACCATTTCTAAATTCCACTGATAATTTTTACCTTTGGTAACTGATTGCAGCACAGTGCAGTCTCATTAGGTATTAGTTATTAGATAGTCATCAAGAAACCAGATTCCTCATCCCCCACCCATTCATTCTTTCTGTTCCCAAGCCGAGTTTCTGTGAATCAGTGACGGAAGTCACTCCCTCAGTCATATCCAATGTTGCACTTGTATGTGCTTTTGTCTTATGCTTTAAAAAGTATCTATTGTAGAAGGTTTTCAGTTGGTTTAAAGCCAATTTTTTTTTTTTACATTTTAGAAGGGTTTGATACAACTTAGTGCTTTTGTATGTAGGTATAAACATTTCGTATATTTCATAAACATATCAAACAGAGAAGATTGTTTATCCAGAATGCTTAGGACCTGACCCTGTTACAAACTAATGATATTTCTGAAATATGATGATCCAAAAAAATGTTTTGGTATAGAGGGTATGGTATATAATATGGAACCTAAATTTTAAACAAGTTGTAAAGCAAATATACCTTAGGAAATGGTTTACTATAATAAAATATTTCCATGTGTCCCTATTGAAGAAAGTCTTCAAATGTCTGTCATTTTGTACATATAGAAAATATATACCTTTCTGAAAATGAAGCATGCTACATAAATCCTGTTTGGAGAAATACCTCAAATACGTTTTCCTTATTAATCCTTATACTGACAAAATTCAGAATTTACAATGTACATAGCATTAAGAGGTAATATGCAGCAATAACAATGTATGGATTCATGTTATTTACCAAGAACTCCTTGTTAATTTGTGGGTAGGATTTTGTGAAAATCACTTGTCAGGATTTCTTTTAGAACCATCTGGAAACCAAAGAAGGACACGCAGCAGCTCTTTTGGAAAGACTCATCATCTTCTTGTCCTTAGCTTGTATATCTTCAGTGTCTTCTGCTCAGTGGTAAATGATCTCTGGGCCAGAAAATTTATGAGGTTCTCCCAACCTTTTACAGTCTCTAACAAAGTCAATTTTTAAAAATTCTGTCTGCTTTACTTTAAAGTTACTCTGTCCCTGTGAATTGGCTTGAGCTGCTGGAATATCACTGCCTGGCCATTTGCAACCCAGGGGATCATACACTCAGCATGCACTATGCATAAATTTTTAAATGTAGTAATTTCTAAAACAGACCACTTCAAAACAACCATTTTGAAACAATTCAGAGCAATTCATGCTTTCAGGCAGTTCCAGATGTTCTAGATTATCTAAAACTCTTTTTTACTCTAATAATCTTCTATGGTGAAGAAACTTTCACATTAAAATTTTTTGTACTTTTAATTGAAAAAACATTTTAATTCCATGGAAATGATTATGACAAATTATTTTCCTAGTAAGTTGAGTATAAAGTAGTGGCTCTAAGCTCCTTTTCATTTTGAGAGTATTATCGCCAAAATAGAGAGTTTAAAACGACTCAGTCAAGAAGCAATAAAATATCTACCTAAAGTGTATTTTCTTGTCTTCAAGTCAAGGGCTGTACCAGAAGGCTACTCATTTAGCCAGTAAATGAGTAAACAAATAATGTTTACTTCTATAAAACATCAATAGAGTTTGTAAGCCAAGACCCTCCAAGTGATTAGCATTAAATGCTAGGATGTAATTTCATAGAGTAGGGATTAAGTAATATTTGTACTGTGCTGGAGAATTAAAATAATAGTAGAATCTATGGCTAATTTTCCAATGTTTCTTGCCCTGTCTTTCAATATACACCATTAACATAATATTAGTGTCTCTTCATTTTCTGTGTTTTTAAGGTAGATACAAATATGAACAACAAAATGCACAAAACATAATTTTAAAAGGATTATATTAATAGGTTCAGGACTATAATCAATTTGTCCTTAATTTAAAAGACAATATGAGATAGTAGCTGCTATGCAATGAAATTTTTTATCTTCTAAGTCTACTTAATATTAATCAGTCAAAATTATCAGAAAAGTAGTTATAATAATGAAGCATTTATAATTAAAAGTTGACAAAATCCCTTTTTTTGGCACTTGTTTTCAATGAATAAAGGATCTTTCCTCATTCTTGATGAATACCTACACCGCAAATAGCAAAATCCATTTATTAACCAAGTCACTATTGAGCACCTACTGTGGCCTGGGAACTGTTCTAGGTGATAAAGAAACAGTAGTGAGAAGAAAGAAATATTCCTGCTTACATTTTAATGAGTATGTATGGGGAGAAGACATACTATAAACAAACATTTTAAAATATAGTATTTCAGAATTAATAAACAGAGACAGCACAAGAAGGAGATAGGAAGATGATGGGGGAATGTCATTTTAAACAGGGTGTACTGTGCAAAGGCATACAGAGTGATATAATGGACTCTGGAGACTCAGGAAGGGGAGGGTGGAACATGGCTGAGGAAAAAAGCTACTTACTAAGTACAATGTACAGTAGTCAGATGATGGGCGAACTAAATCTCAGACGTCCGCTGGGCGCAGTGGCTCATGCCTGTAATCCCAGCACTTTGGGAGGCCGAGGCATGCGGATTGCCTGAGGTCAGAAGTTCGAGCCTGGCCAACATGGTGAAACGATATCTCTACTAAAAATACAAAAATTAGCCGGGCATGGTGGCGGGCGCCTGTAATCCCACCTACTTGGAAGGCTGAGACAGGAGAATCACTTGAATCCGGGAGGCAGAGGTTGCAGTGAGCCGAGATGGTGCCACTGCACTCCAGCCTGGGCATGACAGAGCGAGACTCCGTCTCCAAAAAACAAAAAACAAACAAACAAAACAAAACAAAACAAAAATAAAATAAAATCTCAGACTTCACCAATTATACAATTATACAAAAACCACTTGTATCCAAAAGCTATTGAATTTTTTTTAATTTAAAAATAAAGTCGAAAAAAGAATAGGTAATGCTAATAATAACAATATTAATAAAATAATCAACATTAAAAATAAATCAATAAATAGGGTGTAATGGGAAGGTGTCACTGAGAAGATGAGATTTGCACAAACACCCCAAAGAAGTGGTGCTCAATTTAAACTTCTGCAAAAAAACACACAGGAAAAACATCAAATAAATTCCTATTAGAGGAGCTTATGTTATTCCTCTGTAATTTAAATGTGCTAATCTATAAAAATAATTCTGTATGGTTTTGACATTAATGATCATCATCATAACATGACTTGCTTGTGAATAGATTCTATTTAATAGTCATAATAACTAAACACTGAATATTTATATAACCAAATAATTACTATTCAGGTCCACAATCCCACATATAAAACCCCTGGGTCAAATCTGTTTCAGAATTCAAATCTGTTTAAGAAAAATGGTGTGTATTCCAAAGTTCTTGATAACACTATGCGTTTGTTACAGAACATCCCCAGCAGGGTCGCAGCGATCATTCCCTAAACACATCAGTATTTCTGCCGTGTAACACACGAATATTTACATTAAGTGGTATAAATAAAGATAGTAGCTTCTTTTCAAGTTTTCTAGCTTTTCTTCAGGTTTTGCTGCCAAATGAGTTCAGATTGGGTCAGTTATGAAAAAACTTTTTGTAGTTCATAAATTTGCAATTCTTAAGTTGTGAATATGAGATTATAGATTTGTTTTGGAGGAATTGGAGTGAAAATTCGGATATATACATGGGCTTGGGATGAAAGGAAGGGTAAAAAAGGCTAAATCTTCATTTTTCATAGTGGAGAGACAATAGATACTGTTCCCCCACCATTGGTAAATAATAAGCATGTTATTTATTAATAGATGCATTAAGGTAAATACCAAAAGAGCCAACTAAAAGAGCTGAAAGTGATTGTTTCTGCAGAGGGGAAGGTTGAGAAGAACGGATCCAGTACTACTGTTTTTCACAACAAACCTTATAGAAGTATTTGCCTACTTAAATATGTGCATGTATAACTTCAATAAAAATAAACACTGACCTTAAAAAAAAGATGGGAGAAAATATGTGGACCACCTATTCGACAAAGGACCTGCATGTAGAACTTACCAAGAACTATCAAATCTTAATAATAAAAAACAAATAAGCAATCCAATAAGAAAATGGTCAAGGGACATGAACAGACATTTCACCACAGAGAATATACAGATGGCAAATACACACATGAAAAGAAGCTCCATAGCTTAGCAATTAGGGAAATGCAAATTAAAACCATGCCAATCAGAATGACTGAAATAACCAGTGATAACAAATGCTGGCAAGGACGCAGAGAAACTGGATCACTTACATTTTACTGGTGGGAATATAAAAATGCCATAGCCATTATGGAAACAAATATGACAGTCTCTTACAAAACTATACATGCACTTACCATATGACCAAACAATTGCACTCTTGGGCATTTATCCCAGAGAAATGGAAACTTATGTTCAAGTAAAAAGCTGTATGCAAATGTTTGTAGTAGCTCAACTCTTAATAGCCAAGAACTGAAAGCAACTCAAGTATCTTTCAATGAGTGAATGCTTCAACAAACTATGGTACATCTATATCATGGAACACTATTCAGTAGTAAAAAGAAAACAACCGGCACAACAACCTAGGTGGATCTCTAGGGAATTATTCCAAGTGAGAAAGGCAATCTCAAAAGGTTATACACTGTATGAGTCCATTTATATAACATTCTTGAAAGAAAAAATAGTAAGATGGAAAACAGATTAGTGGTTGCCAGAAGTTAAGAAGTGGTGAGAGGGAGAATGGATGTGGCTCTAAGGCTAAAAGGTAGCACCAGAAAGCCCTGTGATGATAGAACAGTTCTGTGTCTTGATTGTGGTGATGGTTACATGAAGCTACCAAATGATTACATTGCACATAAATAAAAACCTTAGGTGCAAAACAGTACTATACATTTACTCTGGGTACATCCACGTGAAGCAAAAATATGCAGAGAAAATTCTGGAAATATACTTACCAAACATTGGTTAAATCTCAATTTAGAGGAGTAGGCAGCGATTGAGGACCAAGGTAGTAGAGAGGACTTTGTTGTAATGTTCTCTTCTTTCTTTCCTTCCTTCTTTTTAAAGGAAGATATATATGTTATTACTTGAGTTGAAAATGTAAACAAAAAAGACTGGAAGGTTATAGTTCATTGGAGTATCTCAGTGTAGTGAGATAAAGGACAGATTTTAAGACTGAATTTTCTCCAATGTGTGTTTAAATATCACTTTTGTAATTTTATTTTTATTAAAAATATTTTTAATCAATTTTGGACATTTCTATTACACAAAAAAACCCCAAAAAACCCTGTACCCATTAGCAGTGAATCCTCGTCTCCTCCCCTATCCCCCACCCAGCCCTAGGAAACTACTAATCAACTTCCTCTCTTTACAGATTTTCCCCTCCTGGGCATTTAATTTAAATGGAATTATACAATGTGTGGTCTTTTGTAACTGGCCTCTTACACTTAGCACAATGTTTTCGAGGTTTATCCATGTAGCATGTATCAGTTCTTTCTTTTATTGCTGAATAATATTCCACCATATTTATATGCCACAGTTTATTTATCCATTCATCACTTGGTAGACATTTGGGTGGTATCTACTTTTGCTTGGGCTGTTATAAGTAAAGGTGTTATGAACATTTTCACACAAGTTATTGAGTAATAGATCTTTTTTCCTTTCTTCTTTTTTTTTGAGAGTTTATATATTATATATATGTGTGTATATATATGTGTATATATATGTACATATATATACACCATGGAATACCATACATACCATGGAGATGTATATATATATATATATATATATATATACACATATATATATGTGTGTGTGTGTATAGATATATATGTGTGTGTATATATATATAAAATATATATATATATATATAAAACATTTTCTTTATCCATTTGTTGATTAATGGGCATTTAGGCTGGTTCCATATTTTTACAATTGTGAATTCTGCTGCTATAAGCATGAGTATGCAAGTATCTTTTTCATATCATGTCTTCTTTTCCTCTGGGTAGATACCCAGTTTGGGTTGCTAGATCAAATGGTAGAACTACTTTTAGTACTTTAAGGAATCTCCACACTGTTTCCCATAGTGGCTGTACTAGTTTACATTCCCACCAGCAGTGTAAAAATGTTCCCTTTTCACCACATTCACTCCAACATCTTTTTTTTTTTGGCCATTCTTGTAGGAGTGAGGTGGTATCGCATTGTGGTTTTGAACCACATCTGATCATAGGTGATGTTAAGCATTTTTTTCATGTTTGTTGGCCATTTATATATCTTATTTTGAGAATTGTCTATTCATGTCCTTAAACCAGTTTTTGATGGGGTGGTTTGTTTTTTTCTTGTTGACTTGTTTGAGTTCCTTGTAGATTTTGGATATTAGTCCTTTGCCAGATGTATAGATTGTGAAAATTTTCTCTCACTCTGAGGATTGTCTGTTTGCTGATTGTTTCATTTGCTTTGCAGAAGCCTTTTAGTTTAATTAAGTCTCATCTATTTATCTTTATTTTTGTTGCATTTGCTTTTGGGTTCTTGGTCATGAAATCTTTGCCTAAGCCAATCTCTAGAAGGGTTTTTCCGATGTTATCTTCTAGAATTCTTATGGTTTCAGGTCTTGAGATATGATTTAAGTCCTTGATCCATCTTTGTTGGGAAAAAGCTGAGTGTTGGGGAAAAAAACTGAGGCAGGGCTTGTGTGTCTGACATAATGTCCTCTGGAATGTGTCTAGACTGGCTGGCTCCTTGCTTCTAGCCCTCCTACGCTCTTAGATCAATTGTATTCCCATTATCTCAAGTAGCAGAACTTGTTCCATATAAATGCTAAACCAAGAACAGCTGTAGACCATGCGCCTGCCCTTTTGACCCCCACATTCTCACCACCTGTTTCTTTGTTGAATTACCAATAAATAGCATGGGCTCCCAGAGATCGGGGCCTTCGCAGCCTCCGCAGCCTCCGCAGCCTCCGCAGCCTCCACAGCCTCCACAATCCCGATGGCCCCCTGGTCCCACTTTCCTTCTCAAACCGTCTTTTTCTCAATCCTTTGACTCTGCCAGACTTCGTCGCCCCTATGGCCTGGTGTTGGGTCTGATCACCCCAATACATCTTGAGTTAATTTTTGTATAGGTGAGAGATGAGGATCCAGTTTCCTTCTTCTACATGTGGCTTCCTGGTTATCCCAGCACCATTTGTTGAATAGGGTGTCCATTCCCTACTTTTGGTTTTTGTTTGCTTTCAGTTGGCTGTAAGTATTTGGCTTTATTTCTGGGTTGTCTATTTTGTTTCATTGTTCTATGTGCCTATTTTTATATCAGTACCATGCTCTTTTGGTGACTATGGCCTTATGGTGTAGTTTGAAGTCAAGCAATGTGATGACTCCAGATTTATTCTTTTTGCTTAGTCTTGCTTGGCCATGTGGGGTCCTTTTTGGATCCATATGAAATTTATGATTGTTTTTTTCTAGTTCTGTGAAGAGTGATGGTGGTATTTTGATGGGAATTGCATTGAATTTGTAGATTGCTTTTGGCAGTATGGTCATTTTCAAAATATTGAGTCTACCCATCTATGAACATGGAAAGTGTTTCCATTTGTTTGTGTCATCTCTGATTTCTTTTAGCAGTGTTTTGTAGTTTTCTTGTAGAGGTCTTTCACCTCCTTGGTTAGGTATATCCCTAAGTATTTTATTTTATTTTTTTGCAGCAATTGTAAATGGGGTTGTGTTCTTGATTTGATTCTCAGATTGGTTACTGTCGGTGCACAGCAGTGCTACTGATTTGTGTACATTAACGTTGCATCCTGAAACTTTGCTGAATTCATTTATCATATCTAGGAGCTTTTTGGATGAGTCTTTAGGGTTTTCTAGCCATGTAATCATAACATCAACAAACAGCAACACTTTGACTTCCTCTTTACTGATTTGGATGCCCTTTATTTCCTTCTCTTGTCTGATTGCTATGGTTAGGACTTCCAATACTATGTTGAATAAAAGTGATGAAAGTGGGCATCCTTGTCTTGTTCCAGTTCTCAGGGGGAATGCTCTCAACTTTTCCCCATTCAATACAATGTTGGCTAAGGGCTTGTCATAGATAGATGGCTTTTATTACATTAAGGTATGTCTGTTTTGTGCTGATTTTGCTGAGGGTTTTAATCATAAAGGGATGCTGGATTTTGTCAAATGCTTTTTCTGCATCTATTGAGATGATCATGTGATTTTTGTTTTTAATTCTGTTTATGTGGTGTATCACATTTACTAACTTGCATATGTTAAATTATCCCTGCATCCCTGGTATGAAACCCACTTGATTATGGTGGATTATCTTTTTGATACGCTGTCAGATTTGGTTAGCTAGTATTTTGTTGAGAATTTTTGTGTCTGTAGTTTTCTTTTCTTTTTTCTTTTTTTTTGTTATGTCCTTTCCTGGTTTTTGCATTATGGTGATACTGGCTTCATAGAATGATTTAGGGAGGATTCCCTCTTTCTCTATCCTGTAGAATTGTGTTAATACGATTGGTACCAATTCTTCTTCTTCTTCTTTTTTTTAGATGTAGTCTGGCTCTGTTGCCCAGGCTGGAGTGCAGTGGCGCGATCTTGGCTCACTGCAACTTCTGCCTCCTGGGTTCAAGCGATTCTCCTGTCTCAGCCGCCCAAGTAGCTGGGATTACAGGCGCATGCCACCATGCCTGGCTAATTTTTGTACTTTTAATAGAGATAGGGTTTCGCCATGTTGGCCAGGCTGGTCTTGAACGCCTGACCTCAAGTGATCCACCCACCTCAGCCTCCCAAAGTGCTGAGATTACAGGCGTGGGCCACCGCGCCCGGCCCCAATTCTTTGAAAGTCTGATATGATTCAGCTGTGAATCTGTCTGGTCCTGGACTTTTTTTGTTGGCAATTTTAAAATTACCATTTCAATCTCGCTGCTTGTTATTGGTCTGTTCAGAGTTTCTATTTCTTCCTGGTTTATTCTAGAAGGCTTGCTTATTTCCAGGAATTTATCCATCTCTTCTAGGTTTTCTAGTTTATGCGCATAAAGGTATATATAGTAGCCTTGAATGATCTTTTGTATTTCCATTGTATTGGTTGTAATATCTCCCTTTGCATTTCTAATTGAGCTTACTTGGATCTTCTCTCTTTTCTAGGTTAATCTTTTTTTCTTGGTCTATCGATTTTATTTATCTTTTCAAAGAGCCAGGTTTTGTTTCATTTGTCTTCTGTATTTTTGTTTGTCTGTTTCAATTTCATTTAGCTCTGCTCTGATCTTTGTTATTTTCTTTTCTTCTGCTGGATTTGGGTTTGGTTTGCTATCATTTAATTCCTTGAGGTGTGACCTTAGATTGTCTATTTGTGCGCTTTCAGACTTTTTGATGCAGCCATTTAAGGCTATAAACTTTTCTGTTAGCACCACCTTTGCTGTATCCCAGAGCAAAGGTTTGATAAGTTGTGTCACTATTATTGTTCAGTTCAAATAATTTTTTAATTTCCATCTTGATTTCATTGTTGACCCAATGATCATTCAAGAGCAGGTTATTTAATTTCCATGTATTTGCATGGTTTTGAGGATTCCTTTTGGAGTTGATTTCCAATTTTTTTTCACTGTGGTCTGAGAGAGTACTTGATATAATTTCAATTTTCTTAAATTTGTTGAGACTTGTTTTGTTGTCTATCATATGGTCTGTCTTGGAGAAAGTTCCATGTGTTGATGAATAGAATGTATATTCTACAGTTGTTGGGTAGAATATTCTGTAAATATCTGCAAAGTCCATTTGTTGTAGGGTATAGTTTAAGTTCATTTTTTCTTTGCTGACTTTCTGCCTTGATGACCTGTCTAGTGCTGTCAGTGGAGTATTGAATTCCCCCATTATTATTGTGTTGCTGTCTATCTCATTTCTTAGGTCTAGTAGTAATTGTTTTATAAATTTGGGAGCTCCAATGTTAGGTGCATATATATTTAGGATTGTGATATTTTCCTGTTGGACAAGTCCTTTTTATCATTATATAATGACCCTCTTTGTCTTTTTTAACTGCTGTTGCTTTAAAGTTTGTTTTGTCTGACATAAGAAAAGCTACTCCAGCTCACTTTTGGTGTCCATTCACATGGAATATCTTTCTCCACCCCTTTACCTTAAGTTTATGTGAGTCCTTATGTTAGGTGAGTCTCTTGAAGACAGGAGAAACTTGGTTGGTGAATTCTTACCCATTCTGCCATTCTGTGTCTTTTAAGTGGAGCATTTAGGTCATTTACTTTCAATGTTAGTATTGAGATGTGAAGTACTGTTCTGTTCATCATGCTATTTGTTGCCTAAATAACTTTTTTCTTTTACATCGTGTTGTTTTATAGGTCCTGTCAGACTTATGCTTTAAGGAGGTTCTATTTTGGTGTGTCTTGAGGAATTTGTTTCAAGACTTAGAGCTGCTTTTAGTAGTTCTTATACTGTTGGCTTGGTAGTGGCATATTCTCTCAGCATTTGTTTGTTTGAAAAAGACTGTATCTTTCCTTCATTTATGAGGCTTAGTTTCACCGGATACAAAACTCTTGGCTGATAATCGTTTTGTTTAAGGAGCCTAAAGACAGAACCCCCATCCCTTCGAGCTTGTAGGGTTTCTGTTGAGAAATCTGCTGTTAATCTGATAGGTTTTCCTGTATAGGTTACCTGGTGCTTTTGCCTCCACAGCTTTTAAAATTATTTACTTCATTTTGACTCTAGATAACCTTATGACTGTGTGCCTACATGATGATCTTTCTGTGATGAATTTCCCAGGTGTTCTTTCAACTTCTTGTATTTGGACGTCTAGTTCTCTAGCAAGGCCAAGGAAATTTTCCTCAATTATTCCCTCAAATATGTTTTCCAAACTTTTAGATTTCTCTTCTTCCTCAGGAACACCAATTATTCTTAGATTTGGTCATTTAACATAATCCCAAATTTCTTGGAGGCTTTGTTTGTTTTTTAAATTCTTTTTTCTTTGCCTTTGTTGAATTGGGTTAATTTGAAAGCCTTGTCTTCAAGCTCTGAAGTTCTTTCTTCTACCTGTTTGATTCTATTGCTGAGATTTTCTACCGCATTTTGCATTTTTCTAAATGTCTCCTTCATTCTAGAAGTTGTGATTGTTTTTTATTTATGCTTGTTAGATATGAGTTCTAAATTTCTTTTCAAAGAATCAATATGTCAGTATGTTCAATTCTTTGCCTTCTACTTTTAAACTTAACTTCCTCATAAAGCAATCTTTTTCGATTACCTGCTCCATCCTGACTCATTTCAATCACCTGCTCCACCCTGACTCATTCCAATTACCTGCTACCTGCTGCGTCCTGACTCATTCTCCAGGCTGCATAACCATTTTTCCCGCCAAACCACTCACCCCGTCACTCTCTTTAAATTAGCCTATCAGAATTAGTTTAGCCTGTGCAGTCTAACCCTAGCCAATAGGGGGACAACACAGCAGCAGAGGCCACGTGCTTCAGGGATAAGAACTCCTTCCCCTCCCTTGTCCAAGTGTGTGCTCATCATTGCTCCATCTGTAAGGGCGCACCCTTCTATAGAAGCACCTTGCCTTGCTGAGAAAAAGAAAATTTTATATTCGAGTGCTATTTCTTTTGAGGCACTGAAACTTTATTTATAACACTCTCTATTCCTCTGGAGATTTTTCCATCCATATCCTATAGCATTTAAAAAATTTCTTTGAGTTGATATTCACCTTTTTCTGGTGCCTCCTTGAGTAGCTTAATACTTGACCTTTTGAATTCTTTTTCTGGCAATTCAGAGATTTCTTCTCAGTTTGGATCCATTGCTGGTGAGCTAGTGTGATCTTTTGGGGGTGTTAAAGAACCTTGTTTTGTCATATTACCAGAATTGTTTTTCTGGTTCCTTCTCATTTGGGTAGACTCTGTCAGAGGGAAGATCTGGGGCTCAAGGGCTGCTGTTCAGATTCTTTCGTCCCACACGGTGCTCCCGTGCTCAGAGGATGTGAGTGCTCAGAGAAGAGGCTTCCTGAGAGCCAAACTACAGTGATTGTTAATTCTCTTCTGTATCTAGCTGCCCAGCAGAGCTACCAGGTTCTGGCATGGTACTGAGGAGTCTCTGCAAAGCGTCTTGTGATGTGATCCATCTTCAGGTCTCTCAGCCTTGGATACCAGCACCAGCTCCAGTGGAGGTAGCAGGAGAGTGAAGTGGACTCTGTGAGGGTCCTTTGTTGTGTTGTTGTTTATTGCGCTAGTTTTGTGTTGGTTGGCCTCTAGCCAGGAGGTGGTGCTTTCAAGAGAGCATCAGCGGCCGGGCACAGTGGCTCACGCCTGTAATCCAAGCACTTTGGGAGGCCGAGGCGGGTAGATCACAAGGTCAGGAGATAGAGACCATCCTGGCTAACATGGTGAAACCCCGTCTCTACTAAAAATACCAAAAAAAAATAAATTAGTCAGGCGTGGTGGCAGGTGCCTGTATTCCCAGCTACTCAGGAGGCTGAGGCAGGAGAATGGTGTGAACCCAGGGGGTGGAGCTTGCAGTGAGCTGAGATCGTGCCACTGCACTCTAGCCTGGGTGACACAGCGAGACTCCATCTCAAAATAAATAAATAAATAAATAAATAAATAAAGAGCATCAGCTACAGTAGTATAGGGAGGATACAAGCTTGTCCTAAGGTCACCTGGATAAGTTTCTCAGGCAGTGGGTGGGTCCATAGGGCTACCAAGAGATTATGTCCTTTGCCTTCAGCTACCAGGGCCAGTAGAGAAAGTCCATCAGGTCGGGGTAGGGATAGGCGTGTCTGAGCTCAGACTCTCCTTGGGCAGGGCTTGCTTCGGCTGCTGTGGTGGATGGAGGTCTGGTTCTCAGGCCAATGGAGTTATGTTCCCAGGGGGATTATGGCTGCGTCTGCTGTGTCATGCAGGTCACCAGGAAGGTGAGAGAAAGCCAGCAGTTACAGGCCTCACCCAGCTCCCATGCAGCCCGAAAGGCCCATCTCACTCCCAACATGCCCCTCCAATAGCACTGAGTTTATTTCCAGACAGGAGGTGAGCAGGGCTGAGGACCCGCCCCAGGCTCCAGGCCACCCCACTGGGAAAACAAGCAGGGCTTTCAGGTTTTGCACCTCCCTGCCTGCCACAACTTCTGTGGCCTCAAGACCCAGTATGCCAGTCTGACTCCCATGGCCAATCTCTCTGGCTCTTCTTACCATTCGCCCACTACACTGGCTTCTCAACAGCAAGGTGTCCACACTCAACCCCTCCAGTCTCATTTAGTGTGTCACATCTAGTCCTTCCTTGCCTGCCCCAACCCTATTATTTCTGTTTTCTGACCCAATCTTAAACTCAGTGTGTCACTTCAACCAAAATCAGTCATGAAGATCATTTTGTAGGCTTTTTTAAGTGAAGTTAATTATATTTTGTTTTACATAAATGTGTTTCTATTCTTCTTAATTCAAATCATTAATGTCCAGGACTAATTAGAAAAGTTTTGGAATTTCCACAAAGAGATTTGAATTTCACACCAAGAATGCAGTGTCAACCAGTATGTGTACAATGGCACTGGAAATACATTCTGATGTTCCAGGCACAAAGGAACAAGTTATGTGGCTTACGGTCACATAACTAGTAAATCTAGAGACCAGAGATTTACCTAGGCAGGCAGACTCTGCATACTCCACAGCCCAACTCTAAACCACTATGTATATGAAGTTCTTGTTTGTTTGTTTATTTTTTTTTGACAGAGTCTCCTTCTGTTGCCCAGGCTGGAATACAGTAGCATGATCATAGCTCACTGCTGCCTCGATCTCCTGCGCTCCGGTGATCCTCCCACCTCATCCTCCTGAATAGTTAGGACTACAGGTGTGCATCACCACACTCGGCTAATTTTTGTATTTTTCACAGAGGTGGGGTCTCACTTTGTTGCCCAGGCTGGTCTTGAACTCCTAGGCTCAAGCAGTCCTTGCCTTGGCCTCCCAAAGTGCTAGATTATAGGCATAAACCACCACACTCAGCCTATATGAAGTCTTAACATTCATATTCTACCACAAAAATATAAACAGAACCTTAATTTAAGAATGTGCTATTTTTGTCCTTGCTCTGATATTAGCTACCATTGGGTATTTAGTGATATGTTAGACTCTATGGTTCTCATTTTTATGCTGAGCATACAAATCCCCTGATGTTTCTTTTTTAAAATATTGGAAAAGATTTACCAGCTATTTTAAAGAAATGGTTTTCAATTTTTAAAGTTAACTAAGCCAGACTGGGAAGGAGGCACGCTTGGTACTAACGGCCCATTAGCCGAATGAAATGGAAAAATGAAAAACACAAACAAAAAAACCAAACCAGTATCTGAGTAGTTTTTTGTCAAACATTTCAGATTGTATCCATGTTATCCATTAAACATTTCTACATGCCTACAAATAATTTTGAGTCATTATTACAGATTCCCAGCACAGATCCTAAGGTGTTTTTAACAGTGGTTTCTTTAAACAGCAAATTACAGCCACCATGCCTATAATCCCAGCACTTTAGGAGGCCGAGGCAGGCAGATTGCTTGAGCTCAGGAGTTCAAGACTCCAGCCTGGGCAACATGGTGAAACTCTGTCTCTACAAAAAATCCAAAAATTAGCTGGATGTGGTGGCACACACCTATAGTCCCAGCTACTTGGGAGGCTGAGATGGGAGGATCACTTGAGCCCCAGGGGTTGGGGGGGTTGAGGCTGCAGTGAGCCTTGATTGTGCTACTCCACTCCAGCCTAGGCAAAAGAGTAAGACTCTCAGGAAAAAAAAAAAAAAAAAAAAAATATATATATATATATATATTCTGCAAGGTTAAATTAATTGTGTGTTGAGACATTGAGTGGTTGAGAACAGCAGCTCTGGAGTAAAACAGGCTGGATCAGCTTCCTGGATCTTCTACCTATCAGTCGTGTGACTTTGGGCACATTACTCAACCTCTTGGGGCCCTACTTTTCTCATCTGTAAAATGGGGTTAATAATCCTCACTTCCTCCTGTTGTGAATTTTAAGTGAAATAATACATGTAAAGTGCCTAGAACAGTGCCTGACATATGTCTTCATTCAGTGAATTATAGTTATTTTTGTTATAGTCATCATGATAGAAATGAAAAGTGTCACCCTCACAGCAAATGTTGAGCTTATATCTAAAGTTGGATGAATGCCTATATTTTATTTTTTGGAAGAAAGGCTAAAATGTAAATGCTACCGAATGTTAAATCAGAGCAAGCTAGAAATAATGATATTTAACTTATCAAAGTGAATTGCCAGAGTTCAAACTCAGCAACTATAAATTTCAGGAATTCACTAATGAAATTACTAATTACAACTGATTACAGATGTTTACTAAAATAGGTAGCCATAAAAATCTTAGGAGCACTGCAAAGCATAATAGGGAACCCATAGAAACTCTAACATTCCTCAAGAGACTGATGAAAAGAGCTGAAGAAAAGGCAAAAGCTGTGGAAGACCTGGCAGGTATCAGAGAGCACCCACAATCACTGAAAGAACCAGAGGAACAAATTAAGTGGTGAAACACCCATAGAAATCTTATGAGCACTCCAAAGCACAAAACAGAACCAGCGGAAACTCTAAGAATTCTCATGAAAATGCCAGGACACTTAAAATAAAACCAAAACCCACAGAAGACTGGCAGCTATCAGAGAGCTCCTGTAAACACCGAAAGAACTAGAGGAACAAATAAATGTTGATGATGTCAACAGAAAGTTTAGGAACACTTCAAAGCACAAACCCAGGAGACTGCTGGGGATGACTGGGGAAAATGCAGTCAGGAAGAAAACCTGACAGGCATCAAAGGGCTTATGAAAATGCCAAAGCAGACAGCACAGCTAGAGAGTGAAAGCAACAAGAACCCCAGATCTGCCAAGTGGAAATGGTGAAACCTCACAGGGAGCAAGAGATTGTTTAGGATACCTAAAGAAAAGCCAGAACTGGCGGAAGACCCAACAGAAACCAAGGGCCTTGGGAAAACTCCACAGCCAATTGCCAACCCAGAGGACAATCAACAAGAAACTTGGGACAGTACCCAGGGCTCAGTGCGAATCAGCTGGACTTCTTACAACAATCAAGAAATTTCTAAGAACTTCTGTGAAAAAGATTGAACCCATGGAAGACCTGACAGGCACCAATAGACCAAAACTCCTAAAGAAATAAAGGCCGGCGCAGTCGTTGACGTCTGTAATCCCAGCACTTCGGGAGGCCAAGGTTGGAGGATCACTTGAGTAAAGGAGTTGGAGACTAGCCTGAGCAACATAGCAAGACACACACACACACACACACACACACACACACACACACACACAGAAATAAATAGTTTCAAATAGCTAGAAGGAGGATACTGAATGTCCCCAACACAAACAAATGATAAATGTTTGAGATGATGATCTGCTAATTACCCTGGTCTGGTCACCACACATTATAGGTATCATAACATCACTATGTATCTCATAAATATGTACAATTATTATATGTCAACTAAAATGTAAAAAAATGAAAAAGATGAAAACGGTGACTTGAACTTAGTATGTTCTCAAGAAATATTTGTAAAAGGAATAAAAGTAAAATAAAGCCCAGTTGGATTCTGTTTCCACTAGAAAAAAAAAAGAAAACAAGGAGAATATTTTTTTTTTCTTTCTTGAGACAGTCTCACTTTGTCGCTCAGGCTGGAGTGCACTGGTGCTGTCTTGGTTCACTGTAACCTCCGCTTTCTGGGTTCGAGAGATTCTCATGCCTCATCCTCCTGAGTACCTGGGATTACAGGTGTGCACCATTACACTGGCTAATTTTTGTATTTTTAGTAGAGATGGGGTTTCACCATGTTGCCCAGGCTGGTCTTGAATGCCTGGCCTCAAGGCCAGGTCTCGAACCACCTGCCTTGGCCTCCAAAAGTGCTGGTATCACAGATGTGAGCCACTGCACCTGACCAAGATTTGACAAGTGTCAAGAACCTCATGACAACTCTTTTGTGGAGATGTGAATCGGTAGAAAATTTTACAGGCATCAAGACACTTTTGAAAATTTCTAAGGTATATCTAGTAGAAGATCTGGCAGACATTCCAATGCTTATAGAATCTTAGAAACTCCAAATTCTAAAAAGCTTGCTCATAGGAAACCCTTAGTACGCATTCAACTATATTAGACAGAACTAGAAAACCAGTTGGCTAAAACACCTATAATAAAAAATATGAAAAATACTACTCAATGGCCGGGCACAGTGGCTCATACCTATAAGCCTACCGCTTTGGGAGACTGAGGTAGGAGGATCACTTGAGGTCAGGAGTTCGAGACCAGACTGGCCAACATGGAGAAACTCCGTCTCTACTAAAAATACAAAACTTAGCCAGGCATGGTGGCATGCACCTGTAATCCCAGCTCCTTGTGAGGCTGAGGCAGGAGAATTGCTTGAACCTGGGAGGTGGAAGTTGCAGTGAGCCGAGATCGCACCACTGCACTCCAGCTCATGTGACAAGAGACTCTGTCTGGAAAAAAAAAATACTACTCAAGAAAGCCAAGCACTAGAAAAAAATATATAGAACATACAGAGATTTTATTTAGAGTTCAAATTTGATTGTACAAGTTTTCAATCAAAAGAAGATGTGGAAGACCATACAAAACTTTTTTTAAGGTTAGTCAACTGACCATGAAGCCCTCCTTACAGCGTTAACAAGAATTCTGGACAGATATACAGCTACAATTAAGCATTAATCAGGCTGTACTTTGGCCCACTTCCTTGTAATCAAAAGTCAGGGTGGCACTAGATACTAACCAGTTGCATCCCCATTCTTTCCATAAATAGGACTTCTGATCTTTAAATGATAAAACTCTTGTTTAAGAATTGCTTCAGCAGATCCTAAATTCCAGAAGTACAGCTGAGACAACCAGTTTGAAGACCACCACAGAGGACCCAAATGAGCATAAGAATACTGATGCTGCCCCATGACCACACCTTTGTACTCTGACCAATCAACGAGCTCAACACTTTGGCCCACTCCAAAACCAAAATCCTCAGGGAGACAGATTTGAGGTTTTCTCTCATCTCCTCTTCTGTTTGGTGGCCCTATGATTAAACCTCTTTCTCTGCTGCAACCAGGTGTCTCTGCATATTAACTCCCTTGTGCATCAGGCGATGAACCAATTATGATTACAATCATATGGAACTTTTTAAAACACCAAAAGAAAACATTGACGCAAGCAAGAGTTATCAGTAACTTATTGAAACCATCAAGAAAAAAGAACAGTGCAGTTGAAGACTTATTGGAATGAAAACACTTATGACAGAACCCAAACGAAAACATCGTTTGGAAGTATATAATGGATTTGAAGAAATGTTTGATCCAATGAACAAAAATAAGAATCGACCAGGAGATCTGTCAAGAAAACTTCTTTTGTAATCCTTGTTAATATGAATCTAAAACTAATGCTTCTGAAACTGGAGACATGGCCAAAGAACATGCAAGATTGAGCTAGTCAAAGAACCAGATCTACCCTAAAAAATAAAGATTTTCAAGAATCTAAAACCTTTGCCTAGCCAAACAGATATGTGCAAAGAGAAATTAATATAAAGGAATATAAGCTTTTTTATTTTTTTTGAGACAGAGTCTTGCTCTGTCACACAGGCTGGAATGCAATGGTGCAAACTCCACTCACTGCAACCTCCACCTCCTGGGTTCAAGTGATTCTCCAGCCTCAGCCTCTCGAGTAGCTGGGATTACAGGCAACCACCACCATGCCCATATTTTTAGTAGAGACAGGGTTTCACCATATTGGTCAGGCTGGTCTTGAACTCCTGACTTCAGGTGATACATCTGCCTCAACCTCCCAAAGTGCTTGGATTACAGGCGTGCACCACTGTGCCTGGCCATAAGCTTAATTTTCAAAAACGCTGAGTCAGAGAATGTCCCCACATCCTAGACCCAAATACAGAACTGATAAAAACTGCAAGAGTCTCAGTTGCTTACATCAACAGAAAAGATTCAAGTAAATAAAGTTTAAAAGAATATTGTGAAGATGCCAGGCGTGGTGGCTCACGCCTGTAATCCCAGCACCTTGGGAGGCCATGGCGGGCAGATCACTTGAGGTAAGGAGTTCAAGACCGGCCTGGCCAGCATGGTAAAACCCCATCTCTACTAAAAATACAAATATTAGCCAGGTGTGGTGGTGCATGCTTGTAGTCCCAGCTACTCAGGAGGCTGAGGCAGGAGAATCACTTGAGCTCGGGAGGCGGAGGTTGCAGTGAGCCGAGATAGTGCCACTGCACTCCAGCCTGGGCAACAGAGCGAGATTCTGTTTCAAAAAACAAAAAAAGAATATTGTGAAGAGTTTCTAAGAGAAAAACTCAGAACATGGAGCTATGAAACAAAAGACAGTGAGTGTAACATAGTGGGGGGTGGGGGGGTGCGGAGGGGGTTAGTGAGATGGGAGAACGTAAAACTGGTATAAATCTTCAGGAATCTGATGGTTTGGCTAGTTCAACAGGGATTATACACATGGAAAAGAATGACAAACTAATGAAGAATTTGCAATAAAAATTTAAATCTACAAATGGAAAGAAGATATTTTTAAGACTTAGAAAAATAATCAAAATTAATTTTTATCCGGTGGTATCTTTGGTCAATACAGAAGAAAAACTTCACACAAACCAAAATGAAACAGGAGTAATCTGGAAGGTTCTAATCCTCTGTCTGATGAAACTAACTTAGGCAACAAAGAGGCAGAAAATAAAACTATTGATAGTTCTTCAGATAAGGTCCTAATACAGTGGGGATTCGAGGCATAACTTCAAGATTATATCTGCAAGCAGGAATAAAAGAAATGTAAAGGTAGAGATATTTTCTAGTCTACCCAGTAAAAGAGATACCATATGCAGAGGAAGTTTAAGAGGAGCCCATGCAAAAAACCCGTAAGAATGTTATAAAAGATAGAGCAATCAATTGTAAATCAAGTTACCTTTGAGGTCCAGTGACTCAAATGAGGTCTTTCCTACAAAGATAGAGGATATGATCTTTTAACTAGTACAACAAATAGAATGTCTGTGAGCAAGGATAGTAAGAAAACAGGTGATCATTACTCACAAAAAGTGACACACATAGAGGATACCACAGTGATGCCTGTGAGAAAAAAATCGAGTAGAAAGATGTAATAGTCCATGAAGAAAGAATATGCTTGAGGTTTGGAAGCCAAAATAAGATCCCTGTCATTACTAAAATGCAAGGGTCTAATTATTTGTCCTAATATAGCAGAGAACACGTCTTTGGGGAAAGATGGGGAGAAAAGTGCTGATAATCCCTTCAGGAAAATCCAGGTGAGAAAGCAGAAGATAAAGAGGTAGTAGTACATCTGGATCTATTACATTTGAGATTTAGAACAATCCTTGCTGGACACATGAAAAGATTTGTTTGTCCGGCATCACAGAGAAAAACTCCATAGATAATAACAAATAAAAAAAGTTTACAGTCCTTTAGTGGATAAAGAGGAAAAACCATGCCTGGATCAACATGGAAAAGCTACAGAAGTCGGATGCAAAGAGAAAACAAAGGAAGTACGTTGGAAAATACCATTTTACCAAAAGAAGAAACTGTGCAAAAGGTGAAGCCATACCAGAGAGAGATGAAAGCACAGCAGAATAACATGGAGTTCTAAGAGATGTGACAAGCAGGATAAGAACAACCACACAAAAAGAAAGTAAGAACGGCAAGATATCAGACAAGATACTTAGCTAAGAAGCTGAAGAGGGGATAAAAATACTGTTTGGTTTGGCGACAAACATAAGTATCTCCACCATCATATAATTTTTGCCATAAAATTAATAAAAGTGGGCTGGGTGTGGTGGCTCATGCCTGCAATCCCAGCATTTTCAAATGCTGAGGTGGGAGGATTTCTTGAGCCCACGAGTTCGAAACCAGCCTGGGCAGCATAGTGAGACCTTGTCTCAACAAAAAAAGTTAAAAATTAGCCAGGCATGGTGGTGTACTCCTGTATCCAGCTACTAGGAAGCTGAGGAGGGAGGATCACTTGAGCCTGGGAGGTTGAGGCCGCAGTGAGCTGTGATCACACCACTGCACTCCAGCGTGGGTGATAGAGCAAGCAAGATATTGTCTCAAATAAATAAATAAATAAATAAATAAATTTAAAAAGTGAGTTCTGTAAATAAAAATGAATAAATGAATAATAAAATTAGGTTCTACATGTAATTAAGTATGACAAAAGTATTGGTTTTACTTGATATTTGATTATTTTTACAGGCAAAATTTTACAAAGGAATACTGTAACTTTTCTGGTATTACCCATGTGGAAGAAAGAATGGCTTAAGTTTTTGCCATTAGCTGTTGCTGATTCATTCCTTGGTTGACAAAATACCTTCCCTTAGTTTATCCTTAGTTATTAGTTACCCTTAGTTATTAGTCTTTTCATCAATGCATGAAAGGAGAATGAAAAAGTAAATTGTAAACTACTGAGGTCAGATATGAACTTGCCAAATATTCTACTATTGATTGGTTTAGGAAACTTACACTTTTGAAGAGATGGTTAATGTTTGTTGCTCAAAATAAAACTCAACATACATCATTATTTCTCTCAAGCTGGAAACCCAAATTAATTACAATTCATAAAATTTTTAATAAAAGTCAGATCAGAATATTGTATAAATCTAGACATCATATTCATGTTTATATGAGTTTCAGCTTTGAATTGTTTCCTTTATTAATTCCACTTGAGAGAAACTGTATACAAAAAGTACAACATTAAGGTACTTAGCATATTGCCTTTCAAATTGTTAACTGAGTCCGTTTCCTTAATATTCCCTCTGGCCTTTACAATTGAATCTTGTTTTCCTTATAGAGTACATTTCATGCCCTTTGACATAATTGCCAATGCCCATTTTCCATGGTTGAAGCATACTCACATTTGCAGAATGTAGCAATTAATGGCCTCTTAAAACTATCATTCTATCTCAAGAAGACATTTTCCCCTTGGTTATGATATTGAACACCCATAACAAATTGCTTGTAATCAACTGGTGATTACACACACACACACACACACACACACACACTACAGTCATCCCTAGGTATCCATAGAGATTGGTTTTAGGACCCCCTGCAAAGGTCAAAATCAGCTCCCTGATATAAAGTGGTGTAGTATTTGCATATAACCTATGCATATCATCCCATATACTTTACATCGCCTCTAGATGACTTATAACACTTAATACAATATAAATGTTATGTAAATAGTTGCTATAACGTATTAATTTGCAGTTTTAAATGTTATATTTTCTTTCTTAAAAATATTTTCAAAAAATTAAAAAAATACATTTTCTACCTGCAGTTGGTTGCATCTGCAGATGCAGAACCCACAGATACAGGAGAACCAACTGTACATACACAATATACATATTTATATATCTAGCACCTAAATTTAGAAAATCAATCATGTTTTTTGCATTCCAGATGGATTACAATATGCAGGACCATTATTTCCCTACTCTTGAGAAGTCAGTGAAAATAAAATGTGCTTAAAATGTTTTAGTATTCGAATTACTTTGATAACTGAAAACCAGGAGCAAAAGCTCACTTGGTACTGGAAAACACTGCACGCCCAGGTGGGTTTAGTTAAGATATATATGCCACAGGCTGGGCATGGTGGCTCACGCCTATAATCCCAGAGCTTTGGGAGGCCAAGGCAGGCAGATCACTTGAGCCCAGGAGAATGAGACCAGCCTGGGCAACATGACGAAACCCCATCTCTACAAAAAAATACAAAAATTAGCTGGGTGTGGTGGTGTGCACCTGTAGTCCCAGCCATGCAGGAGGCTGAGGCAGCAGGATCCCTTGAGCCCAGAAGGTCAAGGCTGCAGTGAGCGGTGATCATGCCACTGCAATTCAGCCTGGGCAACAAAGTGAGATCTTTTCTCAAAAAAAAAAAAAAAAAGAAGATATATATATACCATAAAATTTATGTTCCATCTTAATTCCATTAACATGTCATGCCATAAGTTAATAGTGTATTATTCTACATATAAAGAGCACAATGTTCTATCCTCCACTTTTACTACAGAATATTAAAAAGAAGTAAAATCATTTCTTTGTGAGTTTTTTTCAGGTAACAGGATAACTATTTTCTATATTAATAAACACATGCAATTATATATAATAGGTTCTGTCTATATAATAATTTCCAAGTGAAATCTATAAAACTTAACACCCAGATACTGCCTTTACTGCTTTAAAAATGTTTCTATCCAGGCAATGCAGGTTATAAACACACAGGTTCTGTGTGTGTTAATATGGTGTGTTATATGTGTATATATTACCATGAGACATGCTCATTTATTAATAAAATACTGTTTTAAAGAATTTTTCCACACAATTATGCCTGAACAAAATTGTCCTTGGTAAATCAATAGATTGCAAGAAAAAAAACCCCACTGTGGAGTCAAACTCATTTCTATTGAACTGAGGGATGTGAATAAAAGCTTGTGGGTTGGGCAGATAAAAAACAGGTGAAAACTTGTCATTTTAAAATTCAGTAGAACCTCATTGTGTGATTGGTATCAAGTGTAATTACCACTTTATAAACATTCTAGATTTTAGGGAGAGAAATATTCCATAGTTGATAAAAGAGAAATATACTTGATCCGTATTGTAAGTATTTTTCATAGGATTTTGTTGAATTTCTTTAAGATGTTATGGTAACAACATATAGACTATGCTTCATATACTGGCACAGGTATTTGGATATTTAGGTTGATGTTTCAGATACAGGTAACATTTGTGAACTGTGTAAAACAGTGTAACCTCAAAGAATAAATTATTTTTTAAAATATGGCAACTTTCCAGTTTGTTTGAATGGTGAGTAGTATTGATAGCCACATATAACAAAAATACACGGTATTTGAGTAACATTAATATGTGATTATCTATATAATGTAATTAAATTTTGTACCATTCTCAACTGATATAGCCTCAACTCCTGATACTTTTGTCAATTCACAGCTCAAATTGCTTTAAATGACAAATAGACATATTTCATATTTTGATACACTACCATATAGCCACACATCTGATAAAATTTGCACAGAGAAAAGATTTTAATGTTTTGCTATTTTTTAATACACTTCAAATGATTTTTCTTTAGTCACAAGGTCATTAGTTTTTAGAAGTTTAAAGTAAACCATTTTTTTATTACAATTCAGACATTTAAAAAATTCTCAGAACTGTCAGACTTTTTCAACCAGCCTTTAAAAATTTAATTAAATAATTTTCTTCAATACAAGTCAGATATTTTAAGATTTTTCAGGAGCATCAGACTTCTTCAATCAGAAGAACAATGTTCTAAAAACATGTATGAGATCCATGTGTGTAATCGTTCTTGATATAACAACATTCACCTTTTCCCAAGCAGAGAAACCTTTCGTACTTTTCCTTCTCCTTTCAGGTGAATGACAAACTGTAATAACAATATTATAAACAATGTGTATATAGTACATAGACAATATGCATATGTACATTACACACAATGTATTAAAATATGTTATATTATCTTTTACTTTTAAAGGGCGTGTCACAGAACAGGAAACTGATACAATGACACTTGTTTCTTAAGAGAAGCTGATTGAATCCTGTAGCACATTACTGCACAATTAATGGCTTTAAACGAGTTACAAGTCGTAAGTTCTTATGTTTTGGATCATGTTGTGGAATGTATTCCAAATGAAAAATGGAGGAGAAAGTGCACAACATCATATGCTTCATGGTATGGCATATACATGTCAATTATTTTTACATATAACTGTGATGAATGATACAATTAAAAGCTATACTACATAATGCATACAGTTATTATTATAAAAAGTTATATATTATGCCACAGTACTAAAAATAAAATATATTCTTCTCAAATAGTGAAAATAAGATATCCTTCATGTTTTTTATGTCACATATGCTTCCTCGTTTGACCATACCTGTTTTTCTTTTTTAATGAAATAATTTAATGATTTATTAAACAATAATGACAGAGTATGGGCAATTTCCTGACCATTAATGGCCTACAAAAAGTGATAAGACGATTACCTTGTCGTGAATTTGCTGAAATACCCTCCTGTTGCGTTCAATGCATGGTAAAAATATTAGAATAAAAGACAAATAAATATAAATACCTCCTCAGTTATTGAACAATCAAAAGTCCAGCCGAATGGATATACATGGTTGCTGTTCCCTGAGTAGGTACAGCAGCTAACCTTGTATCACAGGTGTCCCCCCTAGCCCACTCCCCGCACTCCACCTAATTGTGAAACACCAGCTGTGACTATTTGCTAGATCAGGAAGACACTGAGGGATTTTGGGGGGTCTGCCGCATGGCAGCGATTTCATCATAACCAAGTGGCGCTCTCCCACACCCACGTGCAGCAGTCCCTGGTCGCGGCTGGTCCTCAACGGCTCCTCGCCCTCTGCCCACCCTGGGAGACCTGTCCAGGCGGCAGGTAGGGAAAGGAGTGGAACTGCGGTCCTTTCTCCTCAGCCCTAAAGAAGACCGCCCTTCTCTCGACGCACCAAAGGGCTCACGTGTTCTCTTTGACTAGGGAAGCAGGCACTTACTAGTGAACCACAATACGAGGCAAGGCAGAGGGCAGGGACGTCCTTCGAAGGTGCGCTGGAGGGTCGCCTGCTGCAGCCGCACCCGCCGCGCGTGCCCCACGTTTCTTTGAACGGAATGAAACGCAGAGAAACATAAGATCCCGGGAGAACGCGAGGGAGACGAGTGACCCCAACCCAGTCGCGGGGTGCCGGGCAGTTAGGCCAGGGTGCCAGATAAGGTCTGAGGCAGTTGGCGGCGGCACCCCGGCCGTTGCTTGCCACCCGCAGCCCCCAGCCCTGCACCAGCCGCCGATCCCCGAGCGCTCAGATAAGAGGGTAGCGGCCCTCGCCGCCGTCGGGCTCCGCGGCGACCCCGCCTCGAGGGCGGCCAAGCACCGACACTGGCAGCACGACCTCCCCGGGGCTGAGCTGCTGCAGCCGCATGGACTCCTCGTAGGTGGGCAGATACTTGACCTCCTCGTAGCTGGGCAGCTGCAGGAAGACCGGCGACACTACACGCATCTCGTGCTCTGAGGCGCAGGAGGGGTCCGAGCGCCCGCCGCCTCCCCGGCCCCGGCCGCCGCCGCCACTGTCCAGCAGTGAGTCCTGAGAGCCGGCTGCCGCCTCGTCGCGCAGCAGAGCGGGCGAGTCGTCGTCGTCGTCGGGCGGCCCCGCGCCCCCCAGCGGTCCGGCGCCCCCCGGAGGCCCGGGCCGCTGTCCCGGGCGCGCCTGGCCGCGCGGGTACCTGCGTGGACTGGGGCAGATGATGCGCTGCAGGAAATAGCCGATGGCGAAGAGCACCAGCAGGATGAGCAGCCCGGAGAGCTTGCGGACGAACCAGCCCACGTTGTCCAGGAAGGCGTGCAGCGGCAGCTTGCAGCAGCGCACCGCCGTGGCGTTGGTCGCGTCGCAGCAGCGCTCCCGCTCGCCGCACGCCAGCTCAGCGCAGCCCCCGCCGCCCCGCGAGGGCGCCACCAGCGCCAGCGCCAGCAGTAGCAGCAGCGGCAGCAGAGGCGGCGGCGCCGGAGCCACCGACAGGCCCTCAGCAGTGACCCCGGGTCCCCACATGGCCCGCGCAGACCTCGGCTAACGTCCGGGACGGGAGGCTGGGGAGTCCGTCCGCCCTCGCGTCCGTCGGCCCCTCCCCGGCGCTCCGCTCGGGTCCCGCGCGCGCCGCCTCCCGCGCCTCAGCTACCTGCGGCCGGAGCAGTCCTCACTTGGCCACGCTTGGGCGGGAGGAGGAGCCCGCGGCGCGCGGAGGCTGCGGGAGGCGGCTGCTACTGGCGGCCCAAGCAGCTTCCCGAGCTTCTGACCTTAACCTCTCGCGCCCAACCGCCCGGGCCGGGTGCAAGGCTTCCGGAGCCTCCCTAAATGTCAGAGGCAGCCCGCGCGGGGCTGCCATGGGCATCTTGGCCCCGGCCGGCGCGTTTTTCCTCCCCCGCCTTGTCGCTCTCTGGGACTGGAAGGGTTAACGCTCTGCTCTCAGCCCGGGAGCCCCTTGATCTTGATTAATTCAGCCTTCGCGCTTAGGCCCGCCAGACGGGCGGGGGCTCTCGCTCGCGTAGGTGTCTCCGTTTTAAGTGATTGGATTTCCCCAGGAATGTTATTTAAATTGACTTGCGACTGGGATTCGCTTACCATCTTTCTTGTGATCTTCCGATTAAAAATAGATGATGGCCATTAATGGCTAGTGCAGTACCCACTGCTGTCCCAGAGTTTGGGGGTGGGGGGTGGAGACCGGCGGATATTTCTGCTTGCAGGCAGGTCCAGGGAGCTAGGAACCCGGGATTCCCAGGAAACCTCCAGAACAGGTAGAGAATTTCTCGTAGAGGGACAGGTCAGGGTACCACAGAGGTAGCCCCAGAGGGACAGGGAAGCGCTCCGTCAAGGTGACCTTAGTTGATTAAGGAGAAGTGAGGGGACGCATATTTTCCCAGTGGCTCATCCGACAAGCCCCCACTGAGTCCGAAGCACAGAGCAAAGATTTGGGTTGCCGGGCTGAAAGGAGACCCCTCCTTGAGCATAAATAACACATCCGTGAAATGCCTAAGGAGGTTACAAGTGATTGGCAACGTTCTTGAGCGTTGATTTGCGCCTAAAGGGTCTTTTTCAAGATTATTCTTGTTCGCAAAGTTTGACTTTAAAGGAATTCTGCGCTCCCAGTTAACATGGAACAGGGTTTACCTTGCCTTGGTTGTCACCATTCTCTGGGGAAGCCCGGTAGGGCACACAGCACACGTAAGGGGCGACAGTTACAGCGGTCCCTGACTGGCAGGCACATCTACATGGTGTAGTTAAGCTCTGCCCCCGTGGTGGATAGAGCCATACCACGGGGAAGCCAAGAGCTTGCCACTTTTATTAAGGCAGACTGCAGTAGACAATCATTCCCTCACCCCTTAAACACGAGGACCCCTTGAAGAGAAACCAAAGGGAAAATTCCATAGTCACAGAGAGAAAAACAGTAAAAGCAAAGGAACAATATGCAGACAAGATTCAGCCGAGGATCAGATAAAAGCAAAGATTTCTCCCTGAGTAAGTCATCGTATGTCTCCGTAACAAAGTGATGATGGAACAAGAAGGTTGGCAATGGTGGTTTGATTGAGACAGGTCATTGCTCAGCCTGAATGAAACATTTTAAACATATCTGTTGCTGTGAACACCTTACTTTGCCTCACACTCTAAAATGATCCTTTCTACTCACAGAGAAGCTTCTAAGTGTTACGGAGACAAGATATGGTATGTAACGCTTACTTGAGCACAGGTCCCTTTTTTCTCAGGTTCTTCAAAGGCACATTTGTTATGATCTCTTTATAGGGAGGCATATTACCTATTTTGCAAAGCCTGATTGACAATGGATTTCAAATTGTAGTAAAATCATAGGATGAAAATGATTCATTTTAATACAGTGAATTTTTTTTTTTTTTTTTTTTTTTTTTTTAGAGTCTCACTCTGTCACTTGGGCTTGAGTGCAGTGGCACAGTCTTGGCTCACTGCAACCTCTGCCTCCTGGGTTCAAGTGGTTCTCCTGCCTCAGCCTCCTGAGTAGCTGGGATTACAGGCGTGCACCACTACACCCAGCTAATTTTTGTATTTTTAGTAGAGATGGGGTTGCGCCATGTTGGCTGGGCTGGTTTTTGAACCACTGACCTCAAGTGATCCATTCGCCTCGGCCTCCTAAAGTGCTAGGATTACAGGCGTGAGCCACCACACCTGGCCAGAAAATTGTATTCTTTCATTCACCCATTCTTTTGCTAAATTTACATTGAACATTTTCTATGTTTAGGGAACTCAGCTAGATGCTCATTGTAACAGAAAAATACTGACTCCTCCCCAGCATGGAGTAAACCCAGGTCTGCACTCCCAGCTTCAGCTAAATGGAGTAAGAGGTTGCACAGAAGGCAACAAACGGCAGTTTCCTCTTCTATCATGACTTGTTCTTTCTCTCCCAAAGGAAAAATAAAATTAGTGAATTTCAAACAATTTCAGGAATGAAGGCAGTTCATAGCTTGAGATAGGCTTTGAATATGAAATAGAAAAAATATAAACCCTCTTTGGGTTTTGATTATCTGAGTTTTTGGGATTTCTTCCAGTAGTAGCAGGAGCAGTGGCAAAAGTAAAGGGGGTTATATGGCTGATGACACATAAGAGAAAGTCCCCTGCTCATTGCTATTTTGAAATTATTAAGCAGCATTTAAATGGTTTCATTTCTATCTACCTTTAAATAGTTAGAATTTGCAGAATATTAGGTAGGACACAGTAGAAGAACAACATAGATTGTATATAGTATCATCCATTCAAGACCCTCTACAGAAATTGGCACCTCTTTATTTCTTCTCTGATCTCTCAGTTTCACTTAATTCATCTCTATTTGCAATGTAATTTACTGTGTACAGTATTTCAAAGGAACGAATAGAAACCTTATAGCTTTAAAAGCCCCAGAAAAGACACAATTTTCATTACTCAGCATCCTTATTCTTTTCTTCAGATTCAACACACAAATAAATGGGGTAGATTGAGCTGCCAGAAAATCAAATTCAAGCCACTTAGAGAGGAAGATGGAATTTAATGATATGTTTCATAGAATGACCACAGTGCAAAAATTAAAACCTTATTTTGTTAAAAAAAAAATTGCACCAAATGTGTTAAGTGAGAACAAGAGAGAGTGAGAGAAAAAAAACCAACACGTGGGGGGAGGGGACTCACCTTTTTCCAAAAAGCATAGTCTTAATGATAAAGATTAAGAACTTAAACTTCTTCACCATACTGTAGAGCTTGAATGATAGTTTTTGAACATTTTCTCTTCCTGATTTATTTGCATTCACACCATATGAATGCAAATTAGCCATACTTTTCAACTTTCTGGAACAGAAGAAAGTAAACAGAACACAGCAAAACTGGCTATTTTACCTGTGTCTCTGGGAGCTGTGTTGATAGCTTCAGAAAGACTTAGTGGCTCCATCATACAACCTTCTGTTCTATCACATGACACAGGCCCAGAAGGAAGTTTTTCTCTGATGTCTGCTGACTGTTGCTTGTGCCTTCAAGCCTGAGAAGTGATGGCTCTGCCCTTTTCATGTCCCTCCTTCAAAACATCTAGGCATGGGTAGTTGGGACCTTGTAAACTGTCTAGTCCTTAAGGACCCCTTATTCAGGATGTGCAACACCTGAATACTACCTTACTACTAAATTATTATAATTGATTTCTTAACCTCCTCATTGTATGATTTCCCTCCACTTGCACATGTCTTCCCTGAGCAACAGTAAATTAAGAGGCTTATTGTAAATAGCATATATTTGCATGAATATACCTCCCTAGAAATGATGTAAGATCTGAGATAATCTGCTTTGGAGTTCTTTTCAGATCATATTTCTTTCATCACTCATTCAATAAATATTTAATGAGGTCCCACTTTGAGCTTGGCATTCTGCTCCACTCTGAGGATACTATGAAATCAAACGGTTCTTTGTCCTCAGGGATCTTATTAGGGGAGGGGGAAAAGAACAATAGTCAAACAGTCAAAATAATGAACTGATCATTCCAATGATCAATGCATACCTGGAGGAGTGCAGGATGCTCTGAGTTTTTGCACTGGACATGATCTGGATTGGGTTAGGGCAGTGGCATTGGGTGGAAAAACGTCCCTAAGAAAGACCTCCTTAAAAAGGACAACAAGGGGAAGCAAAAAAGGGGTCCTCTGGGCAGAGGAATCATCATGGACACGAGTCTCCGAGGTAGAAAGACACTTCATGTGTCATCTCTTATGACTGAGGCAAAACTTGTATAATTCCTATCCCAACAATTTTGACTCTGCTGCTAGATTAGCTTTATGTAGAGTCAAGCCACCTCTGCTGCCATCCAACTTTAAAACCAAACCTCATTCTCTGCAGTGGTCTAACAGGCTGTGTGGTTGTACTTATCTTTGTATTTGGTCCTGCCCGGTTTCCCCTTGGAGACCAGGAAAGTTCTAGTGACATTTCCTGTTATTTCCACCTCCACACCCCAGACTCGGAGTGGAGTTCAGATTTCCCCTTTCAACTTTATGAGTTGGTTGACAAAAGGCTTCTGCAAGCCAAATGCTTGAAGAAGGGGAAAAGTCCAAGTGGAATGCTTTGTATCTTTTGTCCAAATTAGGAGCAGAAGGAAATAGAAAGCTTTTTCTCAAGCTTGAAGTTAGAAACAAAAGGTTGAGTAATTCCAGGCCCTTATAAAAATAATATCTATGTTTATATTTGGCCTTTTAGCTTTTCAGAGAACTTCCACATGCATTGATTTTTTTTTCCTCCTTACTACATTTCTGTGAGGTGGGTTGAAGTTATTATTATCCCTTTTCACCAATGAAGATAGGCTAAAACAGCGAAATCAAAGGGCAAATTAGTGGTGGTGCTAACACTGGAATCCAAGGCTTATAACTCCAAATCTAGTTAAAAACAGTGGTTTGGCATCTCACTCCCTTATTGATTTGAGCTGGACAGGCCAAAGGGATCGCTGTGGCGGGAGTCACCTGATTTCCCTTAGACAACTCCTGATGCATCATGAGGCCAATTCTAAGGAAAATAGCTGGGAGTTAACCTGGACTGTATTCTGGACCACAAATACAAGATTCTTCTGAGGAAATAAAACTTTTATTTCTGCCATTTTGTGGCCACTTTTGTAAACCATTAATAATGGTCTAGATGAGGCCAGCTATTTTTGTATGCATTTCTGGAAACAAAAAATAAATTTCCCTCCTTCATTACATTTGATCTTTACCCATGAACTAAGTTATCTAATGCTCATCAATATAAAATAAGAAATGCTTGGCAAAATAAGGACACATTGGGTTCTAAAACACAAATAAATGCAGTATTATTTATCAATAATTTAAACTTCTATATTTAAATTCTTGCTTTATTACAATTATCAGTTAATTTCTTGTGGCAACCTTGTAGAAGAGATTGATACCTTTCACATTATTGCTGATGATGTAAAAACTAAACCATAAATGTTATGAGAAATATTTAGTGAGGCCATGAAGATCTGAAATTAGAATTCCAGTTATGTCAGCTGAATGAATTTCTTTCTCACTCATGTTTTTTAAAAATGGTCAGATTGTTCAAGTTAGAATATACCTGTTAGTACGCTGTTGTACCAGCCAAACACTTGCATCGGCAGAAAAATCACATAGCATGAAATTATTTCATAAGATGAAATAATTTTTTAAGGTGAAGCATTTTATGCTCCATTATTTTAATCTGAAACTAGTAATGTACTCTTTGTCTCCCTTTCATTACAAGGAAAAATTGCTTGTCAATAGCTCCTTCTGAATATTTTCTGTAAACCTGGATGGAGCGGGAGATGACTGTTCCTGCTCACCAGGCCAGACTTTATACTTATAGGGCAACAGGCTAATGGCATTGACTCTGAGCTTGCCGTTAGTCCCTGGGCAGCAGGGCTGTGGTCCATCTACCCAGCATCCTGCTTCTAACATTAAATGAAATGGGATAACCGTCTTCCAAGACACCTGCCTTAAAACTTTTGAATATACCCTAAATATCTAAATTCTGCTTAACAATTTTCATTGTAGATTTATCCAACTATGAATTTCAAAGGGTCCTTTGGGGTATAATCCTAGTCTTTACTTTCACCTTTCTTTCCTACTCTCTTCCTTTGTGCACCCTTTGCTTCAATAAATGACTACCTGATATGGCTGTTTAAGATGCCTGCTTTAGAGATGTTCTCCCTTCCCTTTCACTGTGCCCTCCACCAGGAATTATCTTTTCCCATCTCTGTTGGTCAAAACTATGCAAAATACAGCTCCAATGACAGCTCCTCTCCAAAATCTACCATCTACTGTTTGTGGCAATTCTCATTTTTAAAATTTTATTTTAATAGCGACGTGGTCTCACTACATTGCCCAGGAGGGTCTCAAACTCCTGAGCTCAAGTGATCCTCCCACCTTGGCCTCCCAAAGTGCTGAGATTACAGGCATGAGCCACCATGCCTGGCTGCAAATCTCATTTACTACCTCATATTTCAGGTAGTTATGTACACATCTTGGCCTTAGGACTTTTAGAAATAAGCTTATGGTGGTAGGCTTTGTGTATGTGTCTCTGCAGCACGGTGGCTTTCCGTCTCTTTGAATACTAGACTTTGGGAGGCTCTCTTGAAGGGTTCACCTGGACCTATGTTGCCTTCCACCCACTGCTATGTTGTTGTTTGGATGCAATGCCTCACTGTCTGCCTGTGTTCCATCAGAAATTCATAAAACAATGCTCTCAAATGTTTCTGTAAGCACGTTTCCCTAGCCCCTACTTGCTGTTAGAACGTTCTTCTTACCTCCCGCAGCAAGATTTATCTCACTGAACTCAAGTCACAAGACGTGCAACCTTCACCATTCTGTCTAACAGGCATCACTTACATGTATGGGACTCAGCAGGGACAAAATGAATGCAGCACACCTGTGAAGAGCTTACAGGATTCCAGAATGCCATTGCCATATCATCCAGGAGCCTCTACCAACTTATACATAATAGGTGCTGAATACATTTTTGTAGAATTAATTTACCTAAGTTTATGAATCTATTTATGTTTTCAATATATACTCCTCTTTTGAGTAACAATTCCATGGTTTTGCTGCTTGCTGGATGAATCATTTTACTTATGTATTCTTTCAAGCATAAAGAGGATTTTCCCCTTGTTATAGTGACTTGGGCTTTAGAGAAATGGACTGTATTTACTATGGGATTTGCCTTCTGAGGTCCGTATGCTCCAGCTACTTGAAGAGAGAATGTCTACCTTTTTTTTTTTTTTTGACAGCGTCTCACTCTGTTGCTCAGGCTGGAATGCAATGGTGTGATCTCTGCTCACTGCATCCTCTACCTCCTGGGCTCAGGCGACCCTCCCACCTCAGCCTGCTGAGTAGCTAGGACTATAGGCATGTGCCACCACATCCTGCTAATTTTTTCTTTTTTATTTTTGGTAAAGACAGGGTTTCACCATGTTGCCCAGCTGGTCTGTTCCTGAGCTCAAGCAATCTGCCCACTTTGGCCTCCCAAATTGCTGGGATTATAGGAGTGAGCCATTGCTCCTGGCCAGAATTTCCACTTTTGTAGTGTTAGTGTGTGAGCCAGTCTTGCGTGTTTTTGCTTTTGGATTTCGTTCTCAACCTTTTACAGCTCTGCCCTGTATCACAGGAGAGCTGATCCCTGGAGGGTGCATTTCCCTGTTGGTGAAATTCTGGCAGAGTTCAGTCAGTGGGAGATTTGAAGGAAGATAAAGGGTGAAGCCAGGGTGGGGACACTGGCAGCTCCTCCGCGGCTCCTATTGAGGCCTGCTGTGGCTCCAGCTGCTGTCAGTCAATTCCCCTGCCTCCCCAGGCTCCCATAAGACCACCTCCTCCTTCCTACTATTACCAGTCTCCAGGCTGTCTCACCATTTTCTGGGAGATTCTTAGCACTTCCTGCATAAACAGTTTCTTGTATGAAATTTCTCTCTGTTTAAAAATTCAGAATGGGTCGTTTTCCTGGTTGGACCCTTGATTGATGCAGTTTGCCTGAACCATTTTCACCAGCACTAGGATGCAAAGATAACGAATTATGTGATTCCACTGATCCTACCGATTGAGCAGAGTAGTGTTAATCCCCTCTAAAGCTTAAGACTGGTCCCATTTCTCCCAACCATGGATGTGGAAAGGTGACCCTAACTGCTGGTGACAGTAAATGGTGTTAGTGCCAGCCGTGTGATCTTGGACAATTAATCACTGGATCTGCATTTTCTTGTCTATGAAATAAAGGGTATAATAATACCTACCTTCCATTGTGAAGATTAAATGAATGAATACATACAAAGTGCTTAGAACTTTGGCATATAGTGAGCTCTGTGTAAGTGTTACCTATAATTGTTAGTTAATCACAAAGAGTGCATTATCTTTTCTTGCCTGCTAGTTTGATTCTGAAAATGGTGAAGTAAAAGCTAATTTTCTTAGGGTTATCATGACTTAATTAGATTTGTAACTTGTCTTTGTGAGTCAGCCAAAGACAAATGAAACTTATTAACTTCGTAAAATTTGATATTTGGCTCTCAGCTTTATCACTGGCAATATTCTAAGAGTTAACCACATGAAGTTATTATTGCATTTGTGAAAAATAGTGGGAGGCATCATGTCTCCTATGAAATTCTCCCTTTTGAATGATTTCTTTTAGAAATTCAGCCCAAAAAAGCCATGTTTTCTTTAGAGACATGTTAAAGCTTTCTTCTTTTTCATCACAGTAATTTGGTAAATGGTCTTGAATCCCTTTTTGCTTTCATTGCCAGGGAGCTCAGAACTAAATTTAAAGTTTTTTTTAATATCTGTGCTGGCCCCTCCTTTTTTTTTTTACATTTATGTTTGTACTGCCATATGGCCTTAGTTTTCTAATTCAAAATTTATTTTCTGTTTGATTCCCTCTTTAGATTTTGCCATTTATATTCATATTGTAAGTTATGGCACAATTCTTTGTGGAATAAGATGTAGTAGAAATAAATGACACTAAATTCGTAGAGTTTTTAGAGTGTGTTATGAGTTTTCCATCAATATGTTATTCTGTGTCACCAAATTCATTTTGGAATATACAGTCATTTCCTGCATAATGATTTTCAGAGAGCTAGGGACTGCATATATGATGGTGGTCCCATAAGATTATAATACAATATTTTTACTGTATCTTTTCTGTATTTAGATAGCTACAAATTTTCAAATTTAGGTACTCTACAAATAGCATTGTCTACAGTATTCAGTACAATAACATACTGAATAGGTTTGTAGCCTAGGAGCAATAAACTATAGCATATAGACTAGATGTGTTGTAAGCGATACTACCTAGATTTGTGTAAGTACACTCTATGATGTTTGCACGATGATGAAATCACCTAAAGATACATTTCTCAGAACTTTTCCCTGTTGTTAAGCAATGCATGGTTGTAATCTCAATGTAAAAAGTAACTTTCTTAGATAGCTATATTTTTTCATCATGGTATGTATTGGGAAGTCCATGTGGTTTGGTCGCATGCCTCAGTCATTTTTATTTCAGAATAAATTATATTCTGAAATAATATAGTTGTTATTGTTATTCGGGAAAGCGGTTTTGTGGTCAGGCAAGTTTGGGAAATACCCAGTGAGCTTCATTGCTTCAAGATTTTTCAGGGCTGGGAGCCGTGGCTCATGCCTTTAATCCCAGCACTTTGGGAAGCCAAGGAGGGTGGATCACTTGAGGTCAGGAGTTCAAGACTAGCCTGGCCAACATGGCGAAACTCTGTCTCTACTAAAAATACAAAAATTAGCTGGGCATGGAGGCACGTGCCTGTAGTCCCAGCTACTCGTGAGGTTGAGGCAGGAGAATTGCTTGAACCAGGGAGGCAGAGGTTGCAGTGAGCCGAGATCACACCACTGCACTCCAGCCTGGGCAACAGAGAGAGACTCCATCTCAAAAAAAAAAAGAAATTTTCGGAGCCTTTAATTTGTTCAGGTAAACAGTTGGCCCTACATATTCCTGAGTTCTGCATCTGCTGATTCAACTGACTGCTGATAAAAAAATATTTGGGAAAAAAACCCCAAACCCAAACCAATTAAAAACAGATACAAAAATAAGAAAATATGAATGTTAAAAGACTATTTATGTGGCATTTACATTATATTAGGTATTATAAGTAATCTAGAGATGATTTCAAGTATGCAGGAGGATGTGCATAGGTTAAATGCAAACACTATGCCATTTTATATAAAGGACTTGAGCATTGGCAAATTTTGGTATCTATGTGGGTCCTAGAACCAATCTCCCTGTGGATATTGCAGAATAACTATTGTGATTCTCTAAAGAAAGAAATATAAGGTAGCAGTTTTCCAACTTTCTATGACCAAGGCACTCCCCTCAAATTCCCGCAATTTTTTCCTCTCCAATATTTTTTTCTTAACTGAAACTCCAGTTAATATTTTAAGGAACTAGGGTTCTCCAGTATAGGCTAATTTCCCATAGACTAGGTTTTGCCTACATTGGCAAGTGCCACTTTTTCAGTAAGTCCGTAAGAAAAATCTGAAAGAGCTGTTCACCATTAAAGCATTCCTTAGAATCAGAAATCTTGAAGATGCCTTAATATTGAAAAAAAAATCTTATTGTAATAATAAATGAAGATTATTTGGAAATAAATAAACATTTTTAGTGCTGGACCTTCACTGTTTTTGCTTTAAGTCTACTAGTCTGGGCAGAAATATAAAATCAATGGCCATGTTACTAATGTGACATTTAAGCTGTCAATATCATGGAGCCACGCTTTAGCTTTAGGTGGGGTCAGATTAGAAATGAGTCTGAGAAAAGAGTTAAAGAGCTCAAGCTGTGAATAGAAGAATTTTTTAAATGACATGCTTGTGAAATGAAAGTAATTACTTTTGAGCGCTTTTGCATATACATATATATATATGTATATATATATATATAATCCTCAAACACAAAGCATAATTTTATTAAGATTGACAAGGCTAATCTATAATTAAAGCAGTTCAGAAAGACATTTTAACAGAGATTTACTTTTTCTTAAAGTGGAACACAATGCATACTGCTAAGTGGAGCCATCTAATAATAAAGCATTCTGGCCGCCTGCCTTTGGTTCCAGAGAGCACAGTGGGGCTGGCTCCAGAATTCTAGATTCCTCTATTTATGTGGACATTTATTCCCAGAGAGTCGATACCTTCTTCCAGCTCAGTTTTCCTATCCTAATCAGAATCAAAACAGCTAACATTTGTTTCACACCTAAAATTTACCAAATGTTTGCATATGTGTCACCTTGTTTGTTATAACAAGATGGATCAGGAAAGTGTTAGTAGAGATAATTATGCCTGGTGGTTAGGACTTCAAGCCATGGAGTCAGACAGACCCTGGGTTTAAAGCCAGTTCTACCATTAACTCTGTAACTTTGGGCAGGTCACCTAATCACTCCAAGCTTCAGTTTCCTCTTCTATAAAATGGGAGTGATAATATAATCTAATTTATGAAGTTTTTGTAGGATTAAATGAGATAATCCAAAGTGCTTGGTGCATAGCAAATGCTCAATAAACACAAAACTATTATTATTTTGAACTATAGAAAAATTTACTAAACAAATGGCAGAATTAATTCTATTTATCTGTTGCAACATTGAGAAAAAAATAAAATCTGATAACATTTTTGGAACATGGCTGGTTGTGGTAGCTCATGCCTGTAATCCCAGCACTTTGGGAGGCTGAGGCAGGAGGATTGCTTGACCCCAGGAGTTCAAGATCAGTCTGGGAAACATAGTGAGACCCTGTCTCTATAAAAATTAAGAAAATAAAAACAAAAACTTATCTAGACATGGTGGTGCATGCCTGT
The DNA here is from genome assembly GCF_000001405.40 of Homo sapiens. NCBI lineage: Eukaryota > Metazoa > Chordata > Mammalia > Primates > Hominidae > Homo > Homo sapiens. The sequence goes on along the minus strand of NC_000003.12, from coordinate 160,213,845 downwards.
AGTCCCAGCTACTTGGGAAACTGAAGCAGGAAGATCATTTGAGCATTTGAACCCAGGAGTTTGAGGCTACAGTGAACTAAGACTAAGATTGCACCACTGCACTCCAACCTGGGCAACAGTGAGACCTCATCTCTTAACAATTGTGTTTTGTTTTTTTTTTTGGAACATGATAGCAAATACAAAAAGGAAATGTTTGTGGAAATAGAAGACGATAATGAACAGAGGCAATAGTCTAACATTTATAAAAATAGAAAGATGGCAAACCATTAGAGCATTTTGAAGTTAAATTATCAATAAGTTAGTTGATAACTAATACTATACATTATTTAATGAATTTAAAAGAAAATTAGATTCAAGAAGGGTGACTTGTTCAATGTTGCAGAAACAGGAAGAGCTAGGATATGAACTCTGATCTCCTTATTCCCAGTGAGGAAATCATACAGTGCTAAGCTGGGGGACAGCTGCCTGCCTGATGAGTATGCTGCTGACCCTGCCTAACAAGGTCCTGGCATGAATTCTACCATGACATCAGGATAGAGGTTGTGTGGGGTGGGCCAAAGAGCAGGAATATCAGAATTGGACAGATAAGGGTGCAAATCCAAATGGTGTCACTTTTTAGCTCTGTGAGATTGGGATAATAATTCGGGATCATTGTAAAATTTAATGAGATGATGCTTACCAAGTGACCGGGTAGATCGGTTATGGTTGAGAAGTTCTGTGGTGGGTAGGGGCCACCTCTTCTGTACTAATCCAGGCAGAACAGGTTTGGAATGGCCCCAGTCCTCACCCTATAGTGTGGAGACTTAGATGCAATGTATTTTATTTCCTCTACCCAGATATAAAGAAGGAAATAGAAAGGCTTTCTCATCCCCATTATTTTTTAACAATCTTGTTTATAAACTTTATCTGCATAATCCAAAATAAAATATTAAAGCACCTTAATAGGCTCCTAGAAGTACCATTTTGGCAAGCGCTTCTGAACATGTTTACTGCATCTTGGGTTTGTAGTTACAGTAAGTCAATATGTACTTTTAGATATAATTTGAAGTTTACACTTTAATATTAGATACATAAAAGAACCTCAGAAAATGACATATTCAGATAATGCTCCATCAGCATTTGATATTAACTACCATCAATTGGGAGTAACATAAGCATTTAGGTGTTACAAAAATATCTTGCATTTTATGAGCTGAGGAACACTGAGGGCAAGGAGCAGAGCAGGAAGGGGAGAAGGGGACCGTGGGAAATGTCAGCTGAAGCCTGAGGAAGGAGTCAGGACAGGAAAAGACACTGAGGACTGTGGGTCGTTGTAATATAAGGTATGCATAACAGATCTTATGGTCTAAAGAATAGAACAGGTGCAAGCATCTGAACACACATATAAATACAAAATTGAGTAGGTAATTTGATTTTTGCTGGCTCTCTGGCAATAACCATATTTCCCTGCCTCTTGCCTCTGCTCTCTTCCCCTGGTATAAGTTAGGGGCATCTCATATACATCTCATCTCACATGTTCTTACAATGTATCCTTAACATGCCTCAAAAGAGCTAGGGTTTATGCTCCCTGTCATTGAGCCAGGGAGAATGTAGCAGAAGTGACTCCAGTTGACTTCCAAGGCTAGGTCATAAAAGGCAATATGGCTTCCACCTGGCTCTCTCTCAGGACAACTGCCCTTGGAACCATGTTGTGAGGAAGCTCGGGCCACATGGTGAGACTTCATGTGGATGTTCCAGTTGACAGCTCCAGCTGGGCCCCGCCGAGTCAGCAGCACCAATCACCTGATTGTGAATGAATGACCTTTTAGAGGATTCCTGCCCCCTGCCTTTGATTCTTTCAGCCAATGTCTGAGATATTGAGTAGAGCCAAGCAAGCCTTGTTATGCCTGTTTGAACCCCTGACTCATAGGAACTGTGGGAAATAATAAATGATTTTTGTTGTTTTAAAAGCCTCTAAGTTTTGGGGTGATTTACTACACAGCCATAGTAATCCAGAGCAAATTCTTTTCCCAGTTATTTCTGAGAACCCCTGGGGGCATCACAAATGCATCTCATGAATGACCTTCTCATGCTGTTCAGCTTTGTTTCCTATGGGATGGACACTGCTCAAGAAGCCATGCAAAGTGCAATGCATGCAAGGGTGACTGGGATGATTAGAACTAGGTCAGGCTTGTTTGGAAAACTTCACATGTAGCTGGAGTATTTTGATTAGTTATTTGAAATAAGCTGGAGAGAAGCTGAAAGACCATTACCTGAAAGAGAAATAACATATGGCACTATATGGAGGTTTAAGTATGTGTACAAAAGTATGTGTACATATTGCATACATAGTCAGTTGCCTGCTGGGTATGAAGTTCTGGGATTCAGCTCCAGGAGGAGAGTGCTGGAGTTCCATTTAGGGGTACAAACAGCAGGCAAAGTGACCCTTTCAAGTGGTGCCCATTCGGTCACAGACTCTCAGCCTTCATACCCACAGTCACCATCTTTTCAGGGACTCTAGAGAATGTGGTTTGGGATGCAGGAGGAATCAGAAGATCTCGTATACACTTTGGCCACTGGGAAATGTCTGCTTCTGTACTGGACTGGTTCAAAGGAAGAACACTTAACATTGTGTTTGGCTGCAAGTAACAGAAAACCTGAAGAAATGGTGGCTTAAACAAATAAGAACTTTTATTTTTTTCTCATGTAAAAGAAGTCCAGAGGGAGGCAGCAGGGAGCTGGTATGTGGTTCGGTGATGTCATCTTGTTGCCTCATGGTTACAATATATCAACTCCCTTTCCAGACATCACATTTGAGCTCTAGGCAGGAGGAAGAAGGAAAGGCAAAATATAAAAAGGTACATGCCAATTTTTTTAAAAAAGTGTATTCTCACTGTGTCCACCATTGCCTTAAGGAGCTTTCCTAGAAGCTCTACCTAAACAATTCTATCTGTACCATACTGGCTAGGATGAGTCATGTACCCTTCCCTAGTTGCAAGGCATCTGGGATATGTAGTTTAGTAGGTGGGCACATTCTGTCTAAACCAAACAGTGGATCTTCTGTTAAAAAAGAAGTCATGGAGTTTGGAGTGGTTTCTGAGAGTGGTTTCTGATTTTAGCAAGGGGGGCTGATTTTTAGCAAGGATACATGGTATGCTATTAATAGAAAGAACACAGGCTTTGGAATCACAAAGAAAAGTATCAATTACTGTTGGGTGATATTGGGTCAAAGACTCACTTCCTTTGTGCCTCATTTCCCCCAGTTTTAAAGGTTACATTACATTACATTTTAAAAAAAGACACAAAATGACCAGCACAGCACTTGGACATGGGACACTTGCAAGACAATTAGTTCCTCTTTTTTACAAAGGATTTTAGCTAGGACCTGCAGAGTCAAGACCAATTAGACTCTCCCAAGTCCCCTAGACCCTTTGCACAAGCAGGAGGTAAACTCCCTATCCCTGTCCTCAGCCAGAACAAAGGCCCCGAGGAATCTAAACCCCTTAATGCCAGGAGAGACAAATGCAATTCCTGCAGCAGGTTTGTGGACTTTGTGGGCACTGACCCTTCTGAAACCCTTCTCCTGAAGAAGTCTAGGCACTGCATAGGAGTAGTGGAGGTGCCTAATAAACAGCTCTGTATGAAGAGGTGATTAACTTAGATGGATGGCATCTCTCCATAGTCATAAGATGTGGGTTTTATGAAATACGGGGTAAGATATTTGGATTGGTGACAGTCTTAAAGGCCTTGATGACTTAATATGAAAATGAAAGAAGTTGACATTATGATATGATTAGATGGGTGCTTAAGGATGAGGAGAGAGAGGGAGAGAGGAACAAAGACCATCACAGATGGCATTTCCCCAGGCTAGGCACATGAGGGCTCAGAGCTGTGGCTGTAGAATTATTTAGTTAAGGTAATTCTAATTCCTAGAACAGATAGACTCTCCAAAATCTCAGTGGATTTGTACAACAGAAGTTTAGTTCTCACTCTTGCAAAGTTCAAAAAAGGTCCAGATTGGGGCAGTTCTCCTCCAAGTGATTTGGAAACCCAAGCACCTTTCATCTCCTGCATCATCAATTTATCTATGAATCTGCCTAAAGCCAGTGGCAGGGAAAGAACATGGATGATCCTGCATGGGTCGTTTTGGGGGGCCAGTCCTGGAAGTAAATGCTCATTCATTGTATTGACTAGAAATCAGTCACATGGTTACATCTCTTTCTGCAAGAAAGGCTGGGAAATGCAATCCAGCTGTGTACCCAGGAAGGCTGGAGAAATGGGTTTCATGAACATCTAGCTGGTGTCTACCATGGAGATGAGAAAAAAGTCCAGGTCAAAATTGTAGCCTTTGAATAACAAAACCTTAGGGCCAAAATAGAATTTTAAAGTCATTTAGTTCATCCTCCTTATTTTGAATTTAGTTCAATTTCAAATAAAGGCAACAAAGTTTGAAGACACTGTGGTAGGGTTTGTGGGCAACCCAGAGAGGAGCTTCATCCTGCTGCATCCCTGCCTTCCCTCTGAGGAAGACAATGCCACGTTGGAGGGGGCAGAACAGGGGCCAGATGTGTGTGATGAAATGTGAAGCGCAACAGAGGATTTCTAAATGACAGGGGACCTTTTAGAGGTGTTTCACTTAAATGTTAGTGGAATATGTAAGAGTGAAGATGGTACTATAAAGCTGGTAACAATCAGTAAACATTAGCTTTAACCAAGTGGTTCTTGAAGTGTGATCCCTGGACCAGCCACATCAGGCTCATTTGGCAACTTGTTGGAATTGCAGATTCTCAGGCCCACCCCAGATCTACTGAATGAGAAACTCCAGGGTAGAGCCTAGCAATTTGTGTTTTAGTAAGCCCTCCGGGTGTTTTAATCTATGAAGTTTGGAAAACTCTGCCTCAGAGTACATCAGCTCTGCAGATATATATAAATATATATATATATATAATTATTTTTTTAGATCTTCGGGCCTTTGAGACATCCTAAACTGTAAAGGTTTCCACTGTTCTTCCATGTTTATTCCAATGTTGTAAGATTATTTTACCATCAAATATCAATAATATCTGAAACCTAAAGAAACTATATAAAGTTATATAGATTGTATTTTCAACAGTTATCCAAACTATTATTTATTATTAGTTTAATATTCTTTGGAGTCATAAGGGCATTTTGATCTAAAGGCCAGTTAGTGCTTAATTGCCTTGTTGGTCATTAATGGTGTTGTACACTGGAACTTTTATAAGTCATGGCTCATAGATTCCTCACTTTACTCAATAGCAGTGATACAGGGGAAACAACCAACCATCCATCACCTTCCAATCACTGAAGTCAGAAGGGCCCATTTCTTCACTGGTTGCATATCACACCCTGACCCATATTCATTGCCACAGCGGTATCGGAGGGTGGTGACATGAGGGGCGATGAGGCTTCAGGAGCCGGTGCTAACAGTGATACAGGATTAGGGGACGTGGCAGCTCTTCTGAGAGGCAAGAAGGTGGTGAGAAGTGTGATGACCTTGCTTCTAAATCTCAATTCTGCCACCACTGACTCTATGAGACCCTTTTGATTTTCATTTTTGTAACATGAAAGACCTGGGTTTGGCCTGTGGGTTTTAACTTCTTTGGAGCCATGGTCCCCTTCAGAATGTCTGGAAGCTGGGACTACTCTCCCCGAATATGTACATGTGCATATATACCCCCAGTCCACAGCCCTGGAATAGATGGTCTTTATGAGCCATTCCAGCCCTGACCTAATTGAAAGTTCTCATGCTTCTGTGAAACATTATGGAAAGGAAAAGTTCATTACTTACATTCTGGAAATAAATGTTGCCATCATCCTTCATGACCCTGTGGGTGCATAAGTCTCATGCTGTAAAAAGCATCTTTAATCTAGTTTAATCTAATTAATCTAGTTAATGAAGCAACTCTGATTTGTAATGCTGGTCTTAAGGTAGGGAAGTGGGCAATTCATTCCCGGTCTTCAGGTAGGAAAAAAGGCAAAGAGTTCACACTTTTTTTTACAAAGTAGAAATAACAGTTTTACATTTTCTTTAAGTTTGCATTTTTTATTTTCAACAGGGTTAGGAAGCAGCCAATCATAACTCAAGCTATTGGGTAGTAATTATCCTTCATCCGCTAATTTCTAGGCAGGAAAAATATGATTAAAATGAGTTTCCGCACAGCTGTTGATTAGGCATAATGGGAAAGTCATCATCATAAAACTAATAATCAGAGCAGAGCTAACATTTGGAAAGTTATTGTTGAGTAACCGGAAGGCTCTAAAAGCCAAAAACAATGTCCAACTAACTAGAAAATTACCACCACCCCCACATACTTTCCTGTCTACACTTCAACATCAATTAAACACAGCAAACTAAAACCAGTTAATTACATCAATTTTAAGGTCAACTTTCAACAACTCAAACCTCTGTGATAAACAAACCACAATATCGAAAGCTTTTTTGAAAAGTCAATAAATAAACAGCCATCATTCTAGGAAAAGCTGCAACACAGTTAACAACACATCAATAAATTCTAAACAAGCTTTGTGCTTTGATTAGCTCAAACCTCCTGTTGCCTCCCCATGCCCCAAATATGCATTCCCATTCCAATCAGGCCAGTGTGCCTGTGGCCCAGGGATGCTGCAGTTGGACAGCTGTTGGAGGTCACCGCTGAGCAGCTCTTTGCAATTGCAAAGCTCCCACTGGAAAACAGAGATTAATGAGCTCACAAATGGAACAGCACATAATTTCAGATCTTGGTGATGATAACAAGGAGCTCTTTAGGATCCTCCTTGCTTGATAACAGAATCACTTTCTTTCTTACGTTTGTCATCCAGAAGTCTAAAGTCAGTAGCAGTAATGGAAAGTTGGGCTAATGTGGAGATATTCCAAACAGAGCAAGAGCAAATGGGATTCTTGGCTTGTCTCTCATCGTGATCCTGATTGAAGACCACTGGACACATCTGTCAAGACTCTAACCGCAATCCATTGGAAATCACTGGAGAGCCAAAGGTGAGTGAAGATGAATGTATGAATGTATACTAGGGAGGTGTGGTAAGATAGCCAATGGTAAAGACAATTGCAACTCTAGGGTTTGGAATATTACCATCCTTTGTTGTTTTCTCTCTACTTTTGCCCCCTCTTACTTTTTTTTTTCTTTTTATGCATTTAAATTTCTTAGAACTCTCTTTCATTGTCCTGGCTGGAAGCACTGGATTCCTCCTTTCAAATGAACTAAAATATTTTCCAAGATGTCAAGTCAATCTGGGCAAACTTTCTCAACATAACCATCCCTACATTCCAATATCCCTCTTTTTCATTTTTCCTTTAAAAATAAACGTGCATTTTTTTCTCAAAAGTGACTGAGCTCCATACTCCACGCAACCACTGTTTTTAGACCATCCAGATGCTTTGACACATGATTTTATATTTTAATAGAAGAAGGCTGAATATGAATTGCAAAATCATCTGTCTCCTTTTCCATCATAAGAATGTGACAACTCATTAATCTCAATTCCTTAACAAATAGCAGTCTTCTCACGTGGGTAAAACTCCATAATGTTAAAGTCATTGCTTTGCAAAGACATTCTCATAAGATTCTATTTCCAGGAAAACTCCAAATTTCTAGTGCTCTGAGTGTCGGTCACTTTGACAGAAGATGGATGGTCAAATATTTGAAATTTGCATTGAGAATTAAGGAGTTATCTACCTTTTCCTGGGATTACTTTGAGGAAAAGGAAAGAAACGTAGAGACTCTAACTGTGAGGAGTTGGAGGACAAAGACTCCACTGGGAGAAGCATGAACAAAAGGGAAAAGATGATGAGAATGATGGCACAGCACTGAATTAGCGAGGAAGGAGTTCTCTTGAATGATATTGGTCAGTGTTTGTCCTCAACTCTGCACACAAAGCTGTAGGCCTTGTTGCCTACTTTCTGGGTTACAATTGAAGCCAACAACTCTAGTTCCCCAGGACCAGAATGGTCCCACAAGACCCTCCTACTCGTGGTTCTAGGAGGATGATGCAAAATTCCTACTCACGCCCTGTTTGGAGAGGGCTTGGCTTCCCTGCTTGGGACAGGATTCCAGGCAGTGTGCCAGGAGGTATTCCTCAAGAATTTCACGAGGTCTAAACTAGGGAAACGTTTCACTTTCCATCCCCTTGTAGTTTCTTCTCAACCCCCTATGCTCTCATTCTCATATTTTAGGACATGTCTATTAATGGCATGATATAGAATGGATTGAGGTAGATTAAGAAAAAGTTGCAATAATCTTGAAATGTTAAGATTGGTGTTTCTGCTATAAGTCTTGTAGAATCACTGGAAGCTTTGAAGTGCCAAAGGATGTCCAGAGACTTCAGAACCGGTTACTAAATCTTTGCTTTTCTTAATCTTTATATTTCAGGATCTGGGTGGTCTCATTTTGACTTCATTAAATTTCTCAAATTTTACCTGCTGTAGCCCAAATTAGACTCTGCTTCTCCTTCTCTTGCCATCACCAGGAAAAGGGTGGAAATGGGTGATGCTGAAGTTTAGGTGTATTAGTTCATTCTCACATTGATATAAAGGACTACCTGCAAGGCGGGCTGATCCCTCGAGGTCAGGAGTTTGAGACCAGTCTGGCCAACATGGTGAAATCCCATCTCTACTAAAAATACAAAAAAAAAAAAAAAAAAATTAGCTGGATGTGGTGGTGGGCACCTGTAATCTCAGCTACTTGGGAGGCTGAGACATGAGAATTGCTTGAACTGGGGGCTCGGCAGAGGTTGCAGTGAGCCAAGATCATGCTACTACACTCCGGCCTAAGCAACAGAGTAAGACTTCATCTCAAAAAATTAAAAAATTTTTAAAAAAAAGAAAGAAAAAAAGGACTACCTGAGACTGGGTAATTTATAAAGAAAAAAGATTTAATTGACTCAGTTTCACAGGCTATACAGGAAGCATGGCTGGGGAGGCCTCAGGAAACTTATAATCATGGCAGAAGGCAAAGAGGAAGTAGGCACATCTTATGTGGAAGGAGCAAGAGGAAGAGAGCTAAGGGGGGAAGTGCTGCACACTTTTAAGCAAGCGGATCTCGTGAGAACTCACTCATTATCATGAGAACAGCAAGGGGGAAGTACTCCCCGGATATGTTTTGGCTGTGTCCCCACCCAAATCTCATCTTGAATTGTAGCTCTCATAATTCCCATGTGTTGTAGGAGGGACCTGGTGGGAGATAATTGAATCATGGGGGCGGTTTCCCCTATGCTGCTCTTGTGGTAGTGAATAACTCTCACAAGATCTGATGATCTTATAAGGGGAAATTCCTTTCGCTTGGCTCTCATTCTCTCTCTGGCCTGCTGCCATGGAAGATGTTTCTTTCACCTTCCACCATGGTTGTAAGGCCTCCCCAGCCACATGGAATTGTGAATCCATTAGACCACTTTTTCTTTATAATTTACCCAGTCTTGGGTATGTCTTTATCAGCAGTGTGAAAATGGACTAATACAGCCACCATGATTCAGTCACCTCCTAGCAGGACCCTCCTCCAACATTGAGGATTACAATTTGACACGAGACTTGGGTGGGACACAGAGCCGAACCATATCATTAGCGGAGAAATTGCAGGAACTTACTTTGATTGAGTGTGAGAAGATGACTCCACACCATTCTCTGCATGAGTTGGCATACAATTAAGATAGTCTGACAGACTGATTGGATCTTATAACCTAGGCCAAGGAGGCCATTATATCATTCATCACAAGCCTGCAGGCAGGCCCTGGTCAAGGCTAGCCTAGGGAGGAGAAGAGGAAGCAAGTCATGATGGGTCAATACCACCTTCTCTTTCTCAGCCTTCCACATCCTAACCTCTGCTGTTATTCTCAGCTGATGATCTCACTTTCCACCTTTTTAGGAAAACAGAATCTAGATGTACAAGTCTACTGAGGTAGGGCCTCTCTTCTCTGTTGTTTGAGCCTCTCCTGCCACCAAAGGCCAACCCTCCACTTCACCTTCTCAAGGACCTTTTCCCTTTGTTTCTCCTCTCACTTCTGAATCTTCAGCATCTCTCCCCTCCCTTTTTTTTTTAGACAGAGTCTCACTCTGTCCCCCAGGCTGGAGTACAATGGCACCATCTCGGCTCACTGCAACCTCCACCTTCTAGGTTCAAGTGATTCTCTTGCCTCAGCCTCCCAAGTAGCTGGAACTACAGGTGCGTGCCACCACACCCAGCTAATTTTTGTATTTTTAGTAGAGATGGGGTTTCAGTATGTTGGCCACGCTGGTATCAAACTCCTGACCTCGTGATCCGCCTGCCTCAGTCCCCAAAAGTGCTGGGATTACAGGGGTGAGCCCCCGTGCCCAGCCAGCATCTCCCGCTTTATTCAATTACTATCATGACTAGATAGACATGTCCTTAAAAACACAGAATAACCCCCCTCCTCCCATATGTCTCTCCTGATGCTTTCCCATTTCTCTTTTGTTAAATGCCAGCATCAGGATATGGGCAGGAATGGCAGTAGGGTGATCCAGAGAAAGTAACAAGGGAAGAAAACATAACTCTATTATGAGAACAGGTTAGACTTCTCCCTGCACAGGAAGGGGGAGTGGTGGTGGGTACTTGTAGGTAAGTGTGAGCAGAGTGTGAGGATGAGTGTTTATTCTAACAAGCATTTAGTGAGCACTTACTCTCTGACAGATACTCTGCCAAGTGCAGGGAATGTAAGGATGGCTAGCATTTTGTCTCTTCCCTGTGAATACAGAAGTGTGAGCCTAGAAAAGAGAGGAAGAAAGGAAGAAGGAAAGAAGAAGGAGAGAAGAAGGAAGGAAGTCAAGGCAGCAAGAGAAGCTAACTGCCCCCACCCCCAATCTCACCTCCATCCCAGTAACACAGACTCCTGGGACTAGCTGAAAGTGATGGCTAGGATCATGGCCTCCAATATAACATCTTTAGAAAGCCCCTGAATGGCTTGAACTTAGGAGGTCGAGGCTGCAGTGAGCTGTGATTGTGCCACTGCACTCCAGCATGGGCAACAGAGCAAAACCCTGTCTCAAAAATAAAAATAAAATAGAAAGCCCCTGAGATTTATTGAGCCCTTGTTCTGCACAACTCTGCTTTCAGCTTCCTATCCTTGTACTCTTGAGCACACTAGGCCTTTTACCCAGCCCAGGAGCAGTAGCAGCAGGGCTGGGGTCAAGATGGCAGTTGAGTATTAGTACAATTTTCCAAGAGCCATAACCTTAACCTAGTAGCTAGGCTCCAGATGTTTCTGTCAATGCACAGGCCTTTTGGGGAGCCTCCTGTAGACTCAAAAACATAACTCTTCTGGTTTAAGTGTCAGTATGCTTTAGTCTTTTTTGTTTGTTTGTTTTTTGAGACAGAGCCTCACTGTGTCGCCCAGGCTGGAGTGCAGTGGTGTGATCTCGGTTCACTGCAACCTCCACTTCCCAGGTTCAAGCGATTCTCCTGTTTCAGCCTCCTGAGTAGCTGGGACTACAGGCACATGCCACCATACCCGGCTAATTTTTGTATTTTTAGTAGAGACGGGGTTTCACCATATTTTTCAGGCTGGTCTCGAACTCCTGATCTCAGGTGATCTGCCCACCTTGGCCTCCCAAAGTGCTGGGATTACAGGCGTGAGCCATCATGCCCGGCCAATATGCTTAGTTATAATGGTCATTTACAAATTAAGAAAATTGTTTCTCACTCTGTGTTCATGCTGTAAGATTGAGGTGACCTTGAGAAGGCGAAGCATTTCCTCTTAACACCTTTCATGTTCTGTATCATTTAAAGATAGTGCTGGGCTGCATGCAAGAGGAAGGGGCACTGGCAGTGACTGAAATAAGTAGGGAGGTTATTTATCTCATGCATCAAAGAATTCCAAGATAGGCAATAGGGCAGATATTGCAGGTCACGGTGACCCCAAAGATCCAGGTCCCTTCTCTCTTCCTGCTCTACCATCTTTAGACAAGTGCTTGGCACTTGTAATACAGCAGCTGAAGATCCAGGCATGGCTTCTATATTACAGACAGGAAGAAAAAAAGGGGGCACAGGGCAAGGGCTAAAGTGCCCACCAGCCAAGTCAGTCTCCTCTAAAAAGCTTTCCTGGGATCTCTACCCAGTGAATTCCACTTATATCTCACTGGTCAGAACTGGGGCACATAAGCCTCTTACTGTAAGGGAATCTAGGGAGGTATTTTAGTTTTCTAGTCTTTTTATGTGATGAAGACAAGGGAAAATTGAGCACTGGATGGCTTTTGAGTAGCTCACAGTGTGTGCCACACACCCCATGGAGCTTTCTCCCTGAAGCAGGAGTTTTCAGCCTGAATGTCCATTTGTATCCCTGTGGGCTTTTAAAATTAAAGCCCAGGAGCCCTCAGACCAATGAAATTAGAATCTGCAGGTGGAACATAATGTCAGTAATTTTATTTTTTTAGAGGCAGAGTGTTACTCTGTTGCTCAGAATGGAGGGCAGTGGTGTAATCATAGCTCACTGTAATGTGAGCCTCCTGGCTCAAGTGGTCCTCCTGCCTCAGCCTTACAGGTACCTGGAACTACAAGTGCATGCCACCATGCCTGGCTAATTTTAAAGTTCTCTGTAGAGATGGAGGACTTGCTATATTGCCTAGGCTGGTCTTGAACTCCTGGTCTCACACAATCCTGCCTCACCCTCCCAAAGTGCTGGGATTACAGGCGTGAGCCACTGTGCCTGAGCAACATCAGTAAAGTTTTAAGATCCTCAGGTGATTCCAAAGTGCAGTCAAGATCTGAAGCCGTTATTCTGCAGGCTGCCCTGAGTGTTAATTTTAATGATTCTCATTAGGAACAAGTGATAGACTATAAAATGTTAGAGGCTGGGCAGGACTTTCATGATCATAGAACAAGATTTGCTCAAGGTTAAATTTGTAGTCAATGAAGAGTTTGGGGTGGCATAGCCAGATCCTCCACCCCACCCCTGCAAATAATAATAGCCCCTGCTCAAGTTTCCTATTATATCCAGTCAAATGCAATGTGAAATATGTGGCTGTTTGGAAGAATTAAACCTTGATCCAGTTAGTACTGAAGGTTGAGGAGAGCAGGTAGCCTTGGACTGTAGCTGTCTCTCCTACACTCCAGTAATGATGCTCAGCTTGAAATCCAATTTGGGATGAGTGTGTAATTTACATGTTTATTTAATTCAGAGCCACTTCTCAGTAAATAGGATGCTCAGGGGCTTGAATTACCAAAGCTCTCTCTACCCAAGGCTCCCTTACTAATCTACTCCTGACATTTATTCACTGTGTGTGCAGCTGCCAAAAAGCCCAATGCTAAATGCCCTCATTCAGCTGGAGGTTTTGTCTTCTGAAGCCAAACAGCTGGTCTGTCTGAGTCCCTGGTGGTGTTGATTAACATGGGGTTTTCCAGACTGTTAGCACTGATGACAGTCTACAGATTACCCATCCAAACTAAAGCTTGGGGAGGTTAGGTGGAGTGACTTGTCCAAGGTCACCGAGACTATTTGTTGCAGCACCAGGATAATAACATCAGCCTTTAGGTTAACTCAGCTGGAGGTTGTGTGTGTGTGTCTGTGATATGGTTAGGCTTTGTGTTCCTACCCAAATCTCATCTTGAATTGTAGACCCAATAATCCCTATAATCCCCATGTGTCAAGGGAGAGAGCAGGTGGAGGTGATTGAATCATGGGGCGATTTCCCCCATGTCGTTCTCATGATAGTGAGTGAATTCTCATGAGATATGATAGTTTTATAAGGGGTTCTTCCCCTTTGCTCAGTTCTTCTCCTTCCTGCCACCTTGTGAAGGTGCCTTCTTCCCCTTTGCCTTCTCCCACAATTGTAAGTTTCCTGAGGCCTCCCCAGCCATATGGAACTGTGAGTCAATTAAACCTTTCCTTTATAAATTACCCAGTCTTGGGTAGTTCTTTATAGCAGTATGAAAATGGCCTAATACAGTGTGTGTGTTTTGTGTTTTTTTAGACAGAGTCTTGCTCTGTTGCCTAGGCTGGAGTGCAGTGGCACAATAATAGTTCACAGCAACCTCAAACTCCTGGGCTCAAGCCATCCTTGTGCCTCAGCCTCTGGATTGGCGAGGATGATAGGCATGCACCACCATGCCTGGCTAATTTTTTAATTTTAATAGAGACAAAATTTTGCTGTGTTGCCCAGGCTGGTCTTGAATTCCTGGACTCAAGCCATCCTCCCGCCTCGGCCTCCTAAAGTGCTGGAATTACAGATATGAGCCACTGTGCCCAGCCTTGATGGGATGTTTCTACAAAGCAGAAACATAACAACTTTGACTAAAGATACACTGGTGCATAGTTATTGCCCTCCAAATTTTCAGCATAAACCTTTAAATAATTCGGAACCCTGAACACACCCATCTTGCAGGAATAACTCAGCTAGCAGAGGGAAAAGCAAATAATTCTATGCTTTTCCTGAATTGGCTTCCTGCCTGCACTGCTCAATTACACCAAAAGGCCCTGTCAGCACCTAGCACATGCCTGGCCTACATGGGTTCACTCTAGATGGTTGTTGGTCTGAATTGATCCCTGCAAGGGCTTTGCTTTGCTATCCATTATTTAGAACACCTCTGCAGGACCACATTATTACCAGCTATTACATCTAGAGCAAAGCAGCAAGAAATCAACTATCTTTGGGATTTATGTGAAAAAGACTCGTGGTAGCTGGAAGTCATACATAGACCGATGAGTGTTTTACGGTAATGTGCTCTCAAAGTTCAATTTCTTAAGTTCTCTAGGTGATGCAAAATGATTGATTTTGAAAATGAATGCTGAAGAAATAAATTGATTCCTTTGAAGTAAGTGGACCATTAATTCTTGACCTTAAAATCTCTAAAATGTTTTAAAAGGAGTTGACTTAGCAGTTACTGCATTTTATAGAATTAACTCTTTTTCTTTTCTTTTGTTATATTATCTTGCTGGGGCCCATCCACTAGCTTCATAGTTCTTAGAAAAATAGGATAGAGCCTGCTATTGGCCATATGTTTCTTAATGCCTTACTTTAAACACACATGTAGTCAATGCTTGAAGGTATAGTGGGGGAAATTAAATCCATGGAAAAGCTCAAAGCCACATTCTACGCTACTTTAGGAAATGGCTGGTTATTTTGGCTGTGGCTCTAATTTGATCGCATTACTGAGGCTGACTGTCTTACAGCAATCCCTGGAGCAGTGTGATTTGGCCCACCAGGGTGCAAGCTCCTCACTTGGTTGTGTCTATCCAGACTGAGTGAGAGGCTCCACTTTACTCTGTGTGGAAACTTCCCCCAAGCTGCCACTGTGGAAGCTCTGGTGAATGGGCTTAAACTTCATTCATTTGTTCATTTCTTCATTCACTTATACCTTTATTTAGTCAATATTTAGTGGTTATCTACTATATGTTAACAGGCCTGCCCCTAACATTTGGAGAGCAATTGGAGGCCCACATACTATATGTCTAAATTTTAAGTTATAAATCAAACTAATGAACTGTTCCATCATATACTGTCATAAAGACCTGGAGGGCCGGGTTCAAATGCATAATCCTAGAGCTCCCTGGAGTTCTGCATTGGAACTCAATGGTGTGTGGAGACCTCCCCCATACCCTCCCTTGGCCCCCATATGGGAACGGCCCTCCCTTTTCTTCTCTCCCCCAACTCTCCCTGTCTGCCCAGCATTCTGAGGGACCTCACCTGCATGTACTGCTCCGTGGCCACCCATTGGGTCTTGGGGTCTCACAATGGTGTGTATTCTACCCTAGGGAAGATAAGAGGCCCACAATTCCTCCCTGGAAGTGGGTTTAGGGCCATTTGGTCAGGGACTTACTGATTCCTGGGTACCCATAATGCCATCTAGAAGAGGAGATAATGGGCTCTGGGTGGGTACTTCCTTTGGTCCTGTAGACCCCTTATCCTATGGGGAGGGCACAGCTGCAAAGGCCCAGAGCAGACCCTCTGGGCATTGGTTCAGGGCCCAGGGCAGGGGCTTGGCTGCCCCTCGTCTGAGGATGGTGCTGTTTGCCAAGTGCTGCAAGGCGACAGTGAGCAAGACTCCTGAGATTCTAACCTCACTGAGAGAGATAAAAATAAATGGATAGGTGGGCGCAGTGCCTCAGGCCTGTAATCCCAGCACGTTGGGAGGCCGAGGCAGGCAGATTGCTTGAGCCCAGGAGTTTGAGACCAGGCTGGGCAACACGGTGAACCCCTGTCTCTACCAAACAATACAAAAAAATTAGCCCAGCATGGTGGTAATTGCCTGTAGTCCCAGATGCTCTGGAGGCTGAGGTGAGAGGATTTCTTGAGCCCGGGAGGTCAAGATTGCACCACTGCCCTCCAGCCTGGATGATAGAGTGAGACTCTGTCTCAAAAAAAAAAAAAAAAAAAAAAAAAAGAAGAATAAAGATGAGTAGGATAAGGGTTTGGAGGCATTCAATGATGAGATACAGAGTGATTGATGAATGCTACTTTAGGGTGACTAGGGAAAGGCCTCTTGGAGGTGATGATGTCTTCACTGAGACCTAACTATATGGAGGCACTGTCCAAGCACAGGGAGCGCAGGGGCTGCAATGGCCCAGAGGCAGACTTGAGGAACCAGGTGGTAGGGAGCCCCTGGTACTGGGTTGTGGCTTGAGGGCAGTGAAAAATGGGCTGTGTTTGTAGTGGCCAGTAGGAGCTAAGTGATACAGGGCCCAGAGGAAAGAGAAATGGCCTGAGACTTCCCAACTGGCTGTCTCTGAGCAAAGGACATCCCTTGGCCTTAGCAGCCTCACCTGTAAAATTGAGATGCCTCATCTCTCTCAGAGGGCTGCAGAGGAACAGATGAGATGCTGCTGCTTCTGATATTGGACATGAACTAACTAAGCAATGATGTGCAGCAATGAGCTGCCTTGGACTGTGCCAGGGACTGCTGCTGGGAATGGCTCAGGAGCGTCTTTTTGCAGCTCTAAGGGAGGATTCTTTCTAGGGCATACTCACTCCCCAACCCCCACTCTCAGATGGGCTTTGAAGCCTTTCTCATGGCCTCTGTCTGTCCAGGGAGATAGCTCTCTGCCGACAGAGCAGAAAATGTCTGGGAGGCTGTGGAGCCAACACAGTCTGGACAAAGCAGCTCCTCTGCAGCCCTTCCTCGCCTGTCAATAAGGAAAGCCCAACCTACCCCAGACTGTGCCCTGGCCAGGAGCTGGAACGATGACTAAGAGTCAATCCCAGGGGCTCCAAACCAAGACGTCAATGGCCCACTTGGCACAGAAGCAACGTTAGCTCATCAAACACCAACTTGCCGGGACCAGCAGTGGGACTTTTCACCCAACCTCTCTCGGTTAAGGCTGCTGTTTAGTGAGAGGAACCAGAGGCCACATTGCGTGGTGTTTCTTTTTTAGGTCACTGTCTACACTGTACCTTGTGAGTTATCTGTTATCCTCAGTATAGACTGTGAGCTCAAACATTCCCAAAAGATCTTTTTGACATCGATACAAGGTCCCAAGTTAAGGAATCTCTTCAGAGATTGTGTAAGAATCTTCCACAATGGCGGTAGCTACCAGCTGTTACCCACTTTCTATTTGTCAGGACCCACACTGAGCACTTGAATCTCACAACCACCCTATGAAGGGAGCACCATTATTATCTCATTTTCCAGATGAGGAAAACATATATTAAAGGGATTGAGTAGCTTCCTTAGGGGCATACATTTGAGATTTGAACCTAGGCTTGTTTGACTCCAAAGCGACACTCTTTTTTTTTTTCAACTTTTATTTTTGGTTCAAGGGTATATATGCAGCTTTGTTACACAGGTAAACTCATGTCGCAGGGGTTTATTGTACAAATTATTTCTTCACCCAGGTACCAAGCCCTGTAGTATCAATAGTTATTTTTCCTGATCCTCTCTCTCTTCCCACCCTCCATCCTCAAGTAGGCCCCAGTGTCTCTTGTTCCCCTCTATATGTCCATGTGTTCCCATCTTTTAGCTCTCATTTATAAGTGAGAGCATGCGATATTTGGTCTTCTCTTCCTGAGTTAGTTTGCTAAGGATAATGGCCTCCAGCTCCACCCGTGTTCCTGCAAAGGACATGATCTCATTATTTTTTATGGCTGTGTAGTATTCCATGGTGTATATGTACCATGTTTTCTTTATCCAGTCTGCCATTGATAGCCATTTAGGTTAATTCTGTGTTTTCACTATTGTGAATAGTGCTGCCATGAACATTCGCGTGCATGTGTCTTTACGGCAGAACAATTTATATTCCTTTGGGTATATACCCAGTAATGGGATTACTGGGTGAAATGGTAGTTCTATTTTTAGCTCAAAGTGACACTCTTAATCACAGTGCTGTAACATCATCATCATCAGCAGCAGCAGCATCCTAATACATTTTTAGCAGAGTTTTGTACACATTAAATCATTTAATCCTCATAACCTTAAAGAGAGTTATTATTATCCCATTTTACAGATGAGGAAATGGGTACAGGGATTTTTAAATAACTGAAGTCTCATTGCTCATAGGTAGATAGTTTTGTAAATAAACACCTATCACCCAGAGGGGTCAGCTGAGGCTTAGTGAGATGAAGCATCTTATCTAAGATCACATGACCAGTCAGTGGCAAGGCAGGGACTGAACCTGAAGTTTGCCTGGCTCTCAATGCAAGCCCCTTAGAAATCTGCACTGAGTCTCCAACATGAGGACTCCCTGCCCCATATTTCAGTGCCTGGAGCAGAAAAATCTGGGTGGGGGTGCAAGAATTATTTTCACAGGGGTCCTTCCTGTGTGCATGTGCCATGTGTGACTCAAGCACCCTGGGAAACTGAAGGTTCAAGGATCATTGTGCAAGTCCTCCTTGTGGTGGATGTTTTCACAAGTATCACTGAAGGACAGATGATGAAAGAAGAAAGGAAAGCACAGGAGCTGAATAATCCAGAAACTGGATAATTAAAATGGACTCTATTTGAGAACTACCTGGCAAAGACCTCTTGCTGGCTACAATATCAGAATTCAGAGTTGAACCCAAAAGTTAAATGGCTACTTTCAATACAATTACAGTGCTTGGGCAAAACCATCTTTCTTTAAAAAAAAAAAAAAGTTTTCCAAAGGGAAGGGACAAACCTACCATTCCTTTCCCAGCAAATTTGAACAATTTGGATGGTACAATGGAAGAATTTAGCCTGTTGATGATAATAATGATGATGATAATAATGTCTCACTTTAACTTAAAGTAAGAGTCATAATGAAAGGCACGGGGTTAAATAAAGAGCATTTGCTTACTTCCTTAATGCCATAGGTTTAGATGAAGCATATATGATATGTCAAGTCCTTGAGTTAGGCAGTGAAAACCTAGAACTTGTCTGAATGTGGTTTATTTTCCAGTGGGGAAGCAGACATCAACCAAGCATCACAAGTGACTTTCAGAATATCAAGTGGGTGCAAAGATAGTCTTTTTGACAAATGGTCTGGAACAACAATATCCACATGCAAAAAAATGAATCTAGACACAGATCTTCACAAAAATTAACTCAAAATGTGTCATAGATCTAAAGGTAAAATGTAAAACTGTAAAACTAGAAGATAACATAGAAGAAAACCTAGATGATCTTGGGTTTGGTGACGACTTAGATAAAAGAGGTGATTAGAAGTAAGCAAGGGCTGTGAGAAACAGGGTAAAATGTTTGAATTTGGGCCTAAAAGTAAAGCCAGAAGTGCAGAGCTGTGTTATCAGCAGGATCAATCACATGCAAAGGCAAAGCAGGTGAGGTTTTGTGTGACTGGGTTGCCTCCTTTACTCTTTCCTCAACTCCCCCTGCTCCCAGTGTCTAATATTCCAACATTAATGGCAATCACTTTATTCCTCCCACAATTCCCTACTGCTGTGCCAAAAATAGTCTGGTACTCCCGGGGAGGGCTGCCAATACTGAAGAGATTACAGACTGGGGGATTTGAGAGCAGGCCCTATGGTGCATGTAGAAAGCAGGGTGGCACTGGGTGTCTAAGGATGGGTCTGGAGGGGAAGCTGGAACAGCAGCAGAGGAGGCGGGGCTCTGGGTCTGTTGTATTCCCTAGGGTGGCTCTTGACTGACAGCTGCACTAATTGCAGATTACATTGCTGATACATTATCCATATAGCTGAATTGATAATGTTTTGACAGCGAAATGTTTTATGACTAAAGACTCCCAAGGTGAAGGAAACCAATTATGAAACATGATGGAGAATCTCACAGAAGCACACACCACTACGCTCTTTGTGGGCACGAACGTGTGTGGGTCATGGTCATGTGCTTGGCCCTGCTTTCAGCACTTTGTAAAACCCCCCACCAGCCCCCATCTCATCCTGGCTCTGACCTGCCTCTTTCCAGGGGTCTCTTGGCCAAGTTTCTCTTCCTGCCTGCCCCTCAAAACCCCATGCTCTGTTTTAAAACCACTGACAATCCTGTCTAAATGACTTTATTTGCAATAAACCCATTTTTACCCCAAATGCATACATTCCTGTGTTAGTGTTTAAAAGCTAATGGTGGCACTAAAGTGTCATTTGTTCATTCACTCATTGGTTCTAATAAATGGCATTCATCAAATGCCCATGATATCCACTAAAGTTAAACATGCCCATATCCTATGACCCATCAATTTCACTCCTAGGTATTTACTCAAGAGAACTTAGTGCATGTGTTTACAGAAGCACATATATGTGAAGGTAGACAGCAGCTTTATTCATAATTGCCAAAAATTGGAAACAAACCCAAATGACTGTCAAGGTGAATGGATACACAAATTGTAATATATCCATGCAATAGAATACCCTGCAGCAATTAAAAGGAACAAACTATGGGTCCGTGCAACAACATGGATGACTCTCAAAGACGTTATGTTGAGCAAAATAAGCCAGTTAGTAAAGTCTACATACAATATAAATCCATGTTAAGAAGTTCAAATCAGGTGAAACAAATCTATGGTGTTAAAAGTCAGAATGCTGGTTGCCTCTGAGGGAGGGGGCTATTGACTGGGAAGGGCATAAGCAAACTGGGTTATTGAGCCTGGAGAAGCCTTCTGGAGTGATGTAATTTTTCTAAGTCTTGACTTGGGTGATTTGCTTACATGGGTGTACCCATATGTAAAAATTCATCAAGCTGTACACTAAGATCTGTACACTTTACTTTAGATAAGCTATACCTCAATTTTAAAAAGTGTTCACCACCAGGGCAATGTGCATCTGGGCTGAGTCCAGCTGTTCCAGGCCACCACTGTTGAGAAGAGTCAATGGCCCAGATGAGGGTCTGGGCAGCCCTCCCTCAGGGCCCTAAGGAAAATGAGCAGTCATTGGGTGACAGCACTAACTGCGGCTCAGGGTACTCCAGGGAAAGAGAAAAGACTGTTAAGGCAGAAAAGAGGTGTGTCTGGTGGTCACTGCTGAGGCCTGCAAGGAAGGCTGATCCAGTGTGGACCACAGCAGGGTCTCAGAGAGGCAGGAAAGAACCTCCCTCATCAGTGCCAGTGGCTCAGAAGCTGGAAGAACTGCACAGCTGTGGGCAGGCCAGTAGGCAGTGATCCAGGGAATGGAGACCCAGGGGTCTTCTTACCAGGAAGTGAACATGTGGAGGAGCAAAAAGAGAGATACCCTGTGAATAAAGCAGCTCCTTTCTATTTTTGAATGTGTACAGACATTATTTCATTTAAGTCTCACAACTCTGTGACATAGCCTGTATTAGCCCCACTTTGCAAACAGGAAACTCAAATCTGAGTTCATAAGATACCTTGAAGGCCTGCAGCCAGTCAGTGCCTCATTCAAACCCAGGGCTTGGGGCCCAGAACCTGCACCCCAGCTACTACACTGTCTGCCAGATAACGAGTGTGAGGACAGCTTATTCAACCCATGATGTCCGTCACACATAAACTGCCTGTTTTTTCAATGTCTGTCCCCATCTATGCTCTGCTCCTGAGTCAAAGGCTTCCTTAATGTCACCTCTGTCCAACTCTGTAACTTCATAATTTCAGTTATTAAAATGGGATAATCCAGTTATTAAAACTCAGCCTCATTTGTTTTAAAACTCCAACTTCATATACTTTTTAAAGTGTTATTTTGATTTTAATTGGCATATAATTGTACATTTCCATGATGTTTCGATACATGTATACGTTGTATAATGATCAAATCAGAGAGATTAGCATATTCATCACCTCAAACACTTGTGATTCAAATCTTTCTTCCTTTCCCAAGCTCAGGCTCACCTGCAGTTCTAGGGATCTGGAGCTGGGAGGTGGTGTGGGCCGCTCCCTTTGCTGTTCCCCACCCCTTCCCCATCCTTCTGTAGAGGACGGAAGCTGTCTCCTTAAGCAAGAGCATGCATTAGTTGACGTTTGGTTTCTGATGGTTGTCACCACTGATCCATTTCCCTTGTTGGAGCCCCTCACTCCCATGACGCATCCGTGGCTTTCGTGTACCTGTGAGACACATCTGACCTTCACTTGGGGCCTCTTCCTATGCTCCTCAATCTAGTAACGCTTCAGCCCCAGTCTCCTCTTCCTTCCTTAGACTCTAATGCTGGGGCTCACGGCTTGGATCAGATTCATCTTTTATATCTCTGAGGCCTGGGAACTTGAGGGATATTGTCTTAGTTCTGGTTGCTATAACAAACTGCCATAGGCTGGGTGGCTTACACAACAAGCATTTATTTCTCACAGTTCTGGAGCCTGGGAAGTCCAAGATCAAGGTGCTGGCAGACCACATGTCTGGTGAAGGCCTTCTTTCTGGTTTGCAGATGGTCATCTTCTTACTGTGTCCTCACACGGCAGAGAGCAGAGAGAGAGGAAGCTTTCATTTCTATTTGTAAGTGTACTGATCTCATTCATGAGGACTCTACCTTCATGACCTAATTACCTCCCAAAGGTCGCACTTCCGAACACCATCACATTGGGGGTTAGGATTTCAACATATGAAACGAAGCAGTGGGAGGACACAAACATTCAGTCCATAGCAGGTATCCTTGCCCCTCTCCCCCAACACCAGCCACAGTGCTACTTCTCCCTGGTACACTTTGCCTGATTTGCAAGCACTTGGACAGGCAGGGAGTCCAGTGGCTAATCAAACAACCGGGAAGAAGATGCCAGTCTTCCCTTCTGGAATAAAATCTGAACTGTATAAGCAAGTCTTCTTGGGACTTCCTTCCTCAACTTCAATTTTTAACAAAGGAGTCCCTAAGGAACTGTGACAAAAGAGCACCAATTCCCTTTCCCTCCCAGAGTGGGGAGAAACATGACCGATCCTCATGAACACTATCTTCCCATCAGAGGCAACCTCCTCCTCCTCCTCCTCACTCACTTCCTTTTTTTTGTTTTTGTTTTTTTTTTGAGACAGAGTCTTGCTCTCTTGCCCAGGCTGGAGTGCAGTGGCACAATCTTGGCTCACTGCAACCTCTGCCTCCCGGGTTCAAGCGATTCTCCTGCCTCAGCCTCCTAAGTAGCTGGGACTACAAGTGGCTGCCACCATGCATGGCTAATTTTTGTATTTTTAGTAGAGAAGGGTTTTGCTATGTTGGCCAAGCTGGTTTCGCACTCCTAACCTCAAGTGATCGGCCTGCCTCAGCCTCCCAAAGTGCTGGGATTACAGGCATGAGCCACCGTGCCCAGCCCTCCTCCTCACTTCCAATCTTCCTTTGGTATCTCCAGGATGAAAGCCCCAAGCCAGTTCATCCACCAGTTCATCCCCCCTTCTGCCTAGAAGGGGGCCTTCTTTGAAGTAAGTGCTGAAGAATTTAGCAATTTTATTATCAGCAATGTCTCTACCTGAGGTGTTATCTCTGAACTACTAGGTAACCTCTAGGGCAAGTAAATAGTTCAGTTCAAACTCTCACCAACTCAGTTACAAGTTTGCTCCTGAAAGGCCTTTATTGGGAAGCCCACATTCCTGCATGAGGTAGTGAGGTGGTTTGCCTCCTTTTAATACACTGTTCATCATGCTACATTGCTTAGGAAAGGTCAGATTCGTGAGGTTTGTCATGGCAGAAAAATACTTCCAGAACCCCTAGGAATGGTGGCTGCACAAAGTCACTCATGTAGGGATGATTGTGCTTATTGATGGGGATCTGCAGGATGGGGATTGATTTTTCTCACTTGTCTCTTGGGGCTTATGGAGTGCTCATGAGTACTATTGCCACATGACAAAGCACACCAAACTTAGTGTCACAAAACATTAGCCATTTGATTATGCCCACAAGTTCTGTAGCCCAAGAATGTGAAACAGACATGATGGGGATGGATTTTCTCTTCACATGTTTTGGGCCTCAGCTGGGAAGATTAAAACACAGAGGGCAAACTGAGGCTCCAACTTCCATGTCTCTGATGCCTGGGCTGGGTGGACTTGAAGACTGTCACTGCCAACTGGAGCATCTACATGTCTCTTCTTCACTGGATTGCACCTCCTTACAACATGGCAGCCTCAGAGAAGCTGGACTTCTTACGTGGCAGCTTAGAGTTCCAAGAGTGTGTCACTGTATTCCCAAATCACAGGCCTTCCAAGACTCCGGCGGGGAGAATATGACTTGGGAGCTATTGTTATGATGGCCGTTCTAGGAAAACACCCTGCCATGGGAGCCCATGCCTCTTTTCCAGCCTCGAACATCTCAGATTCCAATAGAGCCAGGTGAAAGGGCACCACGCCTCTAGACAGGTGCATATCGACTAAAAGCACCAAGGACAAAATCACTATACTGCGGAAATATTGTTTATTCTAGAGAGTGAACAATTATTTAAGGTGTCTAAAGATATCAACAGCAGGAGTGGTTGTCCTGTCCTATTTTTCAAGAGTACAGTGCTCACAGAGGGAAGCATTTCTCATGGGCCATTTGTTGCAGTGCCACTAAGCCGTACCTCAGGGATAAAGCTGTCTCAGGATCCAGGGCAAAATTAAAAATTTGTGATTCCCACCCAAAAGGGCAAAGGCACCTCAGAGCATCGTCATCATCATTATTTTTTATTTTTATTTTAAGGAAATGAAGTCTCAGACATATTGTCCAGGCTGGAATGTAGCGGCTATTCACAGGCATGATCATAGTGCACTACAGCCTCAAACTCCTGGGCTCAAGCAATCCTCCCATCTCAATGTCCGGAGTAGCTGGGACTACAGGTATGTGCCACTGCACCCAGCAGGACATTATTTTGAGTGTCCCCAAGTGGGACAGCAAATGTTTGAATCTCTCTGGCCCCTTTGGGTGTGGTGACCAGGATGGGCCATCCATTAAGGTACATGGGGCTGGGGTTAGAGAATAGAGCTTCTCCCTATGAATCATGGAGTTGCCAAAACTAGAAAGTGAAGTTCAGCCAGAGAAGAAATGAGGTCCAAGCAACCACATGGAGGTTCCAGAGAAGGGAGGAGAACTAGATACAGAAGTTGTGACTGAGTCAGGCATTTGGGAGATAAAGAATTAGTTTGAGAGGAAATGGAGGAAGGGTCTTGTATTATGCTGTGCTGTTCAATGAGGTAGCCAGTAGCCATGTGCGGCTATTTAAATTTAAATAGCTAAAATGAAATAAAATTAAAAAGTCAGTTTTCAGTCACACTAGCCACATTTCAAGTGCTAAATAGCTACATGTGTCTAGTACATGCTGTATTAGGTGGCATAGATTATAGAACATTTACATCATCACAAAAAGTTCTACTGGACAGTGTTGACTCTATAACAATTGCCTAGAGCAGGCAGCTTTTTTCATGAACCAGCCTTAGCATGATGGCGGATGGGAAGGGGAAGGTGGGGAGGTAGTCAGGAGAATGTAAGCGTTCAAGAGTGGATTTGACTTTCCAAAACAACCCAGAGTCATCTGGAGCCAAGTCATACCCTGGATCTGGCATCCTCATGCTCAATAAATTTTTGATGATTAAATAAATAAGTGCTTGAGCTGTACAGTATCGTTTGGTGGGGATAGGGGTGGGGAGGAGACAGAGGCCTCTACAAAATAGAGGGGCTAAATTTTCTTGTGTAGCAGCTCATTAACTAAATGAAAGACATTCTAAGAGGAGCTTCAGAAATGTTTTGAGTAGTGTCAGCAACATCAGAATGAGTATAAAGCCTCTGAACATAACTACCTTGAAAGGGACCACATTCAACTAGCTGGCTGTGTTACCAAGATTAAGACCCCTAGCCACTCTGGGCTTCAGTTTCCTCAGCTGTAAAATGAAGAATTAAGACTGAAGACCAAACCCAGCTCTTTCTGTGTGTCTGTGATTTGGTTATTTAAACTCTATTATTATCATCTTTGTTAAAAGAGCTTTTCTTGTCATACCACAAAGCTACTATGAAAGCATCAGGGAGAGCAAATAGGTTTCATCTCATGAGCCAGTTTTGATTAATTGGTAGTACTTGCTTGGAAAACTCTGTTGGGAAGAGTTCAAGGCCAAGTTCAAGCTTAGTGATAGGAGTGTCCTGGTTGATTAGTAATGTCTGCCTTGGGGATGGGAGTGGTGGAGCACTGGGACACCTACCATCCCACCTTTAGGCACTGCCTTACCCAACACCCAAGCCTAAATGTTTACTTTCTTAGCCTTTCTTGCAATTAACAGTGGCCATGTAACACGATTCCTGTCTAGATGTGTGTTAGCGGCTATGGCAGCCATCTTGTGACCAGGAGGAAGCTTCTGAGAATCACAGAGATGCAACCTCTGAAGCTGCCAAACCACTGCCAGCAGCTGCCTAACCACTGCCAGCAGCTGCCTATCTCCAGACATCTTGGTAGGTGAGAAAAATAACCCCCTATTCATTTCAGTTCCCAGAACTTGGGATTTCTGTTACTTTCGGCTAAAGGTTTTCTGGATACATCCCAGATCACGCATCTGCCTTTGCATGGGCACACATAAATGGTCTTTGCTAAATTTCTACTACTTGTCCTTTTCATTCAACTTCTTAGTGTTCAGAGGTGTTCCCCTTTGTCTCTTCTCTGGGATTTTGAATTTATGCTACTCTGCTTGAGGAAGCTCTGGAGACATATTCCTTAATCACAACATTCTGTGAATATTGAAAGCCTGGGCAATGGAAAGAACATTGGCCAGAATGTCAGGTGGGGCAAGTTCCATTCCTACCACTGTCACTCACTGTGTGTACTCAGACAAGTCACTTGGCCTCCCAGGACCTCAGTTGCACTCTGTAAAATGAAAGGCTGGATTATAAAACTTTCAGAATCTCTTTTTAGCTCTAACTCCTATGGACCCTGATTGAAATGGATGTAGACATGTTTGTTTTTCCTTTTGTTTCATGCTTTTCCTTGGGTAACTGCACATTTTACCTTCAATAGGTACACATTATGAAAATCCACCTTGTCGGTGAAGTATAGCTCTTTCTTCATGCTGAAGCAATAGTTCTTTGGCAAGGAATAACCAAGGAGTTTTGGGATAAGACAATCGGGTCAGACACATGGCTCCATCTCAGAACTATCTTGACACATCTGTCTCTCTCTGCCTGCCCTTTGCCTGCCTGAAATTTGATATTCAAGCTATCCTACTACCTGGATCTGGGAAGCTCCTCCATGTTTTGGATTTCTGCATGCCGGATTTGTCCTTTCTCCCCTGGCCCCAACTCCTTCCCTATTTATTTTCACCTCTAATAACCTCTGATCTTTCCTTTGTGCTCAACATTTCTTAACCTGAAATCTGTAGGGTAGGCCCTGCTCTAACCACAGGCCCAAGGAAATCAATGAAAACAATAGTATTGCCCCTATATAGAGACTAAGATCTGTGCCTGTAAGCACTCCCTACCCTTCCCCTTGTATTCAGTCTTAGTGGCTCCAGACCCCTCCTTGTTAATGAGAAATCACTAGGATCCTTGTGACATGGTCTGCCTCCCTACCCAGGTTCTCAGAGGTAGCTAGCCACATGCAATCAGATGCATTAAGTAGCTGCCTTGTCAACATGCAGCAGCCAAGAAAAGTCCTTTCTAATCATACTTCCTGTGGACTTTGAGATTCAAGTTCCATTAGGTACTCCAATGATCCCAGCAATGTGATAACATTTCTATAGCAACCTCCTCAGGTTCATGCAAGCCAAGCACTCAGGCACCTTGGTTCCACCTCTGAGGCATGAGTGGACTGCTTATCTCCTGACTTTTAAACACCTATCAGCTGTCCCAACACTTGTGTAAATTTGTCCATTTGCTACTAGCCAAAGATGAGAACTGAGCTTGGGAAGTCATGGGGGAAGAGCCATAATGCATAACTCAATTTATCCTGGTTGCAAAATTAATTTAGGTGAACATAAGTCTACATGGCAATTAAAAGACTGCACACTCTGAGTGGGAGATTTCCCATCTTAGTGGAGAGCATACATGAAATTTTGCCTCAGCATCTGATCTGTAGTCCCTGCTCTATTCACATGGGCCTCTGCTCATATGTACCTGTTGTCTGGCTTTCAGACCTGTGAGTGCTTGCTTGACTTTCCTTTAAACTGTAGATTAGCTATCTGGATTTCTGATCTCCTGTGTTAGCTGGCCTTTAGTAACAGCATGCTCTTTTATGCTTGCGTACTTGTACCTCTGCACTATTGCATGTTGTGGCTCTAATAATATATATTTGCTTACTGTTTTTTTTTTTTTCATTGCTAACATTTCCATGGAGTAGCCCTGTTCTCTATAACCCATCACCCAGGATAATAGCCACAGACTATGATCCACATAGATATTTTGGACAATTTTCAATAACAGGCTGACAAATGTTAATCTTAGAAGTTGGTTAACATTTCAGAATACTAGGTAAACTCTGCATTACTGCAAACACAAGGTAATTAGTTTTCCTTTAGCTTAGGTTAGCTGAATCAATCTCAAAGAATAGAAAAAAAAACCACGAAGACCATTCACACTTTAAAGGGTCCCCCTCAGCTGTCCTTTACCTCCTTCCCTGCAACCAACAGTCTCCTATGGACATGGGATCTCTAGCATTCTCAGAGCGTCTGTAGGAAGAGATGGAGTTATTTATGAACACTGTGCATGATTACATGACTGTTACAATAATTCATGTGGAGTCATCAAATGGATGCTTAAGCCTTGCTAAATATATCGGACGGAAACTTTTAAAAATTTGAAACACAATTATGCAATTGGCTTTTGAGGTTCACATTCTGAAAAGGCATGTATTTAAAGATAAGGGGAGTTTCTTTCTGGCTTGGAAACTTACCATCTCTGGCTCTGAAACCATTTTAGAAGCCAGATGACTCTGCAAGTTGGAACCAAACAAAAGAGATGAGAAATATTCTGCTGTGAGCAAGTATTTCCTTTTAAGTTATGAAGAAAGGCATTTACTTCAGTTCTTATACAAGATTTCTTGTGATATTTTCCCTTCCCAGATTAGGTTATTTCTTCTGCTAACAAGCTGGATAATGTCCCAAAACAATCTAAATTACTGAACTTCACTAAATTTTGGAAAATGCTCTAACAAAATCTCATCAACACCTTGGCTACTGTCAAAGTTCCCAGATTCTAGTCTTGTGTATGCCATTTAATGTCTTTATTAGCATATGTGTATAAGAATAATCATGATGATAGTTTTAATCTAATACTATTTTCCTTGTCATGACAAGAACTGCTTAATGTGCAAAATAATAAACATGACTTCACACTTGCTGCAAAAAATAGTGAAAATCTGCATCAATCCAGAACCACACACCAAATGATAGTCTGAGTTGCTCTTCCTAATATGATACATTTTTAAACCATACATCCTGAATCACTGAAATGTATGAAACCAATGATTACATTTGTTGGCCTGGGAAAATTCAGGACAACGATCTGATATAATAATAATAATAAAAAAGCATTTATTTTACAATGAACAAGTTTTTTCAGACCAGAATTTTAACTAGTGACATTTCTCAGGCAGCAGTAATGCTATTGCCATGGATTTTCCAGAGAACATTTCACTTCACTGTTATTTATAACTTAGCTCAGCCTCTTTCTATTATTTATATTTAAATGTAGAAAGAAATCTTTTCCTGTTCCTATTTCTTTGGATTTTTCTTTTCAACACCCACACAAATCCATGAGTCATAAATGAGACTATGAAAATGAATGGTTCCCCATCACAGAAGAACACTCTTTGGCTACTCATGTGAGTTTAGATATAGTTGTCAAGGTAGGTTCAAACTGCAAATGAAACAATGTCATGTGAATTCTACTCAGAAAAAACAGAAATTAGGGAGTTGGCATATTGTCCTTATATTTTAATTTAACACAATAGATTTTTTATACAAACACATCCTTTTCTGAACTCTCACATAAATACTGTAAAATATGTATAAGTAGTAGAATGGGATGGTAAGAACCCAGCTTCTAATCTTAGCTCTCCACTTCCTGATTAGGTGAACAGCTAACTGTGGCCATCTGCAAAGCAGACAATACTGTCTGTCTAGCCTCCCCAGCAATGTTGCTAAGAGGGTCTAATGCATAAAATATGTAAGAGTGTTTTGTAAACGATAACACGCCATCACAATTTTAAGATATATTTATTACCGTTTCTTTAGCTAAATTAATTGTATGGGCAGAAGAATGACTAGGCAGTGGAATGAACTGACAGGCAGATTATAAATTCGTCTACTGCTGCAAACAAATTTAATGTTAAACTTAGTCCCCAAGGATCTGATAATGAATTTGGTCCTGTAATACAAAAGGACACAATTGATCACCATAAGTCAAGTCCAATTCAACCTGAATGATCCAATGATGAGTAAGTGACAAATGTCCAATATAGAGAGATGTTATTGCTTTTTGCAGTTGAACTCAGTTTCATTTTTATCCAAGAGTGAACTGCCCCTGCAAAACTCCATCTTAGTTATTTTGCATATGAGTATGTACCAAATGTTACAAATGTTATTCATCACCCTTTATAATAGTGTCTCTGTTTTAGAGATGAAGAAATTGAAAAAAAATTTTTTTTTGAGATAAGGTCTTGCTCTGTTGCCCAGGCTGGAGTGCAGTGGCCTGATCATGGCTCACTACAGCCTCCACCTCCTGGGCTCAAGGGATCCTCCCAATTAAGCATCCCTAGTAGCTGGGAATACAGTCACATGCTACAACACCTGGCTTTTTTTTTTTTGTAGAGATGGGATCTCACTGTGTTGCCCAGGTTGGTCTTGAACTCCTGGATTCAAGCAAACTTCCTACCTTGGCATCCCAAAATGCAGAGATTACAGACATGAGCCACCATGCCCAGCCTTGAAATCTTAGAATAACTTTATTATTATATAATTATAATAGCATATAATTACAACTCTGACCAAAGTTTTATGAATTAAACAAAGTTGTAATTATATGCCATTACTATTGTATTTGAACAAAAATTGTTAGAGTATTTGAATTGCATTTTTAAACTTTTTAGCTGAGCTAGGTTTACCAAACATACCAAAGGGTGTAAAACATGAAAAAATTCAAAGGATAATAATATAAATGGTAAACACTCCAACAATATTGAAGAATATATAATGAAAAGTTAGTCTCTCTAGCAGGGCAAACACTCACGTCACCCATCTCACTTCCTTCCAAGAACATACTCTAACCAATCCGGTGTGTCTATGCTTTTAGAATTTTTTGCATATATAAGCATTTATATATCTATTCTTTTAAAAACAAAATACAAAGGGTAGCATAATATACTTGCTATTCCACTTTTTTTTAATTTAACAATATATCTTGGAGGTAGTTCTACATCAACTTATTTCATATTTGGACATATAACAATTTGTTTAACCAGTTCCCTACTTATGAGCAATATTCTGCTGTTACCAACAAGGGCAAAATCCTTGTACATATATCTGCACATATTTTAAAAGGAAAGAATAAATTGATACTCTAAGACTTATTGAAGTACAAATTCATTACAAGTAAAAATAGAAAAAAGGGATTATCCATAATTTCTTTAAGTTTGAAAAAAATCCTCTGAATTATTTTTTAACCAGATGAGAAAAACAGAATGGAATGCCATAGCTTAACTTAAGTAAATTTGACCCTATGCTGATAAACATTTGGATGTTGCATATGATCACCCAAAAGTAAACTACTCTGCAGCCAACTTCAAGTGACACTCTAGTGTTTAGACAATAGTGAACTTCCCATAAAAAATAAACAAAGCAAAGTTACCTTCAGCAAATAGAGGAGATGTATGTAAGAAGATGATATTCAGCTTTGCTGCATTAAAAAAAATTGGAGAATTTTGCTATTTGGACTTGGTTTGAGGAGTTGTTTGTGGCAAGTCTCAGGACATAATATAATTTCACAAAAATGGTGCCATGCAGGTCATTTTCTCTGAGACTTCCAGGGAAGGAAAATATAGCCCTCCAAAATGAGATGGGGAGATTGCCTTTCCCAGAGGCCCCACTCTCAACTCTGCACGTCAGGCCCACTTTGGTGGTGCCAAGGCTAACATGAGCTGGTTTGGAGATAAAACCATCCCATGTGCCCATACGATGGAGACCTTCCAGAGCATTGTCACCACACTTGAATCTACTCTGCACCACTCCCTGAGATCCAGGAGAAGATGGTCTGGCAAATGCTTCCCTTCACCTATGGCTTTATTTGTGCCTCAGTTTCCCTTGCATTTTCTGCATTGTTCACCTAATATCAGTCTTTTTCTTTAATGGATATATTGTTTATCTAGCTTTTCAGGAAGAGATACATTTGCTTAAAAATAGATTGTCTTCATTATTATTCCAGTTAATTCCAGGATGATGTCAAAAGCAGTCCTGTTTGCTAGTGGCTGTGAGAAACCCTGTGTCTGGTCCTGCTGTGTGACTTACCAATGTCCTCCTCATCTGAAAAACTGGCATCCCAGAGTTTTTGGAAGGAGCAGACATGCAATGTGGTTTAAAATGCGTGTAAGCGACTAAAATTTATGGATCACTGTAAAAGTGTCAGCCATCCTAGTGATTATTTATCTTATCTCTGTCGCTTTTATGGCTATGTAGGTCCTGAGGCCGGATGGGAAGGGAGTTCTCTAAAGATGAATTACACTTAACGCCTCTCATTTTCTCTGCAGCCAAACCAGTGTGATTGCATAATGATCCTAACTCCTTTCACTGGCTTAATGGCTACATTTCCTTCCATGGATAGAGATTTGGGGGATGAATGTTTTTTACGGATCTTTCCCTTTGGCCATATTTCCAAGTTGTAATCCCTTTTAGGGTTTTGTTAGGATTATCTCAAGGAAGATTTTTAATGTCCTTGCTTGCCAACGTCCTGTTGGCAGGAGGACGCATCAAGAGTCAGCCAGTCCTAAAACTCTACTGCCAGGAAATGAGGCAGCAGTTAACAGGCTAGGGGAGCCGAGCCACATTCAATCTGCATCCTGCTCCGCGTCTGACAGGCTTTGCTCCTTCTGCCGACTTAAACAATATATTGTTTTCTTCTGATATAGAAGTGAATAAGTGCTTGTAAATAATTCAAACAATCCAGAGATGTATAATTTAGGAATTCAAAGTCACCTATTATTCCTTTCTCATAACTACTGTTAACAGTTTGTGGATTATTTCTCTGGATTTCTTTCTATACATATACTAAGATATGCATTCATTTTCTAAAGTGGGAATTAGAGTAGACACAAAGTTTGGCATCTTACTTTTACACTTAATACTACATATGAGACTTTTTCCTCATCTTTAAATGTATCTCATTCTTGTTAAAAGCTGCACAGTATTGTATGGAAGTAACACACATTAATTGGAATCTTACTAAAGAATATTTGGGTTGTTTCCAATATTTCAATATCATAAAAAGGAGTAAAATAAATATTTTTGTTCATATTTATTTGCAGGCTTGACCAAGTGTTTTGGTTGGATAAGTTCCTAGACATTGCTGTATACTCTTAAACAATGTTAAAATTTTAATTGCAAAATATGACAAAATAAGCTGTATTCTATTACTGGAGTAAGAACTGTTGCGTGAAGAAAATTTGGTCAAACCAAAGTGGAAATTTAATTGCCGCTGTAACAGTGGGATATTTGAGAAGTGGTTAGGCCATGAGGTGCTCTGCCATCATCAATGTATTAATGCCTTTACCTTGGGAGTGTGTCCTTTATAAAAGGATGTGTTCGGCCCCCTTTTGTCTCTCTCTCCCCTCTCCCTCTTTCTGCCCTTCCACCATGTTATGAGGCTGCAAGATTTTCGAGGTGCCAGAATTTTGATATTGGATTTCCCAGCCTCCTGAACTGCGGTTCAATAAATTTCTGTTTATTATAAATTACCCTGTCTTATGAATTCTGTTATAGCTTCACAAAACAAACTAAGACATGTATACAGGTGCTCACCACTCTCTTCTGTTCACTTGTCTTTTTTTTTGTGTGTGTGTGTTTTTATTTATTTATTTATTTATTTATTTATTTATTTATTTTATTGATCATTCTTGGGTGTTTCTCACAGAGGGGGATTTGGCAGGGTCATAGGACAATAGTGGAGGGAAGGTCAGCAGATAAACAAGTGAACAAAGGTCTCTGGTTTTCCTAGGCAGAGGACCCTGCGGCCTTCCGCAGTGTTTGTGTCCCTGGGTATTTGAGATTAGGGAGTGGTGATGACTCTTAACCAGCATGCTGCCTTCAAGCATCTGTTTAACAAAGCACATCTTGCACCGCCCTTAATCCATTTAACCCTGAGTGGACACAGCACATGTTTCAGAGAGCACAGGGTTGGGGGTAAGGTCACAGATCAACAGGATAAGAATTTTTCTTAGTACAGAACAAAGTGAAAAGACTCCCATGTCTACCTCTTTCTACACAGACACGGCAACCATCCGATTTCTCAATGTTTTCCCCACCTTTCCCCCCTTTCTATTCCACAAAACCGCCATGGTCATCATGGCCCGTTCTCAATGAGCTGCTGGGCACACCTCCCAGACGGGGTGGTGGCCGGGCAGAGGGGCTCCCCACCTCCCAGTAGGGGCGGCCGGGCAGAGGCGCCCCTCACCTCCCGGGCGGGGCAGCTGGCTGGGCGGGGGGCTGACCCCCCCACCTCCCTCCCGGACGGGGCGGCTGGCCGGGCGGGGGTCTGATCCCCCACCTCCCTCCCGGACGGGGCGGCTGGCCGGGCGGGGGGCTGACCCCCCCACCTCCTTCCCGGACGGGGCGGCTGCCGGGCGGAGACGCTCCTCACTTCCCAGACGGGGTGGCTGCCGGGCGGAGGGGCTCCTCACTTCTCAGATGGGGCGGTTGCCAGGCGGAGGGTCTCCTCACTTCTCAGACGGGGCGGCCGGGTAGAGGCGCTCCTCACATCCCAGACGGGGCGGCGGGGCAGAGGTGCTCCCCACATCTCAGACGATGGGCGGCTGGGCAGAGACGCTCCTCACTTCCTAGATGGGATGGCGGCCGGGAAGAGGCGCTTCTCACTTCCTAGATGGGATGGAGGCCGGGCAGAGACGCTCCTCACTTTCCAGACTGGGCAGCCAGGCAGAGGGGCTCCTCACGTCCCAGACGGGGTGGCGGCCGGGCAGAGGCTGCAATCTCGGCACTTTGGGAGGCCAAGGCAGGCGGCTGGGTGGTGGAGGTTGTAGCGAGCCGAGATCACGCCACTGCACTCCAGCCTGGGCACCATTGAGCACTGAGTGAGCCAGACTCCGTCTGCAATCCTGGCACCTCGGGAGGCCGAGGCTGGCGGATCACTCGCGGTTAGGAGCTGGAGACCAGCCCGGCCAACACAACGAAACCTCACTTTTCTATAAATGTGAAAACTATCCAATTAAAAAGCTGAAAAAAAAAGAACCAAGATAATTACCCAAAACCATATAGTAAGTCCTCACTTAATGTCATGGATAGGTTCTAGGAAACTATGACCTTAAGCAAAATGATGTATAATAAAACAATTTTTTCCCTCATCAGTTTTATAACAAATCACATTGAGGGAAACAATGTTATTCTAGGACTGCCGTATGTCACTTTGCTTAAAGTCACAGTTTCCAAGGACCTATAAGGACATTGAGAATTTACTGCATCTTGCTTTAATTTGCATTTCTTTCGTGAACGAGGTTGAATATTCTTTCTCATTTTCATTTACTAATTCCCATTTTAATTATGTGACTGAGCTGATATGACCCTTTACTCATCAGTGGGGGTCTTAATTGTTTCATATATAAGCTCTTTGTAGATATTGATACTAAAATCCTGAAACTCATTATTGCAAATATCTTTTTCTCAAACTATTTTCCTGTAATATTGGAAAGCCTGGCTCTAGGCTGGCCCACTTTTCTCTGATCTCCTCCCTGAGTGATCTTACCCGGTCCCATAGCTTAATGGATCATCTACATGCTAATGATTTCCAATTTTAGATCTGTAACAGTGACTTCTCTCGTGTCTTCCAGCAACATCCCAAAGGTAATGACAACCTTGTGCCCTGACATTGGTTTCCAAATATCCTTCCCAAGTAAAATGAACTAGGGCTCCATGGAGAAATGGCTGATTTCATGGCAGAAGCAGGAAAAGTAAAAGATAAACCTAGAACGTCTTGTTGTATCAGAAAGTAAGGATGAGTTCAAAGAATGATGAAAATTTGTCAAAGGGACACAGAAACCAGCTTGAAGGGGCTTTCGGTGGCCAAATCTAGAACAATTTGAGCATCAAAACAAATAATAAATGATAGTAATGGGGCAAAATAAGAATCCACAAGTCCACATGATACAAATCAGGACTTGGCTTTTCCTACAAAGGGTTGGATAATAAATATTTTAGTCTTGATAAGCCATACAGCCTCTGTCACAACTATTCAACTCTGCCATTGTAACACAAAAGCAGCCACAGACAATAGGTGAGTGTGTGGCTGTGTTCCAATAAAACTTTATTTGCAAAAACAGGCAGAAGTCCAGATTTGGCCCATGCATCATAGTTTGCCTATCCTTGCATCAAATAAACAAATGAATAAATAAACAGAGAGGACAGAAAGCTCTTAATCATAGCAGAATGCCAACTAATAAACCCAGAGGAGTGTTGGGGTTTAAAAAGTCACAATGTGGCAGCCATCATAGTAATTATTAATTCAGGTAGACATATCAACAGATGCTAAAAAATAGTGTGTAAAAGAAGGATGAGCCAAGGTGGTGCCATTGCACTCCAGCCTGGCAACAGAGACTTTGCGAGAAGCAGCGGTTCCAAATCAGCGTCCAGTGAAGGGTATACATGGAATTGAGGTGGAGGCTGCAGTCTTAGCAGCTATGGAAGGGGGGTCTTTGGTCTGCAGTGTGGCTTGGGTATTGCAAGGCTGGCTTCATGGGCAGTAGTCTCTACAGTCCCAACTGCCCTGCACTTAGAAGGGCTCCACACTTGGTTTAATGCTCTGCTATTCCTGTCTTAAAATTCTTAATAAATTTGAACAATAGACCTGCAAATTATGTTAACTGGTCCTGGGGTATTGATCTGACTGTAGTTTGGTCCTGACTGAGGAATCTAAACCCAGTCCTTCAGCCCTTCTAGAGACTTGGGGAGCTACCCAATACCACTGGTGTGCCAGGGCAAATGTTTAACAGCCAGTAGCTTCTTTGAGGATAAAAACAAATACAAACCATTTGACTTGAAGTGTCTGCTGATTCCTGCGGTATAAATATGCTCACCACTGCTGAGCTCAAGCTACCAGTGTAACGTCAGTCAACATGAAGCTGGAAAGAAAAATACAACAGCACATTGCTATATGGTATTTCCACCACACAGACACAATACATGTCATAGCCTCGACAGTATAGATGCCAATAAAATCTAGAAAGATATTTAAGAAGTGATGAGTTTCGAGCATTTATTATCTTTGATTTTGATATAATTTATTTAATTGTAAGTTTACTTTTTATTTATTTATTTTTTGAGATAGAGTCTCACTCTGTCACCCAGGCTGGAGTGCAGTGGCACAATCTTGGCTCACAACAACCTTCACCTCCAAGGTTCAAGTGATTATCCTGCCTCAGCCTCCCAAGTAGCTGGGATTACAGGTGCTCACCACCATGCATGGCTACTTTTTTTGCACTTTTAGTAGAGACGTGTTTTCACCATGTTGGCCAGGCTGGTTTCAAACTCCTGACCTCAAGTGATCCACTCACCTCGGCCTCCCAAAGTGCTAGTATTACAGGTGTGAGCCACCACATCTGGCCTAATTGTAAGTTTATAAATTTAATTTTTTTTTCTTTTTTTTTCTTGAGACAGAGTCTTGCTCTGTCACCCAGGCTGGAATGCAGTGGTGCAATCTCGGCTCACTGCAAGCTCCGCCTCCCGGGTTCAGGCCATTATCCTGCTTCAGCCTCCCGAGTACCTGGAACTACAGGCACCCGCCACCATGCCCGGCTAATTTTTTGTATTTTTAGTAGAGACGGGGTTTCACCGTGTTAGCCAGGATGGTCTCGATCTCCTGACCTCGTGATTCACCCGCCTTGGCCTCCCAAAGTGCTGGGATTACAGGTGTGAGCCACCGTGCCAGGCCAAATTTAATTTTTGATAATGGCCATGTTTAACAACTAGCTCACAGAATTCTTAAAAATTTCACAATTGACTCTTGTGAGCCAGTAACAAGCCAGCCCCAGCACATGACTCCTTTCTCCTTTTAATGAATTACTTTTCAGTTTAAGTCAGCCAGCGTTAGTTTCTGCTGCTTGCCATGAAAAACCCTGAGTGACAGGAGCAAGAATTATCAAGGTGTGTGCAAGGTGTAACCAATTATCCTATGTTGCCTCCTGTTTCCTGTTTTAATTCTCTCACTAGAAACAGGAAATAGGAGGCAACACAGGAGACTGACATGAACTACGAAATCCCATAATTCCTGGCCTGCTGATGATCCCATGGAGATAGGGTCTGCTGAGGAAGAGAGAGTGGGAGTTATCACAGAGTAAAGGTGGTCCCAATGCTGGGTATAGCCTGGTTATGTGTTAAATTCTGGGGTTCACACTCTAACTGCTTCAGAACCTTGAAGACAGGAGAGGCCAGTTAGTTCTGAGTGGGGCAGTCTAGAAAAGCCTAAGAAAAGAGATTAGATTTGAGCTGGCTTTGAAAGAGTGATAGGATTTGATAAAAATTTGGCTTCCATTTATAAACGTGGGAACATCTTGGAACCTAGCTGCCCTAAAAAAGCATACCCTTGTTAACTAATAAGCATTTTTTTGGTCATAGAAACCTCAAGAATATAAAAATGTGGGCGAGGAAACTTGGAAAACTCCAAATTTGTTCTTTCTCATGAAGTCCCTGTTACATCAGCCAAATAATCTCAGCTAAAATTTCTTGATACCCAATAATAACTTCTCTTTGTGTAGCAGTCCTAAGAGACAGAGTCTGTTATCATTCCCATTTTACAGATGAGAAAGTTGAAGCACAGAACTTAATAATGCATTGCAAGTCGCATAGATAGAAAGTAGTGGCGCTGAGATTTAGCAGAATGGCTCCATAGCTTATGCCCTTATCCCGCATGTTCCACCACTTCTCCAAATGTTGGCTTTCTCATCTATAAAACTGGAATAATAATACCTGCCTACTCCATCTCACAGTTGTGTGAGGATCAGATGAGATAAGACATATGAAAGTGCCTCAAGAAGGCCATGAACAGACTAAAGACATGGTCACAGTCATACATGTTTAAATGCAAATGGAAGGAAACGCAGCAATTTCTTGTTAATCCGTTTACAGCTTTCATTCTGCCTCCTGACATCTGGATGATGGGCTTCTTGCAAGCCCATATTTCTTCCCAACTGTGGCATGGAAAATTTTTTCACACACCACATCCCAACTCAAACTTTAACTTGCCAACATCATGATGTCTCCCATTTGAAACAACCTCCTTTGGAAACATTATCTCCTTTGGATAAGTGTTTAGCCTTTCTGATGATCTCCCACTTTAAAATGTACCTGGGATAAGGCCGGGCATGGTGGCTGACGCCTGTAATCCCAGAACTTCGGGAGGCTGAGGTGGGCAGATCACGAGGTCAGGAGATGGAGACCATCCTGACCAACATGGTGAAACCCCGTCTCTACTAAAAATATAAAAATTAGCTGGGCATGGTGGCGGGTGCCTGTAATCCCAGCTACTCGGGAGGCTGAGGCGGGAAAATCCCTTGAACCAGGGAGTCAGAGGTTGCAGTGAGCCAAGATCAAGCCATTGCACTCCAGCCTGGTGACAGAGCAAGACTCCGTCTCAAAAAAAAAAAAAAAAAAAAAAAATGTACCTGGGATTTGTTTGATCAGGTATGGTAAGGTGACTGGCATGGAGACAATTGCCTTGAGAGAATAGTGTATTACTTACACTTCCCCAGAGGAGGAGGGATGCCATGCCACTCAGGGCCACGTGGGGAAGCACCAGGGTTGGTAAAGGGGCAGAAGGAGTGAGATAAAAGCGTGGGCCAGAGTCTTTATTGCGGTTTTTGCACACAATAAATATATATGCTGGGAGGATAGGCTGAGCACATTTAGGAGTGGATGGTAGGCTGAGGCGGGCAGATCATCTGAGGTCAGGAGTTTGAGACCAGCCTGGCCAACATGGTGAAACCCCCTCTCTACTAAAAATACAAAGAAATTAGCCAGGTGTGGTGGCAGGCACCTGTGATCCCAGCTACTTGGGAAGCTGAGGCAGGAGAATTGCTTGAACCCGGGAGGTGAAGGTTACAGTGAGCTGAGACCGCACCATTGCACTCCAGCCTGGGCAGCAAGAATGAAACTCTGTCTCAAAAAATAATAATAATAGTAAATAAATAAAATAAAAACAAGTAATATACTTTCCTTCCCCAAATCCTCTCCAAGGTAATATCTGGGAATATAGATGATTCTAGATTCATGAGTGTCCTCTACATTCTTAGTGGTCTGTTGCTGATTGTCTGCTCTGGACAGGCCCCTAAGCAAATGCATACACAGATCCCTGAGTGGATGCATGGACAAGCTCCTAAGCTGATACATGGTCAGATTCCAGAGAGGAGATGCATGGATAGACCCCCTAAGCTGATACATGGTCAGATCCCTGGGCAGATGCAGGGACAGGCCCCTAAGCAGATGAATAGACAGATCCCAAGGCAGATGCATGGATAGACCTCTAAGCAGACGCCTAGACAGATCCCTGAGCAGATGCATGGATAGACCTCTAAGCAGACGCCTAGACAGATCCCTGAGCAGATGCATGGACAGGCCCCTAAGCTGATGCAGGGTCAGATTCCAGAGCAGATGCATGGACAGGCCACTAAGCTGATGCAGGGTCAGATTCCAGAGCAGATGCATGGACAGGCCCCTAAGATGATGCAGGGTCAGATTCCAGAGCAGATGCATGGACAGGCCCCTAAGCTGATACAGGGTCAGATCCCTGAGCAGATGCATATACAGATCCTTGAGCATATGCATGGACAGGCCTCTAAGCTGATGCCCTGTCAGATCCCTGAGCAGATGCACGGACAGGCCCCTAAGCTGACGCATGCAGAGGGGCAGCTGGCCCCATTGGG
This sequence comes from Homo sapiens, assembly GCF_000001405.40. Taxonomy (NCBI): domain Eukaryota; kingdom Metazoa; phylum Chordata; class Mammalia; order Primates; family Hominidae; genus Homo; species Homo sapiens. The sequence continues at coordinate 160,172,532 of NC_000003.12, read as the reverse complement.
TCTTCTAGAGCATCTGATGGCATGTATTTGAAGCCTCCAGCTCAGCCATTTGCCTCTGGCTGTGAAGGCCCCAAATGTGGTGGCTTTTGTCCGAATTCCAGCATCTATCAGAGACTATGGAAAATCTCTATGCTCTACGTCAACAAAGTGTGCTACACAGAGATAATGGAGAAAGAATATATTGGTTTGATATTTCAGAATATTATTTGCCTTTGGGTCCCCCATTCAGGTGTGGGTGTGCTCAAAGGCAGGCATATGCAGTCAAAAAGGGTGAGCTGGGGTTTACTTCATGAGGATCAAATGACTTGTTGCCTCGATTTGCAAAAGGAAGGTATAACATGGATATTAATTGTGAAAAGACATCATCTAAAGTCTCTGGAGAGATGACTGCCAAAAAGAACGAGAAGATACATGACCTGAGATGGTTTTTAATGGAGCGAGGTATTAATTTGGTCCAACTGAAGTTCTTAAAGTCAAAATGAAATTATAGCCAGGCCACATTGATTGGCCCCTAGCCAAATCCACACCTCGGAAGGAACCTTGCTGTTCCAGAAGATGCCAATTTGCTAAGGTCACCTGTTTCAGTAGAAAGCAGGAAAAGGATGTGGTAGCAGCATATCAGAACCTCATCTTATGAGCTTCAGGTTTAAATCCCTGATAGGGAAGAAAGTATATTTATTGTTCTTGCAGCTGTAACAGATTTTAAAAAGAAATAAATGGAAAGGGAATGATTTATCTTCTGTTTACAGCTTGTGAAATGGACGTCTGTTTTTACTGACCTCCTCAGCTTTCATTCCCTCTCCATTTCTTCCTGGACCCTCACTCTCCATTGAGCACATCCTCAGACAGACTGGAAATGGAGGTGTCCAATTCTCCCTGGCCAAGGTAGGGGCAGGAGGGGCAGTGTAGGCAGACTCTCCTTTATCTGTGCTGTAGATAAAAATATTGCAGGGAAAGGGATGCAGAGAGCTGGGGTGGGAGTATAATTTAAAAGATGGTGGTCAAGAATGGCCTCACTGAGATTTAGAATTTACCTGAGGCTCTCCCCCAAAATAAACCCTGCTCTACCCACAGTCTTCCTCATCTCAGTAGATGGTTTCACCACCCTTTCATTTATGTTAGTGAAAAAGTAAACAAACAAAAATGAACAACGTGGAATAATCACTCCCATTCTCTCACATCCCACATCCAATCAGTCATCCTCACATCCTGTTTACCTTCTAAATAGATCCAGAATCAGACTGTCCCTTCCCTGCACAGCTATCAGACTGATCGAAACCCCCACATCTAAATGGTCTCTCTGCTCCTGCCCTTACATCCTGTCATCTATTTTCAGCACCACAGCCAGAGGAACCTCTACAGGTAGAAGTCAGTTGATGTCACTCTTTTCAAAACCTTCGAAAAGCTCCCCATCTCACTCAGAGAGAAAGCAGTCTTTATCATGGCCTGCAAAACCCTAACTGATCTGGCTTCCTATTCACTTCTATGACCACATTTTTGGTTATGTTCCCCTTTCCTCATTCTTCTCAGCTGCCTGGCCTTCTGTTAATCCTCAATGTCTCTGTGCAATCTTATGCCCCAGGGCCTTTGCACATGCTGTTCATAGTTTCAGATATTGGATGGCTCACCCATTCAATTCCTTGAAGCCTTGTGTGTTTTCTCTGGACTTCTTCAGCTGTGTGGGCACAGGCACAGTAGGCAGAGAGCTGAGGTTGACCGTGGGATTTAAACTGGATAAAGAGAGCAGTGAGGAGAAGAGGGGCTGAGAGACAGTTAAAAGGCAGTAGGGTAGATGAATTATCAGCTCAGTGAGGTACTGGAAAGAATGAGATGTGTTGGGGCACAGATTGTGATACTGCTAAGTATGGCACCTTAGCATGCTGAGTATTTTGAACTGAAAGAGACTGTAGAGTTTCAGAGGCAAGGTCCCTCTGACCTTCTCCTGCCCTCCTGTGTCTCACCCCTCTCTCCCTAATTGAGTCATAGAAACCAGAACTCCTGTTCTCCAAAGCTGACCATAGCAACTAGAACCCCTCTCTCCAAAATCAAGCCATACAATCTAAAAGGTGTATACTTGAAGCCTGCAGCTCAGCCATTTGCCTCTGGCTGCAAAGGCCCCAAGTGGGGTGGCTTTTGTTCTAATTCCAGCCTCTGCCAGAGACTATGGAAAATCTCTATGCTCTGTGTCAACCAAGCGTGTTATGCAGAGGTGATGAAGAATAAGAATATATTGGTCACTCTCTCCCTTCTCCCTTGAAGACCTTCATGTAAGAGATGTTCTGTCCTATTCCATAGAGGAGGGAATGCTACACAGAGAGACCAAGCATCTGAAAACACAGGCCTTGCTGGGTTTCCCCCTCAGTCTATTACCATTAGATCATACCTTTTTGTCTAATCACACTTTTACATGGCTATCCGTTCTTCACAGACTCTAAGCTTAAACACAGAAGGTTTTTCCTAGGTCTTTGGGTCTTCATTTCTGAAGCCTCCTCTGTCACAGAAAAATGTGATTAAGTAAGTTTGTTATGCTTTTCTCTTGATAACCTGTCCTTTGTTATAGCAGTGTTGACCATGTCCCTTATCATGAGTGAGGAAAGGTATCACCCCTTACTGCCCCTACAGATAGAAAGATAGGAGGTGGTGTTGGAGGACAGAATGCTTGGGATTAAGATTAGGGAGGGGTTGTTGTTGAAAATGCAAAATGGGGATATGACTCTGAAAGGGAGTAGCCGAGGTTGGGTTGGGAACAGGATCCCTGGATGAGAAGACAGGAACTGAGAAGCTAAGACTTTGAGAGGATCATCTTTGTGGATGTTGAAATCCCCAAGAATTAAGGCAAGAGTAGGGTTGGAGAGAGTGACAGCGAGCTAGCAGCTAGAATCATCTCGTGGGGTGTGTTCCAAGAGCTGGGGAAAACTGCAATGAGTAGAGGTGTGGAAGGGCCTGCCAGAAGACCTGAGATTCAAAGATGCTGGAGGATGCAGCAAGTCAGAAAGGAGAGAGGCAAGAGGATCTCCCATTCCCGGCCTCAGGGCCAGTGGCATGAGGCCTGGTGGGGGCTGCAGGGGAGCGGTGTCCTCAGGACAGCTGGTTACTGTTAGAGCAAGAAGGCAAGGACTGCATTTAGAGAAGAGGCTGGGGATAGACAGAGTTTTGCTGATGACTGTGAGTTTCCAGGGGATGGCTTTGGTAGTGTGGGAATGGGGAGGAATAGGTCAGGAAGGTTTGAGGTTCAGAGTGTGGGAAAGGGAGGTGGTCTGAGTCCTAGGATAAAAGGCAAAATGAGATGAGTAACAGTGGTAAAACCCAAATTCCTACTGCAGCTGCAGTGACTCAGCGAATCAACTAGTTGCCTGTCATTACGAGCAAAAATAACATTTAAAAGTATAAAAGAAATACATGCTCCTGGAAAAAAAATCCAAATAATTTAGAAAAGCATAAACTGGAAAATAAAAATCTGCCTCTCCCTCCCAGTCCTACCCCCAGAAGTAACCACTGTTAACAGTTTCTTGGGTATCCTTGCATCCATTTTTTATGCATGTGCAAGCAAAAGCAGTAGGTTTTTTATGGGATAATTTTATACAGCTTGGTCTTATCCATTAAAAATACACTTGCTATACGTTGTCATACATATATACATTCCTCCATTCTGCTGCATAGTATTTTATTATATGCAATCTATTTCACCAGTCTTCTGTTGTCGGCCATGTATGTGATTTCCAGTTTTTTGCCTTACAAACAGTGCTTCAGGGAACATTGTTGAGAATAAATCTTTGTTTTATTTCCCATTTTATTTATTTGTGCTTATTTGTTAATATTCACATTGTTACAGGTGTTAACCAATGAGCACATATATACATATACAGTGTTACATATTGTTCATATTGTTGCATTGTAACATATTCATACTGACAAAATAATGAAACATTTCTAACATTAAAAGTACAGATGTAATACATAACTACATACACACTACTGGGATTGAATACCTGTTAATGTTTTACCATAATTGCTTTAAGTCTTCAACTTTACTACGTGTGGCTACCTTGCTTTTCAAGGCAGTTGTACTAATTTATGGTCCCACCAGCAATTATAAGCATTCACATTTCCCCACATCTCTGACAGCACATGATGTTGTTAAACTTTTGTTTTGCCCGTCTGTTGGGTAGAGAAAATCATATTGCATTACCTTAGTTTCATTTTCCTGTTTCAAAAACTATTTAAATGTTTCTTGGCCATTTGAGTTTCCATCTTCATGAATAACCTGTCCTTCACATTCTCCTAGTTCTTCCTGGCAATATGCTCTTCCAAAAGGATGTAGGATTACTTTGAAAAAGTTCTATGAAAAACCATCGTTTTAGCTATAGCTCTTTGCATATTTTTCCATTTGTTTTAGTTATGTCAGCAGTAGCCACCATTTTTTTTTTTGAGATGGAGTTTTGCTCTTGTTGCCCAGGCTGGAGTGCAATGGCACAATCTCAGCCCACCGCAACCTCCACCTCCTGGGTTCAAGTGATTCTCCTGCCTCAGTCTCCCAAGTAGCTGGGATTACAGGCATGTGCCACCACGCCTGGCTAGTTTTGTATTTTTAGTAGAGATGGGGTTTCTCCATGTTGGTCAGGCTGGTCTCGAACTCCCGATTTCAGGTGATCTGCCTGCCTCGGCCTCCCAGAGTGCTGGGATTATTACAGGTGTGAGCCGTCACGCCTGGCCGGTACCCAACTTTTTGGCACCAGGGACTGGTATGGTTCTAGGATAAAACTGTTCCACCTCAGATCATCAGGCATTAGTTAGATTCTCATAAGGAGCGCACAACCTGGATCCCTTACATATGTAGTTCACAGTAAGGTTTATGCTCCTATGAGAATCTAATGCCATTGCTGATCTGATGGGAGGCAGAGCTCAGGCAGTAACGCTCCCTCGCTACTCACCTCCTGCTGTGCAGCCCAGTTCCTAACAGGCCACGGACCAGTACCAGTCCATGGCCTGGGGGCCGAAGACCCCTGCTCTATATACTTTACTTTGCACAGTCTTTTTAGAGTTGACTTTGTATCATTTTGTGTGTAAATATTGTCAAAAATAAATATAAAAATTTTACAATCATGGAAGTCTATTTACTCCCCTACATGCTTTTGCACAAGTTGCTACATGTAACACATATAAACCCATATAATTATAATAAATGTTACAATTTTTGCTTTAAGTATTACGTGTATTTTAAAGGAACTAAGAGGAAAAAATATACATTTCTATATATCCACATATAGTTACTATTTCATTGCTTTTTTTTTGGCAGAGTCTTACTTTCTTGCCCAGGCTAAAGTGCAGTGGTGTGATCATAGCTCACTGTAACCTGGAACTATTGGGCACGAGTGATCCTCCTACCGCAGCTTCCTGAGTAGTTGGGACTACAAACACATGCTACCACAACTAGCTAATTTTTTACTTACTTCCTTACTTATTTATTTTTGAGAGAGAGTCTTGCTCTATTGTCCAGGTTGGAGTGCAATGGCATGATCTCAGCTCACTGCAATCTCTACCTCCTAGGTTCAAGAGATTTTCATATTTTTAGTAGAGGTGGGGTTTTGCCATGTTGCCCAGACTGGTTTTGAACTCCTGGCTTCAAGTGATCCACCTGCCTTGGCCTCCTAAAGTGTTGAGATTACAGGCATGAGCCACCTCGCCCAGCCTAACTTTTTTTTCTTTAGATATGGAGTCTTGCTGTGCTGCCCAGACTGGTCTTGAACTCTTGGCCTCAAGTTGTCCTCCCACCTCAACCTCCCAAAGTGCTGGGATTGCAGGCATTAGGTACCATGCCCGGCCTTTATTTCATTGCTCTTTATTCCTTCCTAGAGAGTCTCATTTCCATCTGGTACCATTTTCCTTTAGTTAGAAGAAATTTCTTTAGCCTTTCTTGTAGTGCACGTCTACTGGCGACAAATTATCCTGTGCATTTTGTTTTTTGACCCTGGAACTATATTTTGCCTTCATTCTTGGAGGATATTTTTCTTGGATATAGAATTCTAGGTTGATAGGTTTTATTTTTTCAGCACTCTAAAAGTATATTCCACTGCCTTCTGGACCTCGTAATTTACAATTCAAATCATCAGGAACTTCACTCATTGTTCTCCTGTAATGTGCTGCTTTTATATTTGGTTTCCAGCAGTTTCACCATGATGTGCCTAGGTGTAGTTTTCTTCATATTTATCTTGTATGGGATTCACTGAAATAATTGAATCTGTTAATTCATGTTTTTCACCAAATCAGGAAATTTTTCATCCATTATATCTTCAAATATTTTTCTGCCTCAGTCTCACCTTTCCTTTTGGGACTCCCAGGGCATGTTTCTTTAACCATTTGATATTGTCCTTTAGAGCCCTAAGAGTTTGTTAATTTTCTGCATTTTTTTCTGTACTTAAGATTGGATGATTTCTATTGATTTATATCCAAGTTTATTGACTTTTTATTGTCATCAGTATTCTGCTGTGGAATTTTAATTTTAATTTTTATTTTTATTTCTGCTTGTGATTTTTAAATGTCAGAATATTATTGTTTTTGAATTTTCAGTGATTCCTTTTGAAGTTTTTATTACCCTAGTGGGAATTTTTTTTTCATTTATTGGGAAGATATATTCTTCTATTTTGTTGAGCATAATTAATATAGATGCTTTAAAATCCTTGTCTGTTAATGCCAAACTTTGGATAACACTGGGGTTGGTCTCCATTGACTGCCTTTTCTCCTGACACCAGATCACATTTTTTTCTTTTCTGCTCTTCATATGTCAAATCTTGAATTGTGTCTTGTACGTTGTTATATGTTGTGTAAACTCTCACATTTGTTATATCCTTCCAAAACTTTTGATGTTTTTGTGTTTGGAGGCAAGTAACTTGACTGGACTCAAGCTGCAAACCATCTTTTGCTTGGCAGCTCAAGTTTCAGTTCAATTCTGTCTTTATGTGAGTTGCCCTGAGTCTGCCCCATGAATGCAGAGAGTCGGATATAATATAGGCTCAGGATCTGGGGGTTCCCCTACTCAGATTCTTTCATTTCTGGGATTCTCCCCTCATTTTCTAGTATATGCAGCTGCTCTAAACTTTTTCCTCTGGTTTTCCAGCCCACAAAAGCTATGCTTTTTTCTATCAGACTTTTAGTACTCTGTGTAACACTGACCTCAGACTAAAAGCATTAAAAACAGGTAAATCACTTTTTATTATTTCCTTCTTTCAAGTTTTAATTTGCTTTCAGAATAGATTAACTCTTTTGTTCACTGTTCAGTGTCTTCAGATCATTCTGTGTGGGTGTGTACAAACGTATGTGTGATATTTTCTCCAGAGGTTATAGTTGCCTGTGGAAGTCATATCAAGGAAAAGCTTACTTGTTTACTTGGGCATACTGGAAGCAGAAGCCTTCAATCTTTTTTTTATTTTGCATCTTTAAAATTAGAATATGGTGGAACATCTTTTTATGTGTTTGTTTATATTTGCATTCCTTTTTAAAATCAATTATCTGTTCATATCCTTTGGCTATTTTTTCTTTTCTTTTTTTTTTTTTTTTGCTCTTTTGATGTGTAGAAGCTCTTGTTGTGTTAAGAATACTAGCTCTGTCTGTCACACTCGTCACAATTATTTTTTCCAGATTGTTATTTTCTTTTGACTGTTCACTTTTAACTACTAGGAAGCTTAAATTTTTTATGTAGTCAAATTTATCAATCTTGCCTTTAATGATTTCTGGATTTTTGGGTCATGCTTAGAAAACTTTTCTCCACCAAATACTAAAATAACTACTTTTAAATATTTTAACACTCACCTATTTAATCTATTTATAATTTGTCTTAGTATAAGTGTTTAGAAACTGAACCAGCTTATTTTTCCAAATATGTAACTAATTATACCAATTTGATTTATTAGATAATTTATCTTTTCCTCACTGATTTTATAATGCCAACTATTTTACTTTTATATCTTTATTATCTTCCTGCATTTTCTCTTAAAATTTATATTTCTGACTCTTTTCATCAGTGTATATTCTACTTCTTGCCTTTTTTTTTTTTTTTTTTTTTTTTTTTGAGATGGAGTTTCACTCTTTTTGCCCAGGCTGGAGTGCAGTTGTGTGATCTTGGCTCACTGCAACCTCCGCCTCCCGGGTTCAAGCAATTCTCCTGCCTCAGCCTCCTGAGGAGCTGGGATTACAGGTGCACACCACCACGCCTGAATAATTTTTGTACTTTTAGTAGAGACGGGGTTTTGACATGTTGTCCAGGCTGGTCTCGAATTCCCGACCTCAGGTGATCTGCCCGCCTCAGCCTCCTAAAGTGCTGGGATTACAGGCTTGAGCCACCACGCCTGGCCCTCTTGCTTCTTTTAGGATGGCTTTCATTTTTGTAATGTTTATATCTTTATTTTCTTTTTATTGTCCCAAGACTCTGCCATCTCACTCTTCAACGATTTTGTCATCTTATCTGATCTTATTTGATCTCTTGAATTTATTCTTTGAGTTTTATTTCTTCCAGAGTTCATATCTATTCCAATTTCTTTGAGAGCATAAAGAAGTATTTGTCTGATATTTTCTTCTGTTTCTGAAGTGATTCTTCTTCTGCTGTGAACCCTTAATCTGTATTTTGCTTATTCTATTCTTTCCCCCCGGCTTCTGCCAGGTTTGAACCACATTAATTTATCTGACATCAAATCCCAAGTTGCACTGATGCAGGATATAATACAAGGGATGAGAGTGCAGCCTTTGGAGCTGTAAAGGCTGGGATAAAATCCCAGCTCCACCACTTACCAGTTCTGTGACCTTGGACAACTGAGTTGGTATCACATTATCTGTCTTACAGGGCTGTTGTTAGGATTAGAGTGTTTAATACAGTGTGTGGTACATAGTACTCAATAAATACTAGGGAAAGATAATTCTGGTTATTATTTTAGCAAGAGAGCTATAATACTTATATAATTTTGGTGTTATCTAATTAATATATGGACACAAGAATGCTAATTTAGTTTTTCTTTTTGGTTCATCCAAAAAAATTACAAAATAGATTATTTGTGATATTTGTTATTATCCACCAATAAAGAACTATCCCCATCTGCTGGCCACACTCAAGAATTAAAGATCAAAAGCTGTTCAAATATGGTTGTTGGAATATTTCATTGTGTAGCCACTGTGACTTGTAGCTGTCTTTGTAGCAAACAGCCTCTCTCTCTCTCTCTCACCTACACAGTCAAACAGATTAGCATCTTGTCACACAGTGCTGGGTAATTGTTGATACACTTATTTAGTTGGAGGCAAACATTCATTTTCATTTGGGAATTTAGATTTGTCTGAGATGCAGGCTATATGTTTCCCTTCTTGCTTAGCTTGGCTATTTCATAGGTTTACCTTTCCAAATCTTGAATCTTTGTCCCAAAAAAGGAATTTCCCCTAATGTCTTTTTTTTTCCTTCTTAAGACTCACTGCAGTCAACACACAGAATATTCCTAACTACCATCAATGTTTCACAGAAAAAAAAAATCTCTTAACTAGTCATTCTCTCTCGTCTCTCTCTCTTTTATGAAGATGTTGTAAGAATTGCTGATAAATGAACTGTTGGGGAGAGTTCTATTTTAGTTCTACCTGGAGTCATTTCAGACTGAATAATAAAGGCCAATAGGTCTTGACCTTTGAGTTTTGGCCTTTCTGAGATCCATGCATTTCATCAGAGCTTTCTTTGGGGTACAGAAAAGTGGCAATCCAGACCTGACTCTTTGGGGAACTTCCATTGCTGTGGGTCGCAGGGATTGGCTCAGGGCAGTGACTCAGGTCAGTGCAGCAGGAGGAGAAGCTGAAGCAGCACCAGCTGCGGATGCTGAGAAAGACCCCAGACCTGCCTGTGGCATTCCTGCATAATTGGTGACAGCCTGTCTGCCCTTCTGGCCTTCTTGTTACCAGGGCAACAGTGGGCCTATTCCTAGCTGGCTGAGAGGTTGCTACCCTCCTCTGCCTTCCACCCTCACATTCATCGTGGCCTCGCTGTGTGCCTGCTCCTAACGGCCTCCAGCTCTTTCTCTATCTGGATTCCCAGGGATTCTTTCCTGAGCCCAGCCAGAGGACAAAGGGACTCTCTCACTCTTTATTCCAAAGGATATAGCTCTTACTACTTTACTTTCACTCTGTACCCCATACACAGCCTTCTGATGCTACTGCAAACTTTCTCCACCATCTTCTCTCCAACTTCTCCCAATCCGTCTGCTGTTCCCTCACCAACTCTCTGCATCTCTTCCCACTCTTCCCCAGCCTCTATGCCTTCCCAGCCGCTCTCCTGGTCCCTCACTCTACCTTCACAGGGCCTTTCTTTTCTGTGCTTTTGTAATGTCTTAGGCTGCTTTGTGCATACTGATGACACACCCTAGTTTTTCATTACTTCTTTTCCCTTTGTGTTCCTGTGACACTTCGTTTGCTTCTCAGATAGCCCGCATCACAGCATCCTATCACTTTTGTGTCTGGATCCTTCTAGTCCAGACTCAGGCCTCACAGATATCAGGGACCGTCTTCTTCCTGGTTGTATCTCCAGTTCTAAGAACAGCCCCTGGCATACAGTAGACCCTTTTTGTTGAGCAAATGAATATTTCCGTCATTCCAAATCTTCATTTGTTGATCAAGTTTCTCTGATGTTTATTTTCTTCTGATTTTATTGTCCAAAGTTTTAAAATAACTTTCATTTTGAAGTACTTTTAGACTTTTTAAAAACTTGCAAAAATACTACAAGAAATTCCCATACACTTTTCAGCCAGATTCCCCACGTTAACATCTAACATATCTACAGTATGATGATCAAAACAAGGAAATTAACACTGATGCAATACTATTAACATCTCCAGATTTTATTCAAATTTTCTCAATTTTCCCACTAATGTCCTTTTTCTGACCCAGGATGCAAATCCAGGGTCACACATAGTATTCAGTTTCCACACCTCCTTAATCCCCTTTAATCTGGGACAGTCCCTTCATCTTTCTTTGTCTTTCATGGTCTTCTAACTGTTGAAGGATACTTGCCAATCATTTTGTAGACTGTCCCTCAAATTCAGTTTGTGTAATGTTTTCTTATTATAATAATCAAGTTTTACATTTTTCCCGAGAATCTCCTTCTCAGTGCATCACATCAGAGGGTATATGATGTCTATTTGTCTTATTACTGATGATATTAATGTTGATCTCTTGGGTAAGGTGGTTCTAGCAGTTTTCTTCAATCTAAAATTATTATTTTTCCTTTGTAATTAATAAGTATCATGCAGGAATATATAACTATACTGGTTCTCATCATACCACTGATTTTAGTATCCTTTGATGATTCTGCATTGCATGATTATTATTGTGGTGTTTTCCAAATGGTGGTTTTCTATTTCCAAGATTTTAAATGGGGCGGGGGAAATGATTTTCCCGTGGTGAACTGTTAGGGTCCAATGCCAGGCATGACCCTAAAGCATTCTCTAAATGAGACTTGAGCATTTCAAGTAGCACTCTGGGTCACAGATCTCTCTAAACAACTTCAGTGTATGGACTGCTCCCTTTCTCTTTTCTCCCCCAACCCCCAAATCTCCTATTTGTGGACACAAATAGGCTCTCCTGATGGGATGGTAGTGTTCCTGGTGAGACACCAAGAAGGGCTATCACAAGTAAATTGATCATGACTTAATTATTAATTCATGCCCTTAAAGTACATACTGTGGAGATTAATGCTGCAAGCCAAAAGATCCTCGGCTCACATTTTTAGAACCACTGTCTTAAAGGACAGCTGCATAGGCTAAGATCAAGGTAGCATATAATAAACCAAGACCTAATGTCTTTAGGGAAAACACTTCACAATCCATTATGAGCTACGTCATGAAATCAATGACCTTGGGATCTTTTCTAAAACATTCAAGCACAGAGTTAATGAGTTTAGGGAAGGAGTTGGAGGTTGCATGACATTTTAAAATGCTAAGACACTGGATCCTTGACAGAATGCTTGTTAGATTCTGTTATTCCCTGAAGTATAGGGTGTTTATGATCCACAAAAAGTTTCAAATCCATAGACAGTGTCAGAAAAGAAAATCTTTTCTTTTATCATGTTTGCAGTAGCTAGTTTTTAGTGTGACCAAGTTTGGGTTAATTATTCCCTGATTAGGAGGTCAACTTGGTAGAATTCTGAACTGTGTTTAGGGGACTGCAAAGCAGGCCACCAGAATTCCTAGCTGTAGGAGGACTCCTTGGGAAAATCAGGTAAGTGTACACTGGGATTCATAGTCAAGACTGAAATGAAGAAAACGTAGCCTGCCTTTGACCCTGTGCTGGGGTCAGTAGGCTGCTGAGGCAATTGGAGTCACCAAAGCAAGAGAGAATCCAAGTCATGGGTCTGGTTCTAGATTGAGTTTCAGTGCTGGAGGAGTCTCAACAATTGCCCTTCACCGCATTCCCTACCCAGAAACCTGGGAATTACAGAGGTGAATGAAGAAGAACAAAAGGCCTCAGTTTGGCTGAGAAACAAGTGACACTTGAGGGACCAATCACTGCCCTGGCTTTCTCCTGTGTGAGAACACTGTAGGCAGAAGCTGAGGATGGTGTGTGCTATGGGGATGTGGCGGGGGCTGGCAGCAGCCCCAGAGTGACAGTTATGAAGGCAGAGACAGTTCCTGCCATCATTAGAATCCCTGTCTGTGATTCCTCTGACCCATGGCTGTCCAAAACACAACGGTTACCTTCATGAAAAAATTAAAAGCAAACGTTATTTCCTCTTTTTGTGAAATTCCTTAATACTGATTATTGTATCTTCTGAAATCTGTAAGAAAAAGTAATCTTCCTTGAGTTGGAACAGAGAAATCTTTATGTTCAAGTGACAGTGCTGAGTGAATTGTTCAAAATCTTTTAAGAATTGAACAGCCTAACTCCTCTCTGCATTAGCACAAAAGCTGTTTGTCATGATAACCATATTCTCAACAAAGGCCTTCTTTGCAGCCGTAGACTTTCGACTGAGTTTAGCCTTTGGTAACTCATAAATTCTGGTCAGCCATTGAAGAGGCCCTCTCTGAGGGTAGCTCTGCCCAAAGGGATAGCACTATCTAGGGAGGACTTCTCTCTCTTGTTTCTCAATAGCATCACAGGGACAAAGATCTCACTTCACAGCTCTGAACTTCAAGATGACAGGCTCCCTTTAAGGCTTGGCTCCATCCAGCTGGGTTGTCTGAAATAATGACCACAGAAAACACTCGAACATATACATCACTGCTGTGCACAATAACTTGAAATAACCAGTGTGCAAATGGGACACCAGGCTGGGTACTCATCATGGGAGAGGAGGAAGAAGTTAGGTCCTTGTCCATCGCTGAGCAGTGAGCTAGGTGATGCCGAGAAATGTTTTGCTTGGGACCTGTGTGAATTCTATCAGTCAGATCTGTCAGTTGACCTGGCCTCGCTTTGGGACAGCTTGATTTGGAAAGACCTTGAAGAGGCCTGAGAGACCTGGGCTGGAGGGAGGGGTAGTGACTGATCCCTGGCCAAGGCCATTTTTATTGAGAGTATTAATATTGTTTCCAGCATAGAAACCGTTAGATACACAATAAGAGTCCTTCCTCTCCTAGAATACCCTGGGAACATACCAAAAAGAGAAGATCTGGTAAGATAACCTTTCGCTGAATGTTATTCATTCATTTAACTAATCACACTGCTGTTCCATGAATATTTATTGAGTGTCTAGTAAGTGGCAGGCACTGTACCAGGTGTCAGGAATGATAGTAGTGAACAAGACAGGCACAGTCCCTGCCCTTGGGGAATTTGCTTTCTAGTTGAGGGAGACATCAGCAATACATTAATCAGATATATTGTGGATAACAGTGTTATAAAGGAAATAAGGCAGGTTAATGCAATGGAAATGGTTTGGGGTCTAGAGGGCCCCCTGATCTGAATGGCAGGACAGATCCTGTTATGCGAAGACCTGAGGCACGTGAATTCCAGGGAGTGGGAGCATCCCAGGCACAACCTTGTGGTAGGACTGTGATAAAACTGTGTTTGAAGAGCAGAGAGAAGGCCAGTGGAACAGAGCTCAGAGAGCAAATGTGGGGTGGGCTGGAAGGTGAGGGTGACACGGTGAATCTAGACAAGACCAGAGAGACAGGGAGAGACTGGATCATGCAGGGCCTTGTAGGCCACTGCAAAGTCTCCTCAAAGAAAACTAAGAGGTTATTCAGGTCAGTCTTTAAAAACTGTCTTCTCTAGGGACCTCTGTTTTATCTAAAGTCCAAGGGAGCAGCAGAAGGAGCAAAGCTCTGTCCCTTCCCCAGGGCCCCCACGTCCCCCTAATATGCCTCCCTACCCTTTGTCAGTTTTGCACAAATTCTGTGTAAGATTAGCCTCTCAAAGATTTCAAAGTTGTGATAGGTTAAAGATAGACAGAAATTCTTTCACTCACCCATTAAGAGATAGAGTTTTTATTTACCCTGACTTTGAAACTGGGCTGGTTCTCTGACTGCTTTAACCAAAGACTGGTGGAAGTGATGCTGCACAGCCTTGAAGAGGACTGGCACCTTCCACGCCCTCCTTGACTGATGGGCTCCTTCACTGCCATAGAAGAAGTTCTATTCTACTGAAGAGGCCATGTGGCAGATAGCCAAGCAACCAGCAGACAAGGAGACCTGCAGCACTGACCCACACCCTCCACTGGACCGTTCCGGCCAGCCCCCAGCCATCTGCACCCTCTCGGCAGATGTGAAGAAGCGTGGGCATTCTGTCTCCAGCAGGCATCACCTGGGGCAGAGACGAGCAGATCCTGGTTGCCTTGCCACGGACCTCGGAACTGTGTTCAACATAAAATGGTTGCTGCTTTAATCCACTTTGCTTAGGGGCAGTTTATTACACAGCAATAGATAACTGAAGGAAAAGTTTACACAAAGAGTTTGAAAACCACTTCTCTGAGCAAAATCAATGGTTTTACAAAGAACTCAGAGAACTCTGCTCTCACAGCTGGGAAGGCAGTGGAGTGTGATGGAGTGGGCAAGGACTTGAGAGAAAGATGGTCCTGAGGCTGAGTCATGGCATAACCTTGATTCTTTGCCACTTTGTTTCTGAGACACAAAGAACAATATGTACTGTGGAGGGTTAATGTGAGACTTAAAATCAGACATAGTGTGTGAAGACCTTGGAACATACTAAGAACTTGACATGTTGTAACTATCTTGTGGTCATCAGGGCCCTTCCAGGGCTCCCGGCCACCTGGGTTAGGAGCCCACTTGGTGGGCCAGGCCCTGTCACTGCCAGAACCCAGGTGAAATCACAGGTGTGGGCAGTGGCAGGAGGAAATCTGCTACCCAGACTTACTGTTGAGTTTCCCTATGTGTTAATGTGTTTCATGAACACAGTATTTCATAATGTTGAATTAGTATTGAGAATGTTTTTCCCTATTCAATCCTCTTTCAATCCTGATAAAATCAAAGCAAAATTGCTACTACAGCTTTAACATCTCTGTAGCCCTTGGTGATCTCTTTTCCTTCCTTCCTTTTTTTTTTTTTTCATTTTAACAGAGAGAGTATAACCTTTGGTTTAGAGTGTTTGGCAGGCAACTAGATTAATATAGATATCATTTAGTTTTCATTGTATTTGTGTTTTATTATATTACTAGTTTCCTTTTTTTTTTTGAACTTGATATAAAGATTTTCCTGAAAATGAAGGAAGAAAAGTGAGCCAATTTAAAGAAGACTATTAGATAAGAAATATACAGGTACGATGTGACAAAGATTGTGATGAAGGTATGCGGTTGACCGATGCAAATGCTGCTCCACTGAATATCCCCCAAGTTTGTCTATGGGCCTACTTTGGGTTGTCACAGTGGGGAAAAGCTGACAAAGCCACTGTGTGTGTGAAGTTTCCCTCTGCCACCTCTGAGGCCCATGCACCCTACAGTCCCCCACAACCCAGAGTGGTCTAGCAGGGGTGACAGAAGTGGGCAGTAGGAGGGAACAACAGCTTCATGGTTAAGATCCCAACATGCAGTTGTTAAGACTCAGCCAGCCCCTGGCATTTGGCCTCTTGGTTTCTTAGTCCTTTTCAGAGCTGGGCTGGCCCATGAGCCATGCACCTGGCCCAGGACTCCTGCCTGGGCAGTTCTGTAGGCTCATCTCTCCCTGACCTTCTCTTTGTCTGCAGCTCTTCCCTCCCTAATGTGCTCAGCACTTTTAGCTGTTCTGTGATAGTCTCAAAGGGCGTGGAGATGAGAGCTTTGCTGAAAATGTGCATCTTCTGCAGAAAAGGGCCAGGGAACACTTAGAGAGGAAAAGGACAAAAAGATCAAAGTGGTTTTGAAACAGAAGAGGGAATGAGGAGCTATAAAATTTGAATGAAGAGGCTGGAAAAAAGAAGCAGGAGAAAGGAAATGGCTTTGTTTGGTAGTTAGAGCTAAGAAGGGAGAAATGATAAGAGCAAGGATGGAAGCCCTTTAAATTAAGGGACTGCTTTAAAACTAAAAATATCAATGTGATAGTGATCAAGCTATCACAACCTACCACGGCATGGATCTCAAGCACTGAATGCAAGTATAGCATTTCTATCTATCTATAACACAGTGTGTCTATGGTCCTTTATCCTCCCAGGTATCTGCTCTTATGTCACCTCCTCCATGAAGTCTTCCTGGACCACATCATCTGAAATAGCAATCTCCTTTTTCTCTATCCCTGATCCCACTGTGGTTTTCTTCATCACATCACTACATGGAATTTTGTTTGGTCATGTATTTTTTATTCTATCCCCATTAGATAGTAACTCCATGAAGGCAGGGACTTTGCCGGTCACTTCTATCTCCAGTTCCTCTGGCACAGAGAAGGCATTCAATTAAAAAAAAAAAGGTACAGGAATGAATTCAAATAGTTAATGTAGGCTGGGCACAGTGGCTCACACCTGTAATCTCAGTACTTTGGGAAGCTGAGGTGGGAGGATTACTTGAGGCCAGAAGTTTGAGACCAGCCTGGCCAACATGGCAAAACCCTGTCTCTACTAAAAATACAAAAATTAGCTGGGCATGGTGGCATGCACCTGTAGTCCCAGCTACTTGAGAGGCTGAGGCAGGAGAATTGCTTGAACCTGGGAGGCAGAGGTTGCAGTGAGCCAAGATCGTGCCATTGCACTCCAGCCTGGGCGACAGAGAAAGACTCCATCTCAGAAAACAACAACAGCGACAACAAAAAAAATAGTTTATGTATATAAAGTCCCTAATATTCTATAGAATATTCTAAGAACAAAAGATGAGTCAGATATGAATTTTGCCCTCGATACATGGTCTAATAATTATGATAATCACTATCCATTTTAGAGGGCTACTATGTGCTAGGCACTTTATACACATTATGGTATCTTTAATAACTAGGAGCAATGTTCAATGTAAACATATTTAACAGGTATTATAGAAACTGATCTATCAGTACCATGAACTGGCACTCCAACATATTAAATAGTACTGCCAAGATCTGAGAACCAGAAAATGGCAGAGTCAAAATCTGAATGAAGGTGAGCCTGAATCCAACGCGCATTCTTCTGGGCATATTACTGCCATTCTTGGAAATACATGTGAGCACACGTACTGAGACTTACATTTCTTTGATGCTGGAGACCATTCTTTTATGTGTCTCATAAATAGTTGTCAAAAGACAACTTTTATGTGTGCACAGAAATAGAATGTTTCCAGCATCAGAGAACTGTAAGTCTCATTGAAGAGTTAAGGACTTTGGATCGGTTAGGAGCTGGGGAGCCAGCCAGCTTCTTCTCTCACAGCCATCTTAGCTTCAAGAGGTGCTAGATCCAATGTCTATACAAAGAGAAATAGGAGAGAAGAGCAAGGGGAGTGGGGGAGAGCTGAGCAAGGTAGCTTTGGGGAAGTTTACAGAAACTGGGAGAATAGGCAGAGAAAGCCCAGATCCTTGGATAGTTTGCTGGTTCCCACAGGGCTGTGTTCCTCCTCACCTCTTCTAAGTGACCTCTGTCATAAGGGAGTCCAGCCCAAGGGAGCGGCAGCAGGCTGAGCTCTCTAGAACAGGCTTTTCTCAGGCCTGGCAGTGCAATTTGAATTTTCATCCCAGATGATACCTAATAGAAACAGTATCACCACAATCAAAGAGAATTGGGACCTGGCCTTCTCACTGTCTGCAGAGCCTGTGCCTTTGGTAGTAATAGTTAGTGCACACCAAATGTCCATGTGCTCCCTCTGTTTCCCAGCCTTTCTTGCAGTTCACGGGTGGCAGAAGAGATGTGCCACTTTCAATCTTAATGCCTCTCTTCTGCTGCTGTGGCATTAGAGTCACATTTTCCACATTCATAGTTACAAGGTGGAGGTCAGCCTCCTGACTCATGATCAGCAACCACAACAAACTTGTATTGGGTTAAACCACTGAGCATTCAGGTTTGTCTGTTGCAGAAGCTAGAGTTAATTACCTCGGACTAGTACGTCTCCCTAAATGCTCTCTGCGCTTCCTAATGAATCTGTAATGATCACTGCTAATAATAGATGTATCATATACTTTCATATTAACAGTGTTTGACTTAAACTTACATGGGCTTGGCATATGGCACAATTTTATCCTGGTCATATGCCAGAGAAAGTAACAATGATGGAATTAAATCTGTGCTTTTGCCTCTACAGTGGTGTGGCACTATACAATAGCTTCCTAAGACATACCTATAGATTCTATACATCATCTGGGTAGGCAGAGATTTTTGTATTTACCCTGCTAGGTAGATACTGTTCTCTCCACGTTACAGAAGGCGAATGAAGCTCAGAAAGGCCAGTTAACCTGTTCACAGTTGCGAGGCTAATGAGCAGTGGAACTGGGCTTCTAAACCAGGGAGCACTGATTCCAGAGCCCATTCCACAGTGCCCTGCTCCCTTGACTGACAAGTTGCCTCTATTTAATTCACAAATAAGACTTGGATATTAACCTCGAAAAGAATAGAGGCCGGATGAGGCAACTAGCTGAACCCAGGTAAGATAGTTAGAAGGCAATATTAAAAAGCACCAGTGTGAATGAAACAGATTTGAAATACTACAGGTACCCAGATAAGGGGAGAGAGAAAGGCATGCATGAATGGGAACACAAGGCTTCCCAAAACTTAGAGAGCTGAGGGAGGCCAAGAAGGATGGAGAAGGTAGGGGCAAGAGGAGGGAGGAAGGTGTCCTACATGAGGGAGAGCATCCTTTCAGGGCCTGGGGACAGGGAGGGGGAAGCAGCCAGGGGCATCAGGTGACAGGGAGAAAACTGATATGGCAAAATGAAGGCTTTGTGTGGAGATAAGTGGGATGGAGGCTCCAGAACAGGAAAGCCTGTGGAAGGCCTGGCTGGGGAGTTTGGAGTTGACCCTGAGGCAGGGCAGAGCCAAGAAAGTGAAAATAAAGGAATCAGTTGTTTGGAGGAGATAGGCTAAGAAAGATTTTGAGTATGTACTTCCTTTAAAAATGGAATTGATTTGCAGGCAGTTAAAGGTAAAGAGATTTGACTCAGGAAAAATGAAGATCCAGAATGTCAATTTAGAAGATATTCCGTGGTTGCAGTTGGCACCAAGGTGAACCCTGTTTTCCTTCCTGCGGAGCAGGCCACCCCTCCAATGGCTCGCCCTCTCCTAACATTGAATGAGAAATGACCGAGGATCAACAGCTGTCCTTGGCCTTTACTTCAAATCACTTTATCTCCCTGGCCTTAGTTGCTTCACTTGTGAGTTGGCAGCATTGGACCTGGCAGTCTCCGGGTGGTGGCTGGCCATGGTGACAGCAAGTTCTTCACTTATGTCTGCCCCGCTCCACTTCTTTTCATCAAAGCCCTTGCTCCCCTCTTTTTTTCCCCTTTGGAGGATGTCTTGGGACATATGATCAGATTCCCTCTTTGGGGTCTTTGGTTAGGTGGGAACATAAGCCATCTAATCTGCTTTGTATGGGTCCTGATGGCCCATTCTTGTGTTTGGGCCAAAGGTTAGAGTCTCAGGGAATATAGTTCTCTTCAGCTGCAGCGTGTGAGGAATTGCTCCCATGCTGAGATTTGGGGGACCCTAGGAGAGGTAAATGTTCAAAAACTACCTCTGTGAGTACACACTGAACTATTTATGGATAAAATGATACAATATCTGGGGCAGTGGGTCATGTATGAACGAAACCAGATTGGCCATGACCTGGTAATTGCTGAAGCTGGGTGATGCTACATGGGGTTTAATTAAACTGTCCTGATGACTTTTGTGTATATTTAACATTTTTCCATAATGAAAAGTTGAAAAAGCCACACACACACACTTTTTTTTTTTTCATGTTGCGGCGTTCAGAAAACTGAACTGTTGAGTCTCCAGAGAGCACAAGTTGAATACCCACAAGGCAGTATCCATAAAGCATCCCTGAGATGTGGGACAACAGTAAATTTGATACAGCTAAATAATTGACTGTACATGGTAGGGTCTCTATGAGCACACTGGCCTTGGATGCCTTGTTGATGGCCTTGGATGCCTTGTTGACCAGAATATCTCCCTTTATTGTGCGCTATTTTCCTGTCTGACGACTCCACCTTCCACATCTTTCTCTTCCCATTTCTTCGTTGGCAAGTTAACTTTCTCCCATAGGCAGAGGGAGCTTCTCTTTCAGGAACCATAGAGGAAGGATGAGAGAGCCCTCCAAAGCTGCAGCGTTCAATTTTTTTGACCACAACCCAGTGTAAAAGATATATATTTTTATCATCATAGACAATCATAACTAAAATGTAAGTTTCACAAAATAACACCCTTTACCAAATGGGATACATTCTGATATTTTCTCTTCTGTTCTATTCTAGAATATTCTATTCCATATTTTAAAAGGCTGTCATGATCCACTAAATGTAAATTACTAATAAATTCAGGATTGCTAATGGGTTGCAGCCTGCATTTTAAAACAAAATTGGTTAGTGGAAAAGAGATGTTGGGCAGGAAACTTACCATTTAACACATCTGGCCCGGGGTTGAAGTCACAGGCAGCTGGATTTCATTTGCCTCTGCCCGTGGAGAAGCCCTCCATACTTTGTGCGGGTGTCAAGGTCAGATCTACAGTGCCAGCCAAGGACTGACTAGAGTATTAAATTTCCCCAGATGTGTTAATTGACGTGCTCGTCAATAGGGAGAGATCACAAGTCATAGACTTAAGATGGGAATTTTGTTGAACTGGGCTGTCACATGCCATCTTGTAGTTTTAAGATAGAAAAAACAAAACAAAACAAAACAGAAAAAAAAGAAATAGCCACGTTATTCACACCATCACTATGACTGTTGCTCAGAGAAGACGCCAGGCAACAGGATAAGACAGTGCATGTCCTTCAGAACCAGGTAGATCTGAATTTGGACCCCATAAACTACTAACCATGTGACTTTAGAAAGATTACTTAACCTCTCTGAATCTCAGTTTTTCTCATCAGAATAGAAGAATGATAATACTCCATTAAATGAGAGAGTATATAGCATCTAGCCCAGAACCTGACCTGAGGGCAGACCCTCAAATGTTAACCCCTTCTAGCACAGAGGCCCTGTGAGGTTTCCTTCAAAGGCTGTCAATCTAGTACCCCGTATGACAAATCTATCACTCTACTTTGCTCAGTGGTTTACTGGAGGGGGAAGAGAGCCAGGAGAAAACCCAAATAGAAACAAGCAAAGTGCCAAGAGAGGAGCCATGTTTTCAGGCTAAGTGACCTAGGCAGCGCCATTCACCAGCTTTAGCTCTCCAGTTCTCAGTCATGAAATGAAGATGGGGAAAATGCTATGTTCTCCAAGAACTCTTGACTCATATTTCCTAAAGATAGTGGGCTTCCTGGGCACCAACTCAGACCCAGTGAATCATAATCATTCTAAGCCAATGTCCAGTAATTTACCAAATCCTTTCCAGCCTGCTTCCTAACCATCTCCCAAGACAGCTCATTCTCTCCTCCCCACCGCCCCTACCTCTGTACCTTTCCCACTCCTGTTTGCCCTTTTCTCCTGTTGACTGCATTCCAGGCTTTCAGTCTTGCTTGTTCTTCACCCAGTTTTCACTCTGCAACCAGAGAGACAGTTTTATCATGCAAACATGACACCAAGACTGCTGTCCAAAGCTTCTAGTGATTTCTCTTTGTCCTTAAAATAAAGTCTAAACTCTTAACCTGTCTGTCCCCAGGGCTCATCTTGATCTTCCCCGCACCAACCCTTGCTCTTTCTTTTTTGATCATCCATCCCCACCCCTGGACTGTCAAGTCTGGGATAGTGGCAGCAGTGTCTCTCCTGCTATTGATGTAGGCCCAATGCCCAGCACATGGCCTGATGCAAGTCAGGCACTGAATGAAAAAGCAGTTGCGGAGCTCCAACTAATCTTTTTCCATAAAACGATAGCATGTGACCTATTTTCTGGATAAAATAAATTCCATGTGCTGTGGCAAATTGTCTCTTAAAGTCCTTATTGTGTTCTCTGCTAGCTGTGTAGAGACTAAATCAACTGTACTATAATGTCTATTATTTTATATTTTGGTACAAGGATGCTTTCAAGGATTTTTTTGGGTTTTGAAGAACAAATATGATTTGGGTGCCATTTCCATACTCCTCAAAATACTCTAAGTAGATAGTGAAGCTGCTCTTTATTTCTAAACCCTCATCTCGCACAGACATAATAGCCAGAGATTCCCCTTAGCAGGAGGAATGTCACGCATTATGGTTTTCACTTCCATTTAACTGGATTAAGTATTTGTTGAAGAGCTTTGTGCTGATTAGAGATGTCTGAATATGAAGTGCTCCTTGAACAAAAGTTATGGATAGTCACATCAATTTAATTGAAAAATGTTCCATAATTAAGGCAAAACTACTTCACTTAAATAATTAGCTTGAAGTGGTCATAGTAACAGAGTTAATAGATTTTCTTTTATTTCCTCTGTGTCACTGGTGCCTGCCTGACAAAAGAACACTGGTGACATGGTGTTCTATAGAAAGTTTTGGGCTTAGCAATTTAGGATTCTGTGCCATATAAGTACTGTCCAACTCTCTTCCTAAGAAGGCACCTAAAGAGGTGTCAAAGTGCAATAATCACCAGATCGTGATTTATTCATAAAGTTGAATAAGCATTCAGAACAGAATGTTTTGGAGATAATATGGGCAGTTCCACCAAGCTTAGTAGTGCACACTGGAGGAATTATTTCCAGAGTTTTCTAGAGTAGTGATCCTCACATCACTACTGATTCAGGATGCTGCAAAATCTTTGGGGTGTCAATTGCAGGTGATTCAGTGTAGGCAAAAGATTAGTAAATTATCTGTTAGATATGTGTTCAGAAGCTCATAGCAGAAAACCCAATTTACAATAGCTTAAACAATTTCCCTTTGACATCATCAAATATCCAGAAGTAGATGGTTCTTTGTCTTGGTTCAGGCCCAAGATGTCACATGGGCACGCAGGTGCTTTCTCTTTCCATCTGCCATCTTGTGATGTTGCCTTCACCCTTAGGCTCCTCCCACCATGGTCACAAGCTGCATGCCAGCCATACATCAGCAGTCCAGGTGACAAGAGGGGAAAAGGCAGGTAAGCCACATATGGCATGCTTTATCAAGAGAAAACAAGGCTTTCTCAGATCCCTCTACCTTGCTTAGATCTCACTGCATGGCCACCCAGGTCAGGAAGTACAGGACAGTGGAGGACAGGAGTTTCATATTTGCTTTAGACCTCGTCTTATTGTAGGATAAATACATCAGACAGCAATAATTTAAGCATACCCTTAGAATGACCCTGTATGGCAGATGCACCTGAATCCGGGAGTGGCCAACTCAGAGACTCGCTCCTTGTCTATGAGGAACATCTGAGTCCCTGACACATCCTGTAGAACATGGGCCATACAGGGCATTGAGGCTCTGAGTTTTGGATTAAATGAGGGCTATCAGGCAGAGGTCATTAGGGGAGAGCGTTAAGTGGAAAGGTGATATCAACTGCATGATGTCTGTAGGTGGTTGCAGTTTTCCTGCCCAGTCCATCACCACTGGGCCATGAGGTTATTTTGTCCAGCCCATGGCCCTTGGACTGTAGGAAGGTGGATATCTTGCCTAACCCACCGCCACTGGACTCTCTGCTTTGTATGTAAGCCCCTAGTATTAATAAAACCCTATGTCTTGTTTGCTGGATCTGGGTCTCTTCATTGGCCTCTAGAATCTGTTGCCTTCTCTATTAAGGTTAATAGGGGTTCAGCACAACAACTATCAAGATAGGTCTTCCGTTTTATTCCCTCTTTTTTAAAAAAAATGCATTCAATGAAGGACTAATATCCAGAACCTATAAGGAACTTAAACAAATCAACAAGGAAAAAATAACCTCATTAAAAAGTAGGCAAAGGACATGAACAGATACTTCTCAAGAGAAGACATACAAGTGGCCAATAAGCATGAAAAAATGCTCCACTAACATCAGAAAAATGCCAATTAAAAAACACAATGAGATATCATCTCACATCAGTCAGAATGGCTATTATGAAAAGGTAAAAAAATAACAGATGTTGGTGAGAATATGGTGAAAAGGGAACACTTATACACTGTTGGTGGGAATGTAAGTTCGTTTAGCCCCTGTGGAAAACAGTATGGAGATTTCTCAAAGAACTAAAAATAGAACTACCACACGATCCAGCAATCTCACTACTGGGTATCTACCCAAAGGAAAGTAAATCATTTTATCAGTAAGACATCTGTACTTGAATGTTTATTGCAGCACTATTCGCAATAGCATTCAGGGAATCAACTTAAGTGTCCATCAATGGTAGCTTGGATAAAGAAAATATCTGAGGCAGGAGAAGGGCTTGAGGTCAGGAGTTCAGGACCAGCCTGGGCAACATAGTGAGACCCCCTGTCTGTATAAAAAAATTAAAAATTAGCTGGGCATGATGTTGTATTCCTGTAGTTCCAGCTACTTGGCAGACTGGGGTGGGAGGATGACTTGAGCCCAAGATGTCAAGGCTGTAGTGACCTATGATCACATCAGGCTGGATGACAGTGGGAGAGACAAGAAAGAAAGAAAGAGAGAGAGAAAGAAAGAAAGAGAGAAAGAAAGAGAGAGAAAGAAAGAAAGGAAGGAAGAAAAGAGAGAAGGAAGAAAGGAAGAAAGCAAGAAAGCATAAAATATGGTATATATACACTCTGGAATACTATGCAACCGTAAAAAAGAATGAAATCATGTCCTTTGCAGCAATATGGAAGCAACCTGAGACCATTATCCTAAGTGAATTAATACAGAAACAGAAAATCAAATACTGTATATTCTCACTTATAAGTGGGAGCTAAACAATGAGTACACTTGGACATAAAGATGGGAGCAATGGACACCGGGAACTCCAAAAGGGGAGACAGAGGGAGGGAGGAAGGGAGGGAGAAAAGGGTTGAAAAACTACCTATTGGGTACGATGTTCACTATTTGAGTGATGGGTTCAATGGAAGCTCAAACTCCAGCATTATTCAGTACACTAGTGTAACAAACCTGCACATGTACCCCCTGAATTTATAATTTAAAAAAATTTAAAAATAGAAAACAAATATTTTGTAATATTCTTTTATCCTTAAAGGCAATGAATAAATCATATAACCCATTTAAATTCATAATTTCGAAGTAATGCCCTAACTGTAACTTAAGAATTAGAGGAAAGTAGCCCAAGCAGGCCCCACCCCCACAAGACCTCTTATCTTGGAGGAAGAGAAGGTGGAGGGATGAGCATCCATGGGGAAGTCAAAGTGAGTGACAGGAGGACTCAAGGCAAGGTGTTAAATCTCAGTCCCATCAGTGTCAGAGCCTGGCACAGGGAGAAGCCCTCCGTGACACTCACTCCCAGCTCCCAGCAGGAGCAGAAAGCATCTCCAAATAAGAAGCAGGTTCCTAACCAGGGCGGTCATGGCTGAGGAAGGGTAAGACGCCCCATGAACCTTGGGCTACAAAGGAAACTCAAAAAAGAAACATCTTGAAAGCTTCCTCCAGTTGCCAGGCCTCTACTTCCCTCTTGAAACAAGAACTCTAATCTGGAAAAGCAGGATTAGAGAAAATCTAAAACCGTTTATGTCAACAGGCCTGTGGGATTTGATCAGGGATACTCACAGTTGTTGCTAGAATCTATCTCACCTTCCAGCGTTGGACACATAGAGACTGATCCTTTATATGGAGAAAAACCACTGGACACATTAATAGATATTTTTATTTTTAAATTTTTATTTATTTATTTATTTATTTATTTATTTTTGAGACGGAGCCTCGAACTTTCGCCCAGGCTGGAGTGCAGTGGCGCAATCTTGGCTCACTGCAAGCTCCACCTCCCAGGTTCACGCCATTCTCCTGCCTCAGCCTCCCGAGTAGCTGGGACTACAGACACCCAGCACTACCCACGCCCAGCTAATTTTTTGTATTTTTAGTAGAGATGGGGTTTCACCACGTTAGCCAGGATGGTTTCAATCTCCTGACCTCGTGATCCACCCGCCTCGGCCTCCCAAAAGGGCTGGGATTACAGGCGTGAGCCACCGCGCCTGGCCATTAATAGATATTTTTTAAGACACAAGAGGGGCCTAACCTGAAAAATCAGAACAACAATGTTCCCCTCTGAAAGTATTACTTCAAGACCATTAGGAAGCCTTAAGCCAGCTCTAATTCGTATCCTCTAGGAAGTCAGGGGCACATTGCACCCAAGACACAGGAGCAGGCAGACAGGACACGGGGAATGATTGGGGCAGGAAAATTGTTTACCTGTTGCAATGGATTGAATGTGTCTCCCAAAATCCTTATGTTGAAATCCTAATCCCCTCAATGTGACAGAAGTAGGAAGTGGGGCCTTTGGGAGGTGACCAGGTCATGAGATTGGAGCTTGCATGAATGGGATTAGTGTCTGTATATGAAGGACCTCAGAGAGCTCTCTCACCCTCTTTCTGCAATGTGAGGACATAATGAGAAGATGGCAGTCTGCAACCCAGAAGAGGACCCTCATCAGAACCTGACCCTGCTGGCACCCTGATCTCTGCTGTACTCCAGAACTGTGAGCAATAAATTCCTATTACTTAAGTGCTATTCAGTCTATGGTATCCTGTTATAGCAGCCTGAACTAACTAAGGTACATGTGAAAGACACAATATCATGGCTGGAAATGCAGTGGAGATAGTCAGTGGAGACACAGCTGATGCTAAATTAGGGCAAGAAGACAAATCAGACATTTTCCCAGAGTTGAATAGAGGCAAAAATGACACAGAGAAGAGAGAAGCCATGATGCACAAGTCCAGGAAATCCAAATCTGTAAAACAGGGTCTTCCAAAATGAGAAAACAGGGCAGATGCTGTGATTACATCCAAGTGGAAAGTTACTGTTATTTTCTTCTTCATACTTTTTGCTTTGCTTTCTTCTCCTTCAAATTATCATGGAATGTGCTACTTATAAACTCAGAAAACTACAAACTACAAAAAGCACACAACTCAGACAAGAAAATCTGTGTAGAGGCCCTATATGCTCTGCCTTTGAAAGAGAAAATATTCTTTTTAAATTTTTACTTTTAGAGACAGGGTCTTGCTCTGTCACCCAGGCTGGAATGCAGTGGCGTGACCATACCTCACTGCAGCCTCAAACTGCTAGGCTAAAGTCATCCTCCCACTTCAGCCTCCCGAGTAGCTGGGACTACAGGTGTACACCACCATGCCTGGCTAATTTTTTATTTTTTGTAGAGAGGTGGTCTCGCTATGTTGCCAAGGCTGTTCTTGAACTCCTGGCCTTGAGTGATCCTCCCACCTCAGCCTCCCAAAGTGCTGGAATTACAGGAATGAACCAGGAATGAACCCCCCTGAAAGAGAAAATCTTACAGAACTAAGGGAGGATCCCAGGCTGAAGGCCAGAAATGAACATGTGTGACTAATTTGCAGCCAAAGGTGAGCATCATCTGCAAGAAAAATGCCTTGATAGGTTTACTCATTTGCTTCTAGGTCACTTTCACATCTGGGGAAGGCTGAAGCAGTTCCACTGACTGTGGTCCTCTTCTTGAGCAGGCCACATACAACCTCCCTCATCTCATTGACCAGGGCACCCACCATTGATTGGGGCTCCCTCCTCTAGAACCCTCTGGCATAACCACAGTTATTGCCTGCAGTCTGGGTCTAGCATGCTGCTAGTGAGGAAATAGTGAGAGGTTAAATGCCAGGATGAATCTGTGAGTTTTATGCAATGGAAGCTCCAGAACTTCTGTCCCAGAGAAGCCCTGGCTTTGGTGGCTCAGGTCACACTCAGAGTCAAGGGCATCAGATGAGGACTCATTGCAACTCTTACAACAGGAAAAATAGCTCATATCACAGCTCTGTTAATGGTGTGTAAATGAAAGGAAGGGTCTCTCACTGCATGGACTTTCTAGTGGCCCATAGTTTTCTTTTAAGTAGAGTTAGGTAGACATTCAATTTTTTCATGGCCATCAATGAAAACAGCACTCCACTCTTAAGTAGTTCATTGCACTTCCCAAGTGAGTATTTGCTCTGTGGCACATTGCCCCTTTGAGGAAGAAGAGGCATTGCTCTTTTAAAGTGAATAACATGGGCTGTTTTTTCATACTCAAATGTGAAATGAATGAAACGTGGCTAACAAGCAATTACAATTTATTACAATTTCAGTCTTTCTCTTCAGCATAAGCCTTAGGCATATCTTAACAGGACTGAAAATACCAGCATGCGGTAAATAAAAGAATTCATCGTGTCCTCACTCTTTTTTTTTCCTAGTTTTTTTTTATTTTATTATTATTATACTTTAAGTTTTAGGGTACATGTGTACAACATGCAGGTTTGTTACACATGTGTGTCCTCACTCTTAATGATAATTCAGCTGGGTGTAAAATTCTGTTCACCAACTGATGAGTGGGTAAACAAAATGTGGTATGTCCATGAAATGGAATATTATTCACTAATAAAAAGAAATGAAGTACTGATATGTGCTGCAACATTGGATGAACCTTGAAAACATTATGTTAAGTGAAAGAAGAAAAATAAAAAAGGCCACATAGCATATGATTCAATTATATGAAATAGCTAAGATTGGCAAATCTATAGACATAGAAAGTAGGCTAATGGTTGCCTAGGGTTGACAGTGGGGTGGAGAGATTGAGGAATGGTAGCCATGGGGTGTGGGTTATCTTCTTGGGCTAATGAAATATTCTAAAATGGGTCGTGCTGATGGATGCCTAACTGCGACTACAATAAAAGCCATTGAATTGAATTGTACACTTCAAATGGTTGCATTGTATGTGAATTATATCTCCGTAAGCCTCTTTGTTTGTTTTTAAGTATTCATGGGCAGTCATTCTTTTCTGGGCATGTGCATATATTTAGGACACTGTTTTTGGTCTCCTCTTTATGGCTCTAATATTCCGGGCTTGTTTTTAATGCCTTCCTTTCATTGCCCTGTTTGAAATGTCCTTTTCGTTTTATTGTACTGAGCTTTTCATTTGCCTTTCAGCTCTGCTTGCTGTCCTAATTTTGGTGAGTCTGCCAACCTTTGATGACCATCCCTCTTCCTTCTCCAGCCCCTGGCAGTCCCATTGATAGGCTTCCCCCATGATCTTGCATAACAGATGAGACAGACCCACATTCTCCTCCATAGTGGCTTTTCCGTGGACCGGCAGAGGAGCTTGGTTATTTATCCTTACTGCAACTACCTTTTTTGAGTACAGTTCTTTCACAGGGCAGCTTTCCCACTCACTATTATTCTTGCCTTTCACTGTAATCCTGTGAAGTGAATACAATAAGGATTATCCTCCTTGTTTTACACGTGAGGAAACTGAGCTCAAAGAGGTTAGCTGGGCTCCAAGTCACACACAGGATCATACAACTCAGATCTTCTATTATTCTTTCCATTGATTCAGGATTTCCCAACATAAAATTCTAGGATTAATCCTTTACTCTAAATAAATTGTTTTCTTTAATCTCTGTTCTTCTCTCATGTTTATTGAGTAACTACTGTGTGTCAGACACTTCTAGGTGCTGGAGATATCTTTGAGAAAAAAGATAGGGTCCCAGCCCTACAAACTATCAGAGAAAGTAGGTATGCATCTGTCCTTACCTTTGCCCAAATAGTATCTCCATTGCCACCCCAAGACCCCCACCTAGCATCCCCTACTACCACCTACCATCTGGCATGACTTCTATCTCATCTCTACAAGGTTAATGTCTATCTAACTTTGAAGGCTCTCCCACCTGGAATAACCCACCTTCCTGAGAATACACAATCCCCAGGGGTTTTTCTCTACTTTCCCTTGTTGTTACGTATAGGTTTTAAGTGAAGGCAACCATGAGCTAAGTGCTGCTCCCCTGCCACTTTCAGAAAAAAAGAAAATAAATGATCCTCTGAACCTGAAAGGGCTCAGAGCAGAGATATGCAAAGTCATCTTAAAGAGATAGAGTGGCTCCCAGGTAGCCCAACTGCTGGTAACTTGATTGAATGTACTAAAGTATCTAAAGAAGGAAACCATCATGAAGAGGGGGTTGGTCAGCCAGGGAAATTAGAAAAGGGACAGTCCCTGAAGCAAATGTTGCTGGTGCCATTCAAATGTCATTTAGGGAAGGGGGTGCCCAGCCAGCGTGCAGGGTAGGAATGACTATTGTAGAAATGGTCCAGTGGCTACCAAAATCTTCTGGGACCAAGCCCCCAATTCATATAACTCTCATCTGTCGCCCTGAAATCATGCTAACCAGATAATCACCAGTTAAACTGGCTTCCCCTGCTTGCCTTTGGGGAAGAAGGGGCTGTTCAAGCTGGCATATTATCTGAATTACCCAACAGTTCCTTTCTCTCTGGAAGTTAATAAATGAGCCATGGCTTTGTACGTCAGCATGGGAGTCTTTGGGAGGTGGTTAGGTCATGAGAGCAGATTCCTCATGAATGGGATTAGTACCCTTATTAAAGAGGCCCCAGAAAGCTGCCTTGCCCCTTTGATCATGTAAGGACACAGAAAGACGATGCCATGTGTATTAGTCAGGGTTCTCTAGAGGGAAATAACTGTATATTTATAAAGGGGAGTTTATTAAGTATTAACTTACATGATCACAAAGTCCCACAGTAGGCTCTCTGCAGGCCGAGGAGCAAGGAGAGCCAGTCCGAGTCTCAAAACTGAAGAACTTGGAGTCCAATGTTCGAGGGCAGGAAGCATCCAGCACAGGAGAAAGATGTAGGCTGGGAAGCTAGGCCGGTCTCTCTTTTCACACTTTTCTGCCTGCTTATATTCTAGCTGTGCTGGCAGCTGATTAGATTGTGCCTTCCCAGATTAAGGGTGGGTCTGCCTTTCCCAGTCCACTGACTCAAATGTTAATCTCCTTTGGCAACACCCTCACAGACACACCCAGGATCAATACTTTGTATCCTTCAATCCAATCAATTTGACACTCATTATTAACCATTGCACCATGTGTGGATCCGAAAGCAGTCCCTCAGCAGATACCAAATGTGAAGGTGCCCTGAGCTTGTACTGCCCAGCCTCCAGAACTGTGAGAAATAAATTTCTGTTGTTTATAAGTCAATCAGTCTATGGACTGAGACACATGAGTCAGCCTTCAGTCAAATCTAGAACAGATGAAGTGACTTATCTCACCAAAACCTCACAAAAGCTGGTGTTTATCTCATCAAGGCCAATGGCAGAACCCTGCACCACCCTACATCACCAATGAAAATGGCACTTTATGTGGCTGAGTGGGCGATACACCCACTTCCTTCAAACCCCTAAACCTAACAAAAAATGCTAATTGGTTGATGCATTATCCTAGAGGGAAGACTTGAAGAAAACTCAGGCCTGACTCTTGCTTGCCTGAGGCTTAAGCACTTCTATAATTTTGGTTGCTGTTATTGATGTTGCTTTGTAGTAAAGCCAGATTATCAAGGCTATGACATTTGTCAAGGGAAACCTGGGAAGAATGATCATTTGAACAAAAAGGCATTTTTATTTTTATTTTTCTTTGAGACGAAGTCTGTCATTCTGTCACCCAGGCTGGAGTGCAGTGGTGCAATCTTGGCTCACTGCTACCTACACCTGGGTTCAAGTGATTCTCGTGCCTCAGCCTCCTGAGTAGCTGGGACTACAGGTGCACACCACCACACCACACCTGTTAAATTTTTGTATTTTTAGGAGAGGCTGGGTTTCACCATGCTGGCCAGGTTGATCTTACACTCCTGACCTCAGGTGATCGCCTGCCTTGGCCTCCCAAAGTGTTGGGATTACAGGCGTGAGCCAACATGCCCTGCCAAAATGCATTTTTAAATATATTTAGTTGTGAACATATTTGGTAGGCGATGTCTTTACTCAGTATTTAATGTAATTTTCAAAAACTGAATCCATTTTAAAGCTCTACAATTTGGAACTTCAGCAAGAGTGCCTCTGTGGGGGTGGAACATCCACATAAGTCCATGTCATTGCATATGGCTCCACTGTACAGAGGAAGGGTAAATGGCTTGTTTAAACAAATTTTTTTTGTGTAGTGGTTTATCTAAATTTTATTATTTGACCTTGTATGTTTTATAGAAGTTCATTTAAACCCTGAAACATCATTTATTGGAAAAAGTAACTATTTTAGTCCATAGAGACTGTCGTGAGTCACCTTGACCAACAAATTGGCCTTGATGACCGAGCTCTGCACAGATGCAGAAAGGTATACTCTGGTGGCTAGGGGTTAATGGTAAATAGCGAGTTTCTTCCATTAAGGTCTCTTCTAATTTAAGAAAGTAAAATAACATTTGGTAACACAATAATTCGGGGGTATCTGTGTTTTCAGGCACAGACAAAATTGGAAAGAACTGTGAAGATTAAAGGAAATTTTAGAATTTTCTATAATGTACACTGTGTTCTAGGAGGAAAAAATAGTATCAAGTTGAGGTAAATTAGCTTAATTCTGTTACCTGAATGTGTTCACTGGTAGATTCTTTCTTCCATTTGTTGACTTATTGAATATAAATTCCATTAAAGGGCATTGGATTCATTTTTCATTTGAATGAAAGGAGCTCAATATCCTACAAGAATTGGCTTGCTGAGAATTCTTAACACACTGCTAAAAGTGCTCTAAATTTGCAATTCAAACCCCAAGGGATGCCAAGTCTCGTGATGAACACACACACACATACACACACATGCACGCACACACACACACGATAAGTTAAATTTAAGAATATTTACATCATGAAATAAATTAGTTGTCAGATTATTGTGAATTACAGATCCCCAACAAGAAAGGTAATTCAGAGCTTCCTTTTCCCTCCTAACAAGTAGGTTAGGTTTGTGAAGAACATGCTAAGAAAATAAACAATCTAAGGAGTAATCATTACATTTCAAATGGCTGGAAGCTTTTGGCAAAATGAGGGGGAAATTTTAAAAATACATCATAATGTAGGAGAAAATTTGTAATTTTAATTGGGAATATACTTGAACAAATAAATTCTAGTTTAAACATTGGTAAACTTGAATTTTAATCTGAAATTAAATCCTTACGGAATTACACTATCACACCCATATTTTTTTTTTTGTTGTTTTTGAGACAGAGTCTTGCTCTGTCGCCAAGGCTGGAGTGCAGTGGCGTGATCTTGGCTCACTGCAGCCTCCACCTCCTGGGTTCAAGCGATTCTCCTGCCTCACTGTCCCAAGTAGCTGGGATTACAGGTGCCTGCCACCATGCCTGGCTCTAACTTTGAAAATATTTTTAGTAGAGACAAGATTTCGCCATGCTGGCCAGGCTGGTCTCAAACTCCTGGCCTCAAGTGATCCGCCTGCCTTGGCCTCCCAAAGTGTTGGCATTTTCAGGCGTTAGCCACGGCACCCAGTCTCTCCCATGTCATTTAATCATCTGTTTTTATGTAGGGTTTATGTTACGGCAAAAGAAAAAAAAAATATGGCTCCTTCATTCTCCCATGATAGCTAATAGCTAAATGAATGTCTTTTTTTTTTTTTTTAATTTTACTTTAAGTTCCGGGATACATGTGCAGAATGTGCAGGTTTGTTACATAGGTATACATGTGCCACGGTGGTTTGCTGTACCTATCAACCCATCATCTAGGTTTAAGCCCCACATGCATTAGGTATTTGTCCTAATGCTCTCCCTTCCCTTGTCCCCCACCCCCCGACAGGCCCCACTGTGTGATGTTCCCCTCCCTGTGTCCATGTGCTGTCATTGTTCAACTCCCATTTATGAGTAAGAATATGCAGTGTTTGGTTTTCTGTTCCTGTGTTAGTTTGCTGAGAAGTCTCAGTTGGACATACAATAATCTAAGGCCTTCTCCCATGTAAAAGCCTCCCAGTTACCCTCCATTCAAACAGACGAGTGTCAACTCTACACTGCTTGCTGGGACCTCATGTCATTCCACAGTCCTGTTCTTGCTTCTGGGTGAGTCATACAAGTCAGTATACTTGGGGTAAAGAATCTCTGGATATCATATACAGCAACTCAGCAGAGTCACAGAATTTAGCTTGGCAGGATAATGCATTAGTCTAAACTCTTTCACCCATTGTCTTAGCCCTAACCTGTGGGGAAGCTGGGTCTTTTAACCGGAGCCTTGGTTGGCAACTTGAGCTGCAAATCCTAAACGCTCCTCTGAAACCTCCTGACATCCATGCCATTTGTTCCATGCCTAATCTATCTTGAACTCCTGGGTCTTCAGCGTTTCCCCAGCCTGAACCTTCACCTCCATCAGTTCTTGGACTTCTTATTCTAGTTCTTTTGAAATTTTTGCTCTTCTTGCTCCCCTTTTTCTTAATCTTCACAAATAAGGTCTTGGGACCCATACTATCTGTTAAGATGGGGAAAAGAAAGGCTGGTTGCCTTTGGGCTCAGAAGTGCTAGCAGCTGGATCCTTCCTTCCTGGTTTCTCCCCAGAAGAGGGGGAGGAGAGGGTTTGATAGCTGGGTGGGATTTTACCTGAAAAAGTAAAGATACTATGAAAGCTAGTGAGGCTTTTTTGGTGAACTTTTAAAGTCAAAGAGTTTATCAAAGGATTATGGGAGGTTTTTGATTGGGGAACTCCGGGGTGGTGTCTTTGATTTGTGGCTCAGGTAGGAAGAATCCAAGAGCAGGCTTTTTATGTCTTAGGCCCCAGAAATAAAGAGAGCCTTCTGGTTTCCTTCTCAATGGTCTCACCCACTTCCTAAGCCTGGAGGAGGGGCAGGGACTCTGGTAAAAGCCTGGCCCTAAATCTTCCCGTGGGTTTTTGTTTTCAGAATCCTGACCTATTATATGTAGTGCTGGAGAGCAAGAAATTCTAAGCAGCAATGACTTCCACTGCCCAATGGTCTGGGGGGATATTACTTCTGGTCCTAAATCCCATTGTGTTTTCCATCTTGTAATGGGGCGATCGTCTAAATAAAGCTCCACCAGGCATTATGACCTGGCATTGTCCCATTGTCCCAAACCACTGTCACAACCCAAATGTTTGTGTCTTGCCTACAAATGTCAACCAAGTCTGTTGGTCACCCATCCTAGCATGCCACCTATACTGTGAGTCCAGCAGAATTCCATAAGAGCCATTTATGTTTTTTTTTTTTTTTTTTTTTTTTTTTTTTTTTTGCCACAGGCAGAGGGATAGCTGGCCCCTGATGTTCCTAAAGCCAGCCCCTGCTATCCACAAGCTCCCTCTAACCCCCTGACCTTCCCAGAAGACCTTATCTTGGACTTGTAACTTCCATTCACTAAGGGCAATATAAACCTCAGGGCTGTTGGGAAAGGCTATTTTAGCAGGCCCCAAGTTCTCTGTGACCATGGCTACACAAGGCTGCAGGGTAGGGCCTGTCACTTCATTCCAGTTGTTCTCACTGAGCCTTGGCCATTAGAGACTCCTCTAGGAGGAAACCCTTCTTCTTCTATGTAGATGCTTCATCTACAAAAAGCTTGATCTCATGTTTGTGGGGCCCCCTTTTTACCCTCGAAGCTGTCAGGACACACATGTGAGTCATCTGGAGGCATTCTGTCATGACAACTCTTCACGCAGTCCTCACCTCACTGAGCAGGCAAATTAGTTTTATGTTAAGGTTGATAGCATTTATGCTTCAGTCCCTTTAGATATATGTATAACTGCTGAGCCACCAGAGATATAACAGGTACCACATTCCAACACGCAAGCTTCCAGAAGACTTAGCAAAAAAGTGCTTACAGACTCCCGAACTCTTCACCTATGTCAAGGGCACATAAAACATTGATGAGAGTAGGGACAGAGAGTTGGTGAAGGGGATTTTTGGAAAGCGTTGTTGGTGCATTAAGAGTCTGATCCCCAACAAAGAGCAAGGACTCCTCCCATCTCAAACCCAATGAAAGGGGCTTCAAGAAAACCTTGGGGGAGCGAGATGGGGGCAGAGGGGTCTCCTACAGCTGGTCATGGCAGTCTGGGGTTAACTTTGGTCTGAGAAGTGAAACTAAATGTTGAAGGGTGGGCTGGCCAACAGCTTTGGTTGTGGGCAAAGGAGTGGGGCCCGGATAGGACCAGATGGCACTCACAGACTTTGTGAACACATGTTTTGTGTTCTCCAAATGTAGGTCACAGCATGAGAGAGAGCTGGGGGCAAACAGAGCTGAGAGGATGTGAAGGTCTGGCTGGATTCCTAGAGGCTAGTATCCGAAGTCAGGTGCCAGCAGAATAGAGATGAATTCACCTGCAGCATGGTAGCTGCCAGCTGGATAACCTATGTTCTTGTTTTGGGGAGTAGGATGGGGGTGGGCAGAGCTCTCCAAAGAATCCACAAAATACCTACAGGAGGAAGCCTGCACTTTAAACACCTACCAGACCTAGAAAGCTTGGAGCCAGAAGATGACAGAACAAGTCAATTCAGAACTTTTCTGTGACCCTCTGACCCTGGAGAGATCAGAAGCTACTGCAGCAAAAGGGCAGGGCCAGAAATCAGCAAGGCAGGGGCCAGAGAGACCAGCACAGGCTTTCCCCAAATTGAGGTTTCCTGTCAGCAGTGAGTCTGGGTGGGCACAGACCCAAGAGGGACAGTTTCAACTTTAAGTCACAGTTGGAGTGTTTAATTTGATCCTGACCAGATATATTAAGAACAGTATTGATGTGAGAGGGGATTTGTGACTTAAGAAGTGAACAAAGAAGTTGTGAGACCCACCTGACCTTTTATGCAGGGCATGGGGAGAAGGAGTACCAGTGAAATTTTAAAGGAACAGTGGCAGGCAAAATTAAGTTGCTATGCGCCAACATTCCAGAAGACCCACTTCTTCAATGTGCCTGTAACATATCTTTATAGTTTGCTTCATATAGTCAGCATACATTTATTGAGTTATACCCAACACTGGGAACACAAAAGTGAAACACAGTCAGGGTTCCTGTCCTTGAGGAATTCATGGTCTTGTCAGGGAAGTGGACATTTTCTCTACAATGAGTCTGAGTCTGAGTCGTTTACAACTGTTTCTGCTGTAGTGGTCTTGCGTAAGGTTGAATTGAATTGCATAATGCCAAACCCACAGAGCTTCTCTCTCTCCAAAGTTCTTTATTTTTTATTTATTTATTTTTTTAGAGATGGAGGTCTCACTCTGTTGTCCAGGCTGGAGTGCAGGGGCCAGTCACAGCTCACTGGAATCTTGACTTCCTGGGCTCAAGTGGGCCTCCTGCCTCAGCCTTCCAAGTAGCTGGGACTATAACATGTGCCACCATGCCTGGCTAATTTTTTATTTTTATTTTTTGTAGAGACAGGGTCTCAGTATAGTGTCCAGGCTGGTCTAAAACTCATGGGCTCAAATGAGCCTCCCACCTTGGCCTCCCAAAGTGCTGGGGTTACAGGTATGAGCTTCTGTGTGCCTGGCCACTGTCCCCAAAGTTCTAATCTAAGGCACCCTAACTCAGGAAAGGTCAGGCACCTCCCAGCTAGTCATCCCTTAACGCTGTGACTCATCGTAAGTGGCCCTTGCTATTTGCAGGTGACACACTCGCCCAGTAGGAGGACACTGCCTATGTGATTCCTCCCAGGTAAGATGCAGGGACGTTGGTCACCACCCACTGAGAGTTATTCTTATGAATTGCAGGTGTGAAAGCTGAGCAGTAGCAATATCTGGACACTGAGAGAGCCACACTTACTGTCCTGAGAGTCACAGAGATGATAAAGAAAGAGGTTCATGTAGAGCTTTCTTATGTAGCAGAGAGGAGAGGAAAGAGCACTAGCTGTGGGTAAGAAGACTGACCAGAGGAAAGGGATGGCACAGGCCAATGTGTTTGGGGCAGTCTGTCCTCTTTACAGACTGGAGTTGTCAGGGGCTCCGTTGAGCTGCCAGGAGTTAGAGTAGCCAATGAAAGAAACAAGCCAAAAATGAGAGTCACAGTCAAGCCCTTAGTCACTTACTGCGATTGTATAAGCAAGAGCTAAGACCGGAGAAAGTGCCGACTCCCCTGTGTTCCATCTTCCCCGTGGAACAGTATATCAGTGGAGGCTCAGGTAGATCAGCATGGATGTAAAGGAATGGAGGATCATCTCACCCCCACTCATTCATAAAAAGCTCTGGCAGTTTTATGGATGAGTTGGGAGTGGTGTGGGATAAGGGGCATGGCAGGTAAGGGCTCAGAATGGAGAAGTGCTGAGTCACAGTAGAGAAAAGTGGTTTGGAAGTTCCTTGATAAGGAGCTGTCCAAATGGAGGCACCTGGGCTAGGAATCAGTGATGCATAACAGCGCGGGCAGCCAGGGGGCAGCCTCCCCATGAGGCCTGCCAGGCTAAGCCTTGTCATTGCTCATAGACAGGCCTGAAAAATCACCCATAGGATTTTGGCCTGGAGCTGGACTTCACAAGAGTCACTTGATGATGCCGCTAACACAGATCTTTATGACAAAAAGCCTGTAGCTTCTACAAAGAGTGAGAAACAGACATGCTCCTAAGGACTGAGACCTTTCCCCACCCTTTTTTTTAAATTAAAAAAAAAATTAGAGACGGGATTTCACCATGATGCCTAGGCTGGTCTTGAACTCGAAGCTCAGGTAATCCACCTGCCTTGGCCTCCCAAAGTGCTAGGATTACAGGTTTGAGCCACCACACCAGGCCAGGACTGAGATCTTAAATCTGAAACACTTTCTTCCTGCAGTGTCACTAGGAAAACAAATCCCCTCTGGGATCTGGCTTTATCCAGGAGGGTTTGGGCCATCCCCTCTATGGGGACTCAGATAGCCAGGAAAGCCTTTGTGGAAACATGTGCCTTCCTTCCCTTGACCAGCTCCCCTCCCTCCCGAGGGGCTGAAGTTCCCTGCCCAGTGCTCCAGAGTTCACGCCACCCTGTTGGGGTTACAGGGGGGACGCTGAATCCAAGGTAATGCCTGTGTTATATTAAGTGAAGATGAGGGTCATTTTAACCAAGGAATTGCCAACTCCAGGGATTTCTGTGTTATGGAGTAGGGTTCAGATCTGGAGTCAGAGTGCCAGGTTCAGAATCCGAGCTCTGCATCTTACTGGCCATGTATGTTGAGTTAATTACATAAATTCACTAAGCCTCAGTTTTCTCATCTGTAGAATAAGCATCTCACCCATACCTGCCTTATGTAGTTGTTAGAGAGAATTAAATGAGTTAATGCATATGAAGTGCCTAGCTTGTGCCCGGCACACCAATGGCAGTCATTGATATGGCCTTATTTGGCTGTCTGGGGGAGAGGAGCAGCCGAGATGGAAGAAAAGTTGAGGGTGCCGGTGATGGGCATTTTGCTGCTTCATAGCTCCATGGACATTACTCCTGAATCTAGAAGCTCAATTCCCAGAGACAGAAGAGCTTTTCCTCTATCAAGGGTAATACAGTAATTTCAGCTCCCTGCTTGAGTCTTCTTTTTCAAGGTGAAGAGTCATGCCATAGGGTGCTGTATGGTAAACACACATGGTAGCAGTAACTTAAGCATATCGTGATAATGACCCTGTAGGGCAGGTGCACCGGAGTGTATGTTCCCAGCTAGGCAATCCTGGAGTGGCCAACCTGGAGATTTGTTCCTTGTCCATGAGGAGCATCTGGGCCTGCAGCCCATCCCATGGAACATGGGCCCTACAGGGGATCAAGGCCCTGAGCTTTGGCTTGAATGAAGGTTGCCAGATGGAGATTGTTAGGGAAGGAATGCTAAGTGAAAACGCTATATAAACTGCATGCCTTTTG
The DNA here is from genome assembly GCF_000001405.40 of Homo sapiens. Lineage (NCBI taxonomy): Eukaryota > Metazoa > Chordata > Mammalia > Primates > Hominidae > Homo > Homo sapiens. The sequence continues at coordinate 160,132,470 of NC_000003.12, read as the reverse complement.
CAAGCAGTTGGGTTCTTCTGCCCAGCTCACCGTCACCGGACTCTCTGCCCTGTATGTAAGCTCCCAGTAAAAGTCCATGCCTCATTTGCTGGCTCTGGGCCTCTTTGGCCTCTTGAAACTGGTGCCTTTCCCAGTGGAGCTGATAGAGATTTGCCACAACAGGCACATGGGCAGAAGAACTAGTTTAAACCTAGAAGGGATTTCCCACTTGCCTACGAGTAAAGTCCATCTAAGAGTGGCTGATACTAGATGGCTTCAAGGAAGAAAACCAGCCTGGTTTTGACAGTCCTTATTTGCTACTATTCATAGTAGTGAAAGCGTAAATGATTTAAGATTAACTATGGAGACATCTTCTAAGAAAAAAAAGATTTTCTGCTCTCTATGATAGTGATTGTTCTTTAAATTGGCCCATAATACTTTATTAATAAATTAAAATTATGTTCTGAATGTTTAATCAAATAATGCAAATTGAACAATATTGTCAAAATATCCATGACGACATGAAGCAGCAACTGAGAAGTCCCTTCTCCAAATCGCCAGTGTGCCTTACCTGTTCATGCTGCTTTGCCGACTTGATGGCTACTAACACTGTCATTTCAAGTTCTGCATATATCACGAGTTACTCGTCACCATTCTTGCCACATATATACGTTAAATTGGCTTGCCTATTAATGAAATTAAATGCTATTTTATTGATTTCACACATGGGTTGCACACATATTCTCTTCAAGCTGGGAATTTACACAAAATGGAAGCTTTACAAACTTGTGTTACTAGGAATCTGCTTTTTTTTTTTTTTTTTGAGACAGTCTTACTCTGTTGTCCAGGCTGGAGTGCAGTGGCACAATCTCAGCTCACTGCAGCCTCCACCCCACCACCCCCATCCTGGGTTCAGGCAATTCTCATGTCTCGGCCTCCAGAGTAGCTGGAATTACAGGTGCCTGCAACCATGCCTGGCTAATTTTTGTATTTTCAGTAGAGCTGGGGTTTCACTATCTTGGCCAGTCTGGTTTCGAACTCCTGACCTCAAGTGATTTGCCCGCCTTGGCCTTCCAAAGTACTGGGATTACAGGCGTGAGCCACTGCCCCCGGCTCAGAATCTGCTTTAAGTTCAAGAATTCTATAATCAGATTTTATTGTATTTTTTTAGGATGAATGATTACAAATGACATGGAGGGAGTTGGGAAAGGTAGGACATGATTAGAAACATTTCTTTAGTTTGAAATTGTAATCTTATGCTCAAGGGGCCTTCTATTAGTTCTTGGCACTGCTTTTGCTAGAGTCTTGAGTGTGATTACTCACCACCACGCTCAAGAGGAAAACTAAATAGCCAAGGGATCAAGAGTAGTCAAGAAATCAGACAAGGATACTCAGCCAGGCTGCACTCAGGGAACAAAAGCCCCGCTAAGTCCCTGAAGGGTCCAGGGAAGGAAGCAGGAAAATTGAGGCACTCCTAGGGAAACAGAAACCAGAAACCTGAAAGAAATTGAGGGGCTTCCTAAGAAAAATTATTAAGGGAGAAAGGTATGAGTTATATGAATAGTAGAAACTTGATAAATAGGACTGAAATGGAGCTTAATTATTTTGATAATTATAATGTATTGTCAACCAAGTGTTGGCGAGATTCTGCATTCCGGGCCAGCTGCAGTGGCTCACGCCTGTAATCCCAGCACTTTGGGAAGCCGAGGCGGGCAGATCACGAGGTCAGGAGTTTGAGACCAGCCTGGTCACTATGGTGAAACCCCATCTCTACTAAAATTATAAAAAATTAGCCGGGTGTGGTGGCACGCGCCTGTAGTCCCAGCTACTCGGGGAGCTGAGGCAGGAGAATTGCTTGAACCCAGGAGGTGGAGGTTGCAGTGATCCGAGATCACACCACTGCACTCTAGCCTGGAAGATAGAGTGAGACTCTGACAAAAAAAAAAAAAAAAGATTATGCATTCCAAATAGTGACAGATTAACATTATGGAGGGGAAAAGGAGTGTTTATCATAATTGTATGTGAATAGATAGAGGGCTGAGAAAAGTAAGCATAAGAAAATGTAAGGGGAATATCAGGGTAGGAAGAAAAACACTTCCAAACTTGGTTGGATGTGAACTAGCCTTGCAAGATAGCAGTGGTGATGACTCTGGAATTCAACAGTTATGTATCTTCTCCTTGGGCCACTGGTGACTAAAGACATGACATATGACAATCACCCTGAGCTGTCCCTGGTGATCTCAGAGAACTTTTGGACCTCTAGGTTTTGGCCCACCCAGCATCCAGAGTGTCCTACAGGGAACTAGCCCTCCTCCAAAATATGCAGTCTGAGGGAATGTCAACCATGGCTCCTCACTTCCACCACAAGAGTTGCGCACGTGTGCAACCCGACTTCTACATCTGTTAGACTCCTGGTCACAATTACTGTGGACTTGCTGTGTGCCAGGAACTGTTCTTAGAGCTCTACATATACTAACTCATCTAATCCTCAGAACAACTCTATGAGGCAGTTACATTTTACAGATGAGAAAACTGAGGTAAAGAGAGGTTAAATGACTTGCTCAAGGTCACACAGCTCGTAAGAGAAAAAGCCAGATTTGAATCTGAGCAATCTAGTTCCTGCTGGCTGCAGGGAAGACAGGGAAAGAGGCTATTTCAACTTTTCCAGCCTTTAAAGCAGAGTAAGGCAAGCAAAGTTGGGAGATACTGAATGAGTCAACTGTGATGTCTGCCAAATCTGTCTGGTCAGTTTCCTCTTCCCCTGTTGCTAATTATTTCTTCCTGTCTGTTGCGGCTTTGTATGTGATTCAAATAATTCTCCAATGTCACACTCATTGCTTCATGAACCACATCTTTTATGAGACTTGCAATTTCACTTTGCAATTGATTGCATAGTAGTCTTTGTAGTCGTGAATATCATCTGAAAGTGGCAGGTACATTTACAGTATCTGACAGCCGATGAGAGACTGACCCCAGATCTTTGATTGATAGCTGGCATGGGTACTAGTGTGTTTGGGCAGGGATGTTTCATGGGGGATGATTTAAATAAATGGACAGCTCAGGAGGGCATTTTAATAACGTATTTACTTTCCTACATAACCTGGTAACCCAAATTCTTATATAATGATTACTAGGATCATGATGTGAAATTTGCAGATAGCAAGATGAAATCACGTTTGTCAGACCCAGACAAAATAGGGCCAGAAAAACCTGAAAGAGAGGAGGTCCATGCTTACATGTTTGAGATAAGAAAGTCCAAGGACTTTCGGCCAGCACAGTGGCTCATGCCTGTAATCCTAGTACTTTGGGAGGTCGAGGTGGGTAGATCACCTGAGGTCAGGAGTTCGAGACTAACCTGGCCAACATGGTGAAACTCCGTCCCTACGAGAAATACAAAAATTAGCTGGGTGTGATGGCATGTGCCTGTAATCACAGCTACTCAGGAGGCTGAGGCAGGAGAATCGCTTGAACCCGGGAGGTGGAGGTTGCAGTGAGCTGAGATTGCGCCATTGCACTCCAGCCTGGGGGACAAGAGCAAAACTCCATCAAAAAAAAAAAAAAAAGTCCAAGGACTTTCTAGAAGCCCTTTTACACCTGCTTTGATAAAGCTTATCATTAGACATGCTTTAGAATTGGCAGTAATTCAGACAAGATGTTCTCAGAAGAACGCTTGCCCAGTAGTGGAATCTCCACCAATAACTGACAACTACTCTGGCTTTGAAACTCTGGAATCAATGAACTCTGTTCTAAGCAGCTTATGTCAATCTCTTTTTGCTAGTAAAATCTCCCCTTATCCTTCTCTCACCAAACAGGCTGGTGGCTTGCCATTCTGTGCATTCCAGATTATAATCCTGAGTAAACGCAACATATTCAGACATAATTTTCTCTGTCTTTATTTAAGTTGACAATAAGAACTTCTTGAATATAGTACACAGTAACCTAATTCTTAATTCCCCTCAGCCCCACATCTGCCTTAAGGAGGATATTCAAAGAATGTGGATGCCATTAATAATGACAAGAAAGATCTGTAGGCTTGAGGCCCCCTTGGCTCAGACTCATGCATTCCTCAGTTCTTCAGGTTACCCCTCTGTCCATAGCTAGGTCTGATGTCCATCAGAATCCTTCAGCTTCAGCTGTAGATGCAGCTCTCCTTGAGCCACTGCTGCTGCCTTAGGTCCCTCTGTGGCTGACCACAGAACCTGACTGCAGTTGCAGTCTTGCTTGTGACTTGCCTGGAGAGCCTCTATCTTGTTCACCAAGGGGTGTCTGTTGAGCAGCTGATGCTGCTGTCTTTATGTGGAGGAAGGTCTCTTCAAGGAATGTTTCACAATTATTTTTTAAATCCTGAAATGGTGTCATTATTCCCTCAGTCTTCTGTGATTACATAAAGATACTTGGACCATGAAGAAATTTGGAAGGAAACAGGCAGGGTCTTACTTACCCTCTGTGAAAATTAAAATTATCACTGTCATTCATATATATATAGATAGATAGATAGATAGATAAATACATGTTAAATATTTTATTCATTGATCAGTGAAGGATTGAATCAGGCATACATTATAACCTGAAGAACAGACATTTATAGATCAAGAACAGTGAAATGGGCCAGGTATGGTAGCTCACACCTATATCCCAGCATTTTGGGAGGCTGAGGCAGTAGGATTGCTTGAGGCCAGGAGTTTGAGACCAGGCTAAGCAACACAGACAAAAAAATTTTTAAAAATTGTTTTAATTAGCTGGGCATGGTGGCACACCTATAGTGCCAGCTACTTGGGAGGCTGAGGCAGGAGGATCACTTGAGCCCAGGAGTTCATGCATGCCTCAGAAACAAGATCTCTTCAACATCTTGATCTCCTCCCATTCTCCTGTCTTCCCCACTACCCTCTGCAAAGTGAGTCATAGAAACCAGAATTCTTCTTCACCAAGTTGGGTCATAGAAACTAAAAGTCTTCTTCCGCAAAGCAAGTCATAAAACCTAGAAAGGTAACTTTGTCCCTTCTCTCTTGAGGACCTTCATGTAACAGGTGTCCTAACCTCTACTGGACAGGAAAGGAATGCTATGCAGAGAGACCAAGAAGAACCTGAACAGACAGGTCTTGCGGGGTTTCCCCTTCAGTCTATTACCATTAGATCATAACCTGTCCAATCACAGTTCTACATGGCTATCCGTTCTTTATCCAACCTAAACATAAAAACAGTTTCCCCTGGATCTTTAGACCTTCACTTCTGAAGGCTCTTGTGTCACACACAACTTTGATTAAATAGATTTGTTATGCTTTTCTTTTGTTAACCTGTCTTGTGCTTTAAGAGTGTTAGCTGTCCGCCTTCTATGGGAAGGAAAGATATCACAATTTTCTACCCTTATACCACCAAGTTCAACCTCCCATCATGATGTTTTCCAGATACAAACTCATTTGATCTTACTTAACTTTTTTCAGCATCCCGTAAGGGGGCACAGCAGCAATTGTTACATTTTGCAGGGGGAGAGACAGCTGCAGAGGGGTTGAAGGAATTGCTAGGGTTACACAGCTGATACACTGCCTCGCCTGAGTTGAAAACCAGCTCTGCATGTCTGCAGCTGCTCTTGCTCGGTACCACACAGCGGAGGCTGGTCCCAAGTCTCCTCTTCTGTTAATAGAAAAATGGGATAATCATCATTTCATTTTTCAATTCTGAGATTCTGGGCAGCTTCTCTAGTTTTATTTGCAATTCAACAGAGGAATCTAGCAGGTTTGTAAGTTACATCCTCACTTACTCATTTTAGAAAATGGGTGATTATATTCACTCTCAAGCTGGTTGGCTGACTCTTCAAAAGCCGTAGTCTCCCACAGTGAAGAATCTAAAATGACAATCAGGATCTTAAGAGACATGAAGGTGAAGAAAAGACAAAATAATAATTCTAATTGTTCTATCGATCTCTTGGCCAAGGAGCAAGACAAAAATCAATTATAAATAACAATAGCTTTTAACTCATTGAGCTATCTTTTCTCTTAAAATCAAGATAAAAGCCAAATTGTAGATGGCTAGAGATAGAATAAATGTTAATTTCCAGAAAGGCCCCTTCAGCAGTCATATGAGTAACAGATAGATTCTATCAGGGCTCAGAACACAGTGCCTCAAAATATGGCACCTTGGCATGCTGAGTACTTTGAACTGAAGGAGATTGCAAAGACTAAGAAGCAAGGTTTCTCTGACCTTCGCCTACTCTCCTGTCTCCCACGCCTCATTCTTCCCTGAATTAAGTCATAGACTCTAGAGTTCCTCTTCCCGAGGGCTGATCATAGAAACTAGAATTCCTCTCCCCACACACAAGCCATAAAACCTAGAAAGGTCACTCTCCTCCTTCTCCCTTGAAGATTCTTATTCCAGAGGGATCCTGCCCCATACCCAGGAGGGAAGAAACGCTACACAGACAGGCCAAGAAGAATCTGAACAGACAAGCCTTGCTTGGTTTCCTCCTCAGTCTACTACCATTAGATCATAACCTTCTGGGTTTCCCCCTCAGTCTATTGCCATTAGATTATAACCTTCTGTCCAATCACATTTCTACATGGCTATCCATTCTTCATTGAATCTAAGCTTAAAAATGCAGTTTTCCCTGGGTCTTTGGGTATTTGTATTTCTCAAGGCTCCTGTGTCACATACAATATTGATTAAATAAATTAGTTTTGCATCTCTCTCATTAACCTGTCTTTATAGAATGTTGGCGTACCCCTTACTATGGGGAGGAAAGGCACACTTCTCTATTTACCTGGGCTCTAGTTATCTTATTTACCTGGGCTCTTAAAAATACCAGCTACAATCAGAGGTTCTAAGAGAGCCTCAAAAAAGATGGCCTTTCCCAAAGTATATTTCATCAAGTGGGAGCTTCTTATATTTTCTTGGCTTCTGTTGAAACTTTTATAGTTAAATGATGTGACAAAATAATGACACTAGCTTCCGTTTTGATGATGAGACAAGTTAATTATACTAACTTCTGTTTTTCCTTTCTCCTTGCCTTACTAAGAGAATTTTATTTTTCTATAGTTTAGGAATAAAAGCCTAGAAGTTTCAGAATCTGGGAAGGCAGCCAATAAATGTCACCCTCTGAAAAACAAATATCATCAGAATAAAAAAAGGATGACATTAACTGACTTCTGAGGAAATAACACATTGACGTGATGATTGGTAAGTGGGAGGCAGTTTAGATCAGAACATTTATCAAAGTGAATTGTCACTAGAAACCTTCCTGAAAGAAAGAGTTCCATGGTCAAATATTTTCTCAAATGCTGGGTTAAATATTGCTCAAACACATTTGTTTATTGCAGTACTTCTCAAAACCTTTAATATGCTCATGTACACTGTGAGGTTCTAACAAGACCTATGGTATACAGTATTTTCCAAATATATGTTACCAGATAATTAATTTTTGTAGACAAACCTACTTTGGCAAACTCCTTACTAGAGTATTTTCTTAATTTCACATTAAGGGATTCACATTATCTACCGGTTTATATTTCTATAAATAAATTTATTTATACAAATACATTTCTGTTTATACAATTAAGTTTATATGAAAAGATTATTTATACAGATGAATTGTCACATGTCTCAGTATGCACTGTAATTCTAATCTGAGAAGCAGGATTGATAAGGAGAGTGAGAGAGTAGGAAGAATTTGAGCCAGGCTCCCTAGGTGTTTCTCTATAGCAGATGTATTAGTCTGCTCAGGCTATCAGTCTAAGTGGCTTAAACAACAGAAATTGTTTTAAGTTCTGGAGGCTGGAAGGCCAGGATGAAGATATTGGCAGGGCTGGTTTCTTCTGAGGCCTCCATCTTTGGCTTGCAGATGGCTGCCTTCTCCTTGTATCTTCATGTGGTCTTTCTTCTGCAAACATCTGTGTTCTAGTCTCTTCCTTTTAAAAGGACACCAGTCATATTGGATTAAGTCCTACTCTAATACTTCATTTAAACTTAACTGATCTGCAAATACAATTCCATTCTGAGGCACTGAGGAATCAGGACTTCAGCATATGAATTTTGGGTTGACTCAATTCAGTTCACAACAGTGAAACCACCTCTGCAAAATTATGACTGAGATTATGAAAGAGATCTAACCAACTCCATCTTGGTTCTAACTTTAAGCTGTCCTTGTTCCTTCCTGGGTGTAGGCTGAACTAACTTTGGGAGGAACTTAGTTTATAGTTTAAACAGAGATGATAACAGCCCTTTTCCAAAACAAACCTCCTTCTTGCCTGGGGACTAGACTGCCTTTGTAGGACTAACAAATTAGCCACAAGATTAGAAATTATGGTTTAGGAGTCAGGCAGCTGGAGGCTACAGGATTCTGACCCTCCTTAAACTGCTCCTATCAGTGTTTCAGATATTTTGCAGACCTTGCACTTGATGGATCAGCTGGCACCACCCAGATTGATAAAGTGGCTCATCTGATCTTGTGGCCCATACCCAGGAACGGACTCAGTGCAAGAGGACAGCTTCAACTTCCCATGATTTCATCTCCTACCTAACCAATTAGCACTCCTGGCTCACTGGCTTCTCTCTACCCACCAAGTTGTCCATAAAAACTCTCTGAATGCTCGGGGATACTAATTTGAATAAAAGTAAAACTCTTGTCTCCCACACAGCGGGCTCTGAGTGAATTACTCTTTCTCTATAGCAATTTCTCTGTCTTGATAAACCGGCTCTGTCTAGGTAGTGGGCAAGGTGAACCCATTGGGTGGTTACAACAGTGGGCCAGGGACATAAAATACCAAAAGTAGCTACACATTCCATGGAGACCCGAACATTCCTGCACTCCATCTTGGTCCTTCTTGAGCAGGCTCTGAGCCTGAGTTGGTTTTTCATGAGGATATTTCAACTAGGAGGAACCAGCCTCACAGCCAGACACAATCTCTTGAACTGTTATATTCCCCGCAAAAATATAACAGTTAATGCCTCAGCCCGCTTTGTGAGAGAATCTCTTGAATATTTGGCTAAGTTGATTCAGTTTCCCTGGCCCTGATCACATTAACTGCCATTACCTGGGAGTCCAGGGGAACGACTTTAAGGATCAGTGGTGTGGCAGGGACTATTAACAATAATGGCTCCTGTGTCCTGAATTGTGGTGGGCATTCTACATCAGTGTTGTCTCATCTGCTGCTTGTAACATCTCTGAGATAAAGATGATATTATTGCCTCTAGATTACAGATGAGGAAACTGAATACTAAAAAATGTAACTGTCATAGTATAACAAATAGGAAAAAATTTGAAGTTTCCTATGCTCTGAGCTACAATGTTAAATACAGTTTAAATTATCTCAGTTGGTTTTGTAGGGGAGGAAAAACTCTCCTTCTACCCTTTTGGGATGTGTGGCTGGGAACTATGAATTGAACTGACAAAAGACAGATTAACAGGAGCAAAGGCATACAACTTTTATTAACAGTTTTACACGCACAAGATGTTCAAAGACACAGGGGCTTGTATATCATCCTAACAAATAACAATTTGTGAAGGAACTAGATAAAGGAAAAGAGGATTAAGACTCCTAGGCACAGTGAATTTTCGGGAGGCGATGAGGAAATGTATGGCATATAAGGATTGCTTAGTAGGGCTTGTTATGCAGATTCATTTTGGTGCCAAGAGTCAGGCTCCTCTCCCTGGTATGGTACGGGGGGGATACCTTAACAAATGGAAATCTATGCTTTGCTTTTAGGCAAAAAGGGGGAGGGAAGAGAGGTCTTCCCACATCTGCTGTTTTGCAACTGCCTTCAGCTAAAAGTAATTTTTATGCCAAAGTGGCATATTTTGGGGGTAACATTCATATTCCCTTCAGTTTCTACAACACTTTGAGGCAGGTCTGATTAGCCCCATTTTTTCCTTCTGCAATTTAATGTTAATTTTTCATTTTTGTGAGGACATAGTAGGTATATATATTTATGGGGTACATGAGATGATAAGGCATGCAATATGAAATAATCAAATCATAGAGAATGGGACATCCATCCCCTCAAGCATTTATCCTTGGTGTTACAAACAATTCAATTACAGTCTTTTAGTTATTTAAAAGTATATAGTTACTATTGACTATAGTCACTCTGTTGTGCTATGAAATATTAGGTCTTATTCATTCTTTCTAAGTGTGTTTTTGTACCCATTAACCACCCCCACCTCTAGCACAGCCCCCTACCACCCTCACCAGCCTCTGGTAACAATCCTTCTACTCTCTATCCCCATGAGTTCAATTGTTTTAATTTTTAGCTTTCACAAATAAGTGAGAACATGAGAAGTTTTTCTTTCTCTGCCTGGCCTATTTCACTTAACATAATGACCTCCAGTTCCATTCATGTTGTTGCAAATGAAAGGATCTCATTCATTTTTATGGCTGAATGGTACTCCATTGTGTATATATACCACATTTTCTTTTATTATTATTATACTTTAAGTTCTGAAGTACATGTGCAGAACATGCAGTTTTGTTACATAGGTATACACGTGCCATGGTGGTTTGCTGCACCCATCAACCCGTCACCTACATTAGGTATTTCTCCTAGTGCTGTCCCTTCCCTAGCCCCCCACCCCCCAATAGGCCCCAGTGTGTGATGTTTCCCTCTCTGTGTCCATGTGTTCTCATTGTTCAGCTCCCACTTATGAGTGAGAACATGTAGTGTTTGGTTTTCTGTTCTTGTGTTAGTTTGCTGAGAGTGATGGTTTCCAGCTTCATCCATGTCCCTGCAAAGGCCATGAACTCATCCTTTTTTATGGCTGCATAGCCTTCCATGGTGTATATGTGCCACATTTTCTTTATCCAGTCTATCATTGATGGACATTTGAGTTGGTTCCAAGTCTTTGCTATTGTAAATAGTGCCACAATAAACATACATGTGCATGTGTCTTTATAATAGAATGATATATGTGTGCATGTGTCTTTATAGTAGAATGATTTATAATCCTTTGGGTATACACCCAGTAATGGGATTGCTGGGTCAAATGGTATTTCTAGTTCTAGATCCTTGAGGAATCGCCACACTGTCTTCCACAACGGTTGAACTAATTGACACTCCCAATAACAGTGTAAAAGCGTTCCTATTTCTCCACACCCTCTCCAGCATCTGTTGTTTCCTGACTTTTTAATGATCGCCATTCTAACTGGCATGAGATGGTATCTCATTGTGGTTTTGATTTTCATTTCTCTAATGACAAGTGATGATGAGCTTTTTTCATATGCTTGTTGGCTGCATAAATGTCTTCTTTTTAGAAGTGTCTGTTCATATCCTTCACCCACTTTTTGATGGGGTTGTTTGTTTTTTTCTTGTAAATTTGTTTAAGTTCTTTGTAGATTCTGGATATTAGCCCTTTGTCAGATGGATAGATTACAAAAATTTTTTTCCCATTCTGTAGGTTGCCTGTTCACTCTGATGATAGTTTCTTTTGCTGTGCAGAAGCTCTTTATTTTAATTAGATCCCATTTGTCAATTTTGGCTTTCGTTGCCATTGCTTTTGGTGTTTTAGACATGAAGTCTTCGCCCATGCCTATGCCCTGAATGGTATTGCCTAGGTTTTCTTCTAGGGTTTTTATGGTTTTAGGTCTTACGTTTAAGTGTTTAATGCATCTTGAGTTAATTTTTGTATAAGGTGTAAGGAAAGGGTCCAGTTTCAGTTTTCTGCATATGGCTAGCCAGTTTTCCCAACACCATTTATTAAATAGGGAATCGTTTCCCCATTTCTTGTTTTTGCCAGGTTTGTCAAAGATCAGATGGTTGTAGATGTGTGGTGTTCTTTCTGAGGTCGCTGTTCTGTTCTATTTGTGTATATATCTGTTTTGGTACCAGTACCATGCTGTTTTGGTTACTGTCGCCTTGTAGTATAGTTTGAAGTCAGGTAGCCTGATGCCTTCAGCTTTGTTCTTTTTGCTTAGAATTGCCTTGGCTATGTGGGCTCTTTTTTGGTTCCATATGAAGTTTAAAGTAGTTTTTTTCAATTCTGTGAAGAAAGTCAATGGTAGCTTGAGGGGGATAGCATTGAATCTATAAATTACTTTGGGCAGTATGGCCATTTTCACGATATTGATTCTTCCTGTCCATGAGCATGAAATGTTTTTCCATTTATATGTGTCCTCTCTTATTTCCTTGAGCAGTGGTTTGTGTAGTTCTCCTTGAAGAGGTCCTTCACATCCCTTGTAAGTTGAATTCCTAGGTATTTTATTCTCTTTGTAGTAATTGTGAATGGGAGTTCACTCATGATTTGGCTCTCTGTCTGTTATTGGTGTATAGGAATGCTTGTGATTTTTACACATTGATTTTGTACCCTGAGACTTTGCTGAGATTTTTACCCTGAGACTTTGCTGAAGTTGTTTATTAGCTTAAGAACATTTTGGGCTGACTTGGTGGGGTTTTCTAAATATACAATCATGTCATCAGCAAAGAGAGACAATTTGACTTCCTCTCTTCCTATTTGAATACATGTTATTTCTTTCTCTTGCCTGACTGCCCTGGCCAGAACTTTCAATACTATGTTGAATAGGAGTGGTGAGAGAGGGCATCCTTGTCTTGTGCTGGTTTTCAAAGGGAACGCTTCCAGTTTTTGCCCATTCAGTATGATATTGGCAGTGGGTTTGTCATAAATAGCTCTTATTATTTTGATACATTCCATCGATACTTGGTTAATTGAAAGTTTTTAGCATAAAAGGGTGTTGACTTTGGTGAAAGCCTTCTCTGCATCTATTGAGATAATCATGTGGTTTTTGTTGTTGGCTCCGTTTATGTGATGGATTACGTTTATTGATTTGCACATGTTGAACCAGCCTTGCATCCCAGGGATGAAGCTAACTTAATATGGCGGATAAGCTTTTTATGTGCTGCTGGATTCCGTTTGCCAGTATGTCATTGAGGATTTTCACATCAATGTTTATCAGAGATATTGGCCTGAAATTTTCTTTTTTTGTTGTGTCTCTGCCAGGTTTTGGTATCAGGATGATGCTGGCCTCATAAAATGAGTTAGGGAGGATTCCCTCTTTTTCTATACTTTGGAATAGTTTCAGAAGGAATGGTACCAGCTCCTCTTTGAACCTCTAGTAGAATTCAGCTGTGAATCCATCTGGTCCTGAACTTTTTTTGGTTGGTAGGCTATTAATTACTGTTATTGGCCTATTCAGGGATTCGACTTCTTCCTGGTTTAGACTTGGGAGGGTGTATGTGTCCAGGAATTTATCCATTTCTTCTAGATTTTCGAGTTTATTTGCATAGAGATGTTTATAGTATTCTCTGATAGGAGTTTGTATTTCTGTGGGATCAGTGGTGATAACCCCTTTATCATTTTTTATTGTTTCTATTTGATTCTTCTCTCTTTTCTTCTTTATTAGTCTGGCCTGCGGTCTATTTTGTTGATCTTCTCAAAAAGCAAGCTCCTGGATTCGTTGATTTTTTTTGAAGGGTTTTTCGTGTCTCTATCTCCTTCAGTTCTGCTCTGATCTTAGTTATTTCTTGTCTTCTGCTAGCTTTTGAATTTGTTTGCTCTTTCTTCTCTAGTTCTTTTAATTGTAATGTTAGGGTATCGATTTTAGATCTTTCGTGCTTTCTCTTGTGGGCATTTAGTGCTATGAATTTCCGTCTACATACTGCTTTAAATGTGTCCCAGAGATTCTGGTACATTGTGTCTTTGTTCCCATTGGTTTCAAAGAACACCTTTATTTCTGCCTTCATTTCGTTATTTACCCAGTAGTTATTCAGGAGCAAGTTGTTCAGTTTCCACGTAGTTGTGTGGTTTTGAGTGAGTTTCTTAATCCTGAGTTCTAATTTGATTGCACTGTGGTCTGAGAGACAGTTTGTTGTGATTTCTGTTCTTTTGCATTTGCTGAGGAGTGTTTTACTTCCAATTATGTTACACCACATTGTCTTTATCCATTCATCTGTTAATGGACTCTGAGGTTGCTTCCAAATCTTAGCTATTGTGAACAATGCTGTAACAAACATGGGAGTGCAGATAGCTTTTCAAAATATGCATTTCCTTTCTTTTGGTTATATAACCAGCAGTGGAATTGCTGGATCAAATGATAGCTCTATTTTTACTTCTTTGAGGAGGCTGTAAACTGTTTTCCACAGTGGTTGTACTAATTTACATTCCCACCAACAGTGTACAAGGGTTCCCTTTTCTCCACATCCTTGACAGCATTTGTTATGGCCTTTTGGACGTAAGCCATTTTAACATTTTAATTGGGGTGAGGTGATATCTCACTGTAGCTTTGATTTGCATTTCTCTGATGATCAGTGATGTTGAGCCCCTTTTCATATGCAAGTTTACTATTTGTATGTCTTCTTTTGAGAAATGTCTATTCAAATCTTTTGCCCATTTTTTGATCAGATTATTAGATTTCTTCCTATACAGTTGTCTGAGCTCCTTATATAGTCTGGTTATTAATTCCTTGTCAGATGGATAGTTTGCAGATATTTTCTCCCATTCTGTGGGTTGTCTCTTCACTTTGTTGATTCTTTCCTTTGCTGAGCAGAAGCTTTTTAACTTGATGTGATCCCATTTGTCCATTTTTGCTTTGGTTGCCTGTGCTTGTGGGGTATTACTCAAGAAATTTTTGCACAGACCGATATCCTGGAGATTTTCCCCCAATGTTTTCTTGTAGTAGTTTCATAGGTTAAGGTCTTATATTTAAGTCTTCAGTACATTTTGATTTGATTTTTGTATATGGCAAGAGATAAAGGGCTAGTTTCATTCTTCTCCATGTGGATCTTCAGTTTTCCTAGCACCATTTATTAATGTCTTTTCTTCAGTATATGTTCTTGGCATCGTTGTAAAAAATGAGTTCACTGTGGGAAATGAGTTCACCGTGGGATTATTTCTGGGCTCTCTATTCTGTTGCACTGGTCTATGTGTCTGTTTTTATGCCAGTACCATGCTGTTTGGGTTACTATAGCTCTGTAGTATAATGTGAAGTCAGATAATGTGATTATTTCAGTTTTGTTCTTTTTGCTTAGGACCGCTTTGGCTATTCCAGGTCTTCTTAGGTTCAATATAAATTTTAGAATTGTTTTCTTTATTTCTGTGAAGAATGTCATTGGTTTTTTGGTAGAGATTGCATTGAATCTACAGATTGCTTTGGGTAGTACTTACCATTGCCAGTGAGTTTTCTACCTTCAGGTGATTACTTATTGCAGATTAACATCCTTTTCTTTCTGATTGAAGTACTCCCCACTTAAGCATTTCTTGTAGGACAGGTCTGGTGTTGATGAAGTCCTTCAGCTTTTGTTTGTCTAGGAAAGTCTTTATTTCTACTTCATGTTTGAAGGACATTTTTGCCAGATATACTATTCTAGGGTAAACTTTCTTCTCCTTCAGCACTTTAAATATGCCATGCTACTCTCTCCTGGCCCATAAGCTTTCCACTGAAAGGTCTGCTGCCAGACATATTGGAGCTACATTGTGTGTTATTCATTTCTCTTCTCTTAGGTTTGAGAAGTTCTCTGTTATTATTCCTTTGAATAAATTTTCTACACCTATCTCTTCCCTTACCTCCTCTATAAGGCCAGTAAGTCATAGATTTTCACGAGGTGGGCAGATCACTTGAGGTCAGGAGTTCGAGACCAGCCTGACCAACATGGTGAAACACCGTCTCTACTGAAAATACAAAAATTAGCTGGGCGGGTGGTGCACACCTGTAATCCCAGCTACTTGGGAGGCTGAGGCAGGAAACTTAAACCTGGGAGGTGGAGGTTGCAGTGAGCTGAGATCATGCCACTGCACTCCAGACTAGGTGACAGAGCCAGACTCCATCTCAAAAAAAAAAAAAAAAAAAAAAGCCCGGTGTGGTGGCTCACACCTGTAATCCCAGCACTTTGGGAGGCCGAGGTGAGAGGATCACAAGGTCAGGAGATCAAGACCATCCAGGCTAACATGGTGAAACCCCATCTTTACTAAAAATACAAAAAATTAGCCAGGCATGGTGGCAGGCGCCTGTAGTCCCAGCTACTCGGATGGCTGAGGCAGGAGAATGGCGTGAACCAGGGAGGCAGAGCTTGCAGTGAGCCAAGATCATGCCACTGCACTCCAGCCTGGGTGACAGAGCAAGACTCCATCTCCAAAAAAAAAAAAAAAAAAAAAGTCTCAGATTTTCCCTCTTGAGGCTATTTTTTCTTTTGTCTCCTCTACTTTCAAATAGCCTGTCCTCAAGCTTGCTAATTCTTTCTTCTGCTTGATGAATTCTGCTATAAAAAGACTCTTATGCATTCTAAAGTGTGCCATCTGCATTTCTCAACTCCAGAATTTCTGCTTGATTCCCTTTAATTATTTCAATCTGTTTCTTATATTTGTCTGATAGAATTCTGGATTCCTTCTCTGTGTTATCTTGAATTTCTTTGAGGTTCTTCAACACAGATATTTTGAATTCTGTGTCTGAAAGGTCACATATCTCTGTTTCTCCAGGATTGGTCCATGGCAGCTTATTTAGTTCGTTTGGTGAAGTCATGTTTTACTGGATGTTGTTGATGCTAATAGTTGTTCTTTGGTGTCTAGGCATTGAATAATTAGATATTTATTGTAGTTGGCACTGTCTAGGCTTGTTTGTACTCATTTTTCTTGGGAAGACTTTCCAGGTATTTGAAAGGACTTAGGTGTTGTGATCTAAGCTGTATCTGCTTTAGAGGGGTCCCCAAACCTAGTAATACTGTGGTTCTTGAAGACTTGTGGAAGTACTGCCTTGACAGTCTTGGACTGGATCCAAGAGAATTTTCTGGATTACCAGGCAGAGACTCTTTTTCTCTTCCCTTACTTTCTCCCAAACAAATGAAGCCTCTCTGTTCTGAGCCACCTAAAGCTTGGGGAAAAGTGACACAAGCACTCCTGTTGCCACCACCACTAGTCTGACCCTGAAGTCGTCAGACCTAGTGCCAGCACAGCACTGGGTCTTGCCCAAAGCCTACTGTAACCACTCCCTAGCAACTGCCTATGTTTGCTTAAGGTCCAGTGGCTCTATAATCAGCAGGTGGCAACCCAGCCAGGACTGTGTCCTTCCCTTCAGAGCAGTGGGTTCCCCCAGAACCTGGGTGGGTCCAGAGGTGCCAACCAGGACTCCGGGACTAGAATCAAAAACCTTAGGAGTCTAGCTGCTATTCTATTGTACTGCAGCTAAGCTGCACTCAAATCGCAATACATAGTCCTTCCCATTCTTCCCTCCTTTTTTTAAAGGCAGAGGGGCCTCATCCCAAGTACACCACCATAGGCCATGAGTAGTAGTACGGCCAGACTATCACTGATAGTCCCTTAAGGCCTAAGGGCTCTTATGTCAGCTTGTGGTGAATGCTGCCTGGCCTGGGACTCACCCTTCAGGGCAACGGGCTTCCTTCTGGCCCAGGGTAGGTGCAGAGATGCCATCCAAGTTAAGCCCTGGAATCGAGGTCCCCAGGAGCCTCCTTGGTGCTCTCCCTCACTGTGGCTGTGCTGGTACCTAAGGTGCAAGATAAACTCCCCTTTACTTTTCTCTCTGCTTTTCTCAAGCAGAAGGAGTTTCACCCTGTAGCCACCAAAGCTGATAAACCGCTGAGTCTCACCTGAAGCCAGCAAGTCTCAGAGGCTCACTCAAGACACTTGACGTAGAACTTGGGTATCACTGCTTGTTATTTAGCCCCCAAGGGCTCTTCAGTTAGCAGTTGATAAATGCTGCCAAGACTGGGTCCTTCCCTTCAGGGCTGCAGATCCTCTTCTGGGCGGGCTGCAGATTCTCTTCTGGGCTAGGGTGTGTCTAGAAATGTTATCTAGGAACTAGGATCTGAAATGGGGGCCTCACAACTCCGACTGGTTCCCTATCCTGTTGCTGAGCTGATATCCAAGATGCAAGACAAAGTCCTCACTCCTCTTTCTCCTCTCCTCAAGCAGAAGGAAGGAGTCTCTTTTGGAGCCACAAGCCGTGCAGCCCGGGGTAGGGGAGGGGTGACGCCACTCCCTTAGCCACCCCAGCTGGTGTCTCAGTATGTCATGTGCCTTCCACACCCCAGGTCCACTGTCTCTGGGCCCAGTTCAGCACTAGGACTTGCCTAAGAGTTGCAGTCCTCATGGCCAAGACTGCCTTTTCAGTTTACTTAGAGACCCAGAGCAGTTTAGTCCTTGGGAGTGAGGTTTGTGGGAATTCAAGTTCAGACTGCGGGAATCAGCGATTCCCCTCTGGCTAGGGCTGGTTTAAATACTCCCTTCATGGGTAGGCAGCTGAGTTTGGTCCAGTTAAACAGGGAAGCACTGAGTTCAATGCCTCAGAATTACTATGTTCTTGTTCTCCCTGCAGAGAGAAATGCTGTCTGAACCATGCTGCTGCTGTGGAGTGGGGAGGGGTAGCACTGGCTGTTCAAGATGTTTTTCTATCTCTTCGGTGCCACTTTCAGAGATATGAAGATAAAACCTGTTACTATGAGGGCTAACCTGAGAGTTGGTTCTTACACAAGTGATTTCCCTGTGTAGACAGTTGTTAAATTGGTGTCTTTGTCGGGGAGACGATCGGTGGTGCCTTCTATTCCACCATCTTGCTCCACCTCTCTGCTTCAGCCTCATTTTAGAGATGAGAAAAATAAAGCCAAGCGTTATTAAGGGTTACAAGGTTTATAAACAGAAATTAAATTATAAGCCGGTGTCTATGACTTCAAAACCACTAACATGTGTACTGTGTAAATAAAATTTTCTTTAAAATTACCATTTTATTTCATAACAGTTTTAGATTTATAGAAAAACTGTAGAGAGAGCTCAGAAAATTCCTATATACTCTGCACCTAAGTTCCCCTATTATTAACATCTCACATTACTATGGCATGTTTGTTACAAATAATGAACCGATATTGATACATTAGTATTAACTAAAGTCCATACTTTATTTCAATTTCCTTAGTTTTTTATCTAATATTCTTTTTCTGTTCAATGATCCCATCCAAGACGCCACATTGCATTTCCCTGCTGTGTCTCTTTAGCTTCCTCTTGGTTGTAACAGTTTATCAGACTTCCTCAGTTCTGATGGCAGTTTTGAGGAGTACTGTCAAGTAGTTTATAAAATGCTCCTCAGTTGGAATTTACCTAATGTTTTCTCATGATAGGACTGGGATTACATGTTTTGAAAGGAAGACCATGGAGTAAAGTGCCATTTTCATCACATTATACCAAGGATACACACTATCACCATGAGTTACCACTGTTGATGCTGGCTTTTGATCATCTGGCTGAGATAGTGTTTGCAGGTTTCTTCACTGTGAATACAAATAATTATTTTGTCTGCCTATTTTCTCCTCGGTCTTACTTCATTTTCACATTTCTAGATAGTAGCAATCTCTGAACTTGTCCTTTTGCAATAATTCCACATCATCCCGTTGTCAATGTATGATGTGTACTAACTGCTTGTCATTCTGCTATTTCAGTGAGAGATTTGTTCTTGCCTTTGTCCTGTGTGTGTTTTTTTTTGTGTGTGGGCATGTGTAAAAGGGAGTAGGTAGCTTGTCGGTAACCTTTTATTCTAAGGATTCTGCGGACCAAAAATATAGAGTCTAAGAGGGCTCCAGCACTGTGTCCAAACAGTAGCAATCAGAGGGCATTTGGGAGGTACCTAGACTGAGGCATTGAGGGGAGATGAAGTTTGGAAAAAACTTCCTGAGTTTCAGTTTTCTCAATGGTAAAATATTAAGATTGTGAATGCTAAGGTCCCTTCCCACTCTGGAACTAGGAATCTGGGGTCTGTAGGTAGGAAAATAAGCCTGGTTCTCTTCCTGTACCAACTTTATTTCTTTAGCAGTTCATTACAAGCTAAAGCATCAGCAAGAATCCTGGCTCATAGTCCCTGGGGGTATTTCCTTGGCTAGAGTCTCTGATTTAATGAAGATATAAACATTACTTGTGGAAACAGATCTCAGCTGATTGCTTTGCCCACGCTTGCTTCCTTGAAGCAGCTCTGCCCTGTTTCCTCTTATCCCTGTTGTGTTTCCTACTATCTTCCTTGTGCCTTACCATCAGTGAGACAGACTTGTAAGACTTCTTGTTTATCCTCTGGGAGCATTTTTGTAAACTCAGGTGGGAGCTCACTCGGATTAGGCATGAATGGTTTTTAATTTGGCCATTTTGGCTCAAAGCTGTTCCCATTTCTACAATTATTTAGGGTAAGAGTCAGAGTACAAAAATTTTCATTTTTGCTTTGTGAACTTGAGAAAATTGCAGTTAAATTTTTCTCTATCCTTGGCCATTTGCCACAAAATGAAACTTCCTTGTGAAATTTATGCCTGCTGATAACTTTTTGTTTAATTAAATCTTACATGTTAACTAAGTACCAGTAAACATTTACTGTAGCCTGTTGCAATCTTTCTGTTTTTGACAAAGTACCCTTGCACTCTGCTATGTAACAATTAACTTTTTGCAAGCTAGCAACTTGTCCATTTACAATGGGCACTGAATATTCTAATTATTGCTTCTGGATAGAGAATGAAAAGTCTAGGAAGGTGTCGTCTTGTCCCACTTTTGTCTTGCACTCATTTCTCCTCTTTGGCAACTGAAAATTGAAGTTCTTCTTCCATCAGTTTTTTTTTTTCTCATTTTCTCATAGCCCCATTTAAGACAAAAGCTTTCATTTTGTGTGTTGTCAATTCCTCTGGGTTCACTTACATCAGCTTTGGCTGGATTCATGTTTAAAACATTTTCAGAGGGCTAAATAATTTATTTGAAAGCTAGTGGCAAAAGACACTTAAAAAATTAAACCAAGAGAATGGGTTTGAAAGAAAAAATGTTGCTGGGAACCAAGCTATGTTGCCTAAAGGAGGAGAGATCCCCATTTCAAAAGCAAAAGTAAATGTCATCTAAGTGTGACCTTCGTACATATGATTTCATGAATCTTGTTTGAATGTATAAAATATGGGTCAAAATATGCCTGAATAAATATTTCTTTAAAATATTGGCTTAAAAATCCTCTAAGTTTTGATACTATCTTGTTACTTATGTTCATATCATATTGCAGTTGTGAACAGAGTCACTAGCTCTTTGAATAATAATTAAATACACTTCGTGCCCAATGTCAACAAATTCTCTCAGATTTTGTAAAACTGTATTGGATTTTTTCTACTTCATTTTTTATTACAGATTCATCGTATCTTACTCTACCTTGATGTTATCTAGAATTGATTCTCCTTATACTTAACAAAGTTTTCCTTTTTCTAGCAAATGTCATTTAGAGGGACTAGACTCAAAGTTTTGCCCCCAAAATTCGTGTTGGTTTGCCAGAAAACAACTGAGGCCCTGAATGAATGGGCTCTAGCTTTTCAGGAAAGCTAGAAATAAAAAACCAGGAGGTGGCTGGGCGCAGTGACTCACCCCTGTAATCCCAGCATTTCAGGAGGCTGAGGTGGGCAGATCACCTAAGGTCAGGAGTTCAAGACCAGCCTGGCCAATATGGTGAGACCCTGTCTCTACTAAAAATACCTGGCGTGGTGGTGCACGCCTGTAGTCCCAGTTACTGGGGAGGGAGGCAGGAGAATCGCTTGAACCTGGGAGGCAGAGGTTGCAGTGAGCCAAGATCATGCCATTGCACTCCAGCCTGGGCAACAGAGCAAGACTCTGTCTCAAAAAAAAAAAAAAAAAAAAAAAAAGCAAAACAAACAACAAAACACCACACAAAAACCCAGGGGGCTCATTGTACTTTTCATGGGCAACTGACCTCCACTGGGCACGTGCCAGGCCCTCAGTAGGAACAACTGAAACTGGGAAATTAAAGCACTAACCGTTTGCCCTTAGAAACTTACAATTTAGTATGCTCTGCCTCTCATTATAATGTCATGAGATTTACATATATTATTCATTTGAAAAAAGTCCCAAAGTCCAAAATGGTTGAAGGGCAACTGAGTTTACTGTATTTTATAATTTGAGAGTCTGTGAAAGGAGAAAAGATGTGGTACATAGGATCTATGTATATACACAATTTGCAATCATATATTCATGTCACTTGCAAATTAAACTGTTTTTATGATAATTTTTCCTTTTTGCGAGACAGGGTCTCTGTCACCCAGATGGAAGTACAGTGGCACAATCACAGCTCACTGCAGCCTCAA
The DNA here is from genome assembly GCF_000001405.40 of Homo sapiens. Taxonomy (NCBI): domain Eukaryota; kingdom Metazoa; phylum Chordata; class Mammalia; order Primates; family Hominidae; genus Homo; species Homo sapiens. The sequence continues at coordinate 160,110,450 of NC_000003.12, read as the reverse complement.
CCTCCTGGGCTAGAGGGATCCTCCCACCTCAGCCTCTTGAGTAGCTGAGACTACATGTGTGTACCACTATACCTGGCTAATTTTTTAATTTTTTTTATAGAAATGAGGTCTCCCTATGTTGTCCAGGCTGGTCTTGAACTCCTAGGCTCAAGTGATCCTCTTGCCTTGGCCTCAATGCAAAGAGCTGGGATTACAGGTGTGAGCCGTGGTGCCTGGCCTATGATAATAATAATACATCCACATGTTTAAAAAAAAATCAAAACGTAAGTTTGGATATAAAATGAAGATTACTTCCCCATTCTGGCTCAGGCTGTTAGGAACTTGTCTATTCTATACAAGACAGAGGTTCTCATTCCTGACTGCAGTCTATGAAGGTATGAAATATAGATACCTGGTTCTTTACCCAGAACTACTGAATTACAGTACCTAAGAATGTAAGCACCTGTTTTAAAAACTGTAGAGGTGATTTTGATGTGGGCCTAGATTCGAGATCCAATGGTTCATATGCTACTGTGACTTTTTACTTATTTAAGAAGTTATCAAGTGTTTGGGTTTTGCTGGGAGTCCTTAACTTTACCTTAGGATCCCTTAAAATTCTGGGCTCTTATTTTGGTCTCTAGAGGGAATACACACAAATCAGAGCGAGGACATACTTGCCCCCAAGAGGAATTCCCCTTGGCCCTAGAGGAAGCACTGTGCAGGAAACATTTGTGAAAAGGTGGTAGTAAAACCACGATAATAGGCTGGGCGTGGTGGTTCACGCTTGTAACAATCCCAGCACTTTGGGAGCCTGAGGCGGGCGGATCACGAGGTCAGGAGATCCAGACCATCTTGGCTAACTCCCCCGGTGAAACCCTGTCTCTACTAAAAATACAAAAAAATTAGCCGGGCGTGGTGGCGGGTGCTGGTAGTCCCAGCTACTAAAGGCTGAGGCAGGAGAACGGCGTGAACCCTGGAGGCGGAGCTTGCCGTGAGCCAAGATCGCGCCACAGCACTCTAGCCTGGGCCACAGAGGGAGACTCTGTCCAAAAAAAAAAAAAAAAAAAAACAAACCACGATAATAGTAGCAACATTAACATCAATCAGAAAAAACAAAACAAAACAAAAAAAAACCTGTCCATAAACCCTTTATTCATCCCAGTAAATCAAACTACTTTCTTTGGCTGTCGAAGTTTGGAGACATAAACAAAGGAAACATTGATGAAACATTCCAGCGTATGTTTGCTTCTCTCTCAGATCAGATCAAAATACACAAAGAGTTGGTATTACCAGACGCTTAATCAATTACCCAAAACTATTGGGCTTTGAACTTTCTAAAGAAATAAGAATAGTTTTCAAATACCCTCTACCAGAAACTAAATGTGACAATGCTTTATCCTCAACTCAGCTACTTAAAAATCACCAAGGAATGCATTTTAAATTTCTTTCAAGATACTATGTTCTCCAAAAGATCTCAAATCCTTTTCTTTTTCTTTTATCAGAAGCTTCTTTTATCCTTTTTCTTTTCCCAGAAACTTATAGGCTTCAAAACAATAATGATACATTGGAGGCTATGTGTTGTGGTGTGCAGTTCTGAGTTTGGATTTTTTTAGGTACTTATTTTCAAATCTAAATATTTTTAAAATTTATCTGCCTATAGCTCCTAACAGGTCAAAGTGGCAACATTTTAAAATAAAGGATTTAATTTTTTTATTGTTTGAAAGACTTAGCATCTCTCATAATTGGAGTTTGTGTAGTTTATTTGTGTTTTATTACTCTTAGACATATGGCTAAGCAATTTTATAAGATCCACAGGGCTATTGAGAAATGTCAGCCCTCTGCGATTCCCTCAGGTTCTTTTTGGCGCCATCAATATTTTATTGTTTACCATTTACTTCATGGTTTGGAACTCTTCCTGTCTTCCTCCCAACCCAATAAAACTCTGTAATTTAAGCAGCAGCTCAGGAAGTGAGGGGGATGAGGTTGGTTTGGGTCTTCTGAAACAGACGGACTGCATAAGAGTCTAACGCCTAATATAAGATGAACCTTTCTGACTCCCAAGCCCATGATGAAGATATTTGGGGCTGGAGTTGAAATACAGGAGACTGTACCTTTTATGAAAGAAATCTTCTCTGGTTTGTGTAGAACTTTAGTGTTTTGGACATAAAAACAGAAATCAAATTGCACACAAATATGTTCAAGAATTTATAAGGAATGTTCTGGACTCAGACTCTAAAAACAGTGAGTTTAATTGGGGACCCGTTTTATAAATTTACAGGGTGCCTTTCCTTGACTGCTTGCCCAATAAAAAGTGGGATTTTAATTTTGAAGTTGCCTTCAGCGTCTAATAAAAATATGTCTTTAATTAACAGTGACTTGGATAACTTTTGTCACTGCACTACACAATAAACCTTTGTAGTGCTACCTTGCATGCTAGTGCTAAGAAAACTATCCTACATCTGCCCGTATGTACTTCACTTCAGACTTGTGACTGGAAGCATTCTTTAGGTAAAATAGTATTATCTTATAAAGTTATGTGTCAGTCTCTTTGAGATTAACATTCACAAACTAAGTAAGACTGAAGCATATTTTTGTAAAGCATTCATACTATAAACATTTCCAGTATCTACTATATCCCAAGCGCTGCCCCAGAAACTACAGAAGCAGAGATAAGAGACGATCTCTATTCTCAAGGACCCCAGTGTTTCTGAAGAAGCCACTGGGTGGAGAGAAAACCACTGATGACACTGCTGTGTCATCCATGGCCTGGGGCACTCCAAGGGTCTGTGGGAGCAAGCAAGGGAGGCCGTCCTACCTGCTTCCTCATATGTCCGTTAAAGTTAAAAGTCCTTTTATTGATGTGACTTTGACTTGGACTCATGGGACTCAGAAAAGCTGTTATACTCATGGTTGTAGTTTACTAAATATATATAGTTTGTGAAACATGTTTTAGTACAGTGAAAGGATATACATTAAAATCAGCAAAGGGAAAAGGCACATGGAGCAAAGTCCAGGTGACACCAGGCACAAGCTTCCAGCTGTCCCCTCCCACTGGAGTTGCACAAGAGTGTGCTTAACTCTTCCAGCAACAATATGTGGCAACGTGTGAGAGGTGTTGTCAACCAGGGAAGCACATCCAGACATTGGACTGGGGTTTTTGTTGCGGATCAGCCATGTAGCCCCTGTGTGACTGGCCTCAGACACAAGACACCAGCCCTTTTCCCAGAGCAAAAATAGGCATTCCCTACATATAACATTATTAGCATAAACCTATGTGGTTAAATGAGTCTAGCATGGCCCAAGACCTCAGCCATACAAAAGCACTCTCATCCGGCAGAATATTCTAAGGGCTTAGAGGTTGTCTCCTGGGAGCTGGCCAATGGCCAGTTCTGAAGGTAGGCTAACTATACTAACAGTCCTTGCTAAGTATTCCACATGATATGTCTTATTCTGATCTATTCCTGGTGTGAAGGTAGTAATACTGTATCTGTTTAAGCTACAAAACAAATCTCCCCAGTGGCCCAGCAGGATGCAGTTCCTGAAAATTCCTAACTTAATAATCTCTGTTGTAGGATATGAAAAATAAAAGTAAAAAATACTGGAACATTACTAGAGTTCCACTCAGTCGCTAACAATTCATTCAGTTTATCTAATGGCTAAAGTGTCTCCCAGAGCAATGCCATTCAGGTATGCAGATTTCCATTTGACCTTGTAGGGTTCCAAAAGGAGGGATAATCTTGGCAAATATATAGCTGTACTTTCTGGTATCTAGTTTAATTGTTCTAAGAGACAGGATCTTTCTATTACGCTAAGCCTCTCTAGAGGCACAATTGTAATATTGAATTTCCCTTGCTGCATAACCCACTTTTTTATTCTCTTCCTTCCAACAATACTATTGCTCCTTCTCTCCACTTGTCATTGATTTTTACCCAGACTTTTCCACCTGTGGAAGAGATATTAAGTTCAACCACTGTGCTGGTCCAGACTGCAGGCAGCAACACCACTCTAGCAAGTACCTACCTCTTAGACCACTAGTATTCATATAGAGTAGGAATAAAGGGTATAGACCAGTGGGCTTTCTCAACCACCATGCAATATAGCTGCATTCACTGTCAACCCCAATTATGCCAGTTAGGGTGAAGGCACCATCCAACCCATTAGGCCCTTCAGAATTCTGGCATAGATATTTAAAGGCTTAGTTACACTTTTTGCTTAGAGATCATCCCTACTTCATTCCTGTTTCTGGCACTAGAGTTGTAGCCCTGCTGGCAGGAACACTGTATCAGTTAGGAAAAGAGGAAGTTAAAGTGATGTGGGAATAATTGTACAGTCATACTAGCATTCTAGTCATCCCCTTTACCCCAAATCCACCAGAAAAGCAGAAGAATCTACTGACTGGAGACCTGCCCCTGGCCCCCATCATGTTGAATCTGAGCACCCAAGCATGAATGTGTGTAAGCCAGCCCCGCATACCTTATCTCCTTATGTTTGGGACAATAAATGTTACCAGTGCCCCTACCAATTCTCTATCAAGCTATTCCTCTGAGGGTGGTAAGAAACATGATGTATCCATTTGGTGTGATACCTCTTTTTCCACTGTTGGACATTATGGGCCATAGAGTATATTCTTTGGTTTAAAGAAATGTAACTCAGTGGTTTTACATGGTGTAGTATTTTTGCTCCATTCCTTTTATGGTGTTTTGAGCATTTGCGTCCACCACTGGGTATGCAAAGTGTGGTCCGGAGTGTCTATTCCTGTCAGGACCCATTCCAAGGCAACTGGCACTGATGGCATAATAAAGTTTCTCTGTCAGCTCTGCACCAGGGACCTACCCTGAGGAAATCTGCCCCATTACTGTCTGCAGTGTTCATGTTTCCTGCTGGCGGACAGGACAGTTCCTGGCACTTTGTGCTTCTGAGGGTGCAGAGGAATATGTGTCTATGATTACCCCTCTCTGCATTGCTGCCACTTCCCCATGTCCACTCACTTCATGGACCCAGTTGGCCACCTCAAGTAAGTGCAACAAGATTTTGACTTAAAGTTGCAATCACTTTCAGGCTGGAAAAGAGGTTCTTCTCATGAGCATTTATGTGTCTTATTTAATGCATCCCTTAAATTCTTTTTTTTTTTTTTTGAGACAAAGTCTCACTCTGTCACCCAGGCTGGAGTGCAGTGGTGCAATCTCAGCTCACCACAACCTCCGCCTCCTGGCTTCAAGCGATTCTCCTGCCTCAGTCTCCCGAGTAGCTGGGATTACAGGCGCCCACCACCACACGTGGCTAATTTTTATATTTTTAGTAGAGACGGGGTTTCACAATGTTGGCTAGGCTGGTCTCAAACTCCTGACCTCAGGCAATCCGCGTGCCTCGGCCTCCCAAAGTGCTGGGATTACATGCATGAGCCACCATGCCTGGTTGCATTCTTTAAATTCTTACTGATGTTCATAGGGCCATGATCCATATGGACATTCCTTTAAGAATCCAGTTTTCCATTGCCCATTTTCCTGACCATGTAGCCAGCCATCCACTGGCCAATGCCCATGAGTTGGAATGCACCCAGACTTTGGGGAATTGTTCAATTCTTCCATCACGGTGAGAAAACCAGTAGGCAATCAAGCCACTGAGCTTATTTGTTCTCAACTTCTTCAATTAGAATTTTTGCATTATTTGGTCATAGTGCAGAGCCTTCCAAACAGGATGCTGACCATCCACTGTGAAACTGTTATCTGTAAACCAAGCAGCTTTTTGTTGATCAATCAAGGGCTGTTTATAAGGACCCCCCCAACCACCAGGTGGTTATACAGTCTGGTAGTTTCTCAGAGGGTTCCAAAGTGTGTCCTAGAGGAAATGAGGCTACCCATTCATGCATACGATGAGAACCTCCTTGCATTCTTCCAGTAGTATATTCCTGTATAAACCATTTCCATTTTATTACAAAGTCAGCTCTTCTGGTCAATGGCTTCCTTATCAGAATTTTTCTCTGACATCACCCAAGACATCATAGGTATATCAGATTTTAAGATTATCATATGTCTTTCAGTTATTGGGGCAGTTTCAATTAATGCCCAAAAAATAGCAGCACAACAGCAACACAATAATGACATGTACTATACTGCCACATCTGGAAATTTTCTGGTTCCCAGTTCCAGTGGTCACCATCAGGCACCACTTACGCACTTTTTTTTTTTTTTTGAGACGGACTCTCACTCTGTCACCCAGGCTGGAGTGCAGTGGTACCATCTTGGCTCACTGCAACCTCCACCTCCTGGGTTCAAGCGATTCTTATGCCTCAACCTCCCAAGTAGCTGGGATTACAGGCACATGCCACCATGCAAGGCTAATTTTTTTTTTTTTTTTTTTTTTTTTTTTTTTTTTTTTTTTTTTAGTAGAGACAGGGTTTCACCATGTTGGCCAGGCTGGTCTCAAACTCCTGACCTCAGGTGATCTGCCCTCCTCAACCTCCCAAAGTGTTGGGATTAAAAGCATGAGCCACTGCATCCGGCCCACTTATGCACATTTTAACTTCAGTCTGTAGAAATGTAAGTTGCAGATACTTCCAAAGTCAGAATATGGATTTTTAAGGGCCTAATATTGATTCAGCCATCACTTCTTGCAATTCAGACAGTTGGCTGTTGCGAAGAGTCCCATTCAAACATAGCCTTCCTTCAGAGACTCTTTTTTCTTTTTATTTTTTGAGACAGGGTCTTGCTCTGTCACCCAGGCTGGAGTGCAGTGGTGAGATCACAGCTTACTGTAGCCTCAACCTCTTAGGCATAAATGATCCTCCCGCCTCAGCGTCTGGAGTATCTGGGACAACAGACACATGACATCTTGCCTGGTTAATTTTTGGATTTTTTGTAGAGACAGGATTTCACCATGGTGTCCAGGCTGGTTTCCAACTCCCAGGCTCAGGCAATCTGCCTACATGGGCCTTCTAAGGTGCTGGGATTACAGGCATGATACTATTTTGCACAGGTCAAAACTGAAGCTCAGACAAGATCAGAAACTTGTCCAAGGTCACAGAGTACCAAAACTCAGGGAGGAAAAGACTCCTGGTTGCCTGGTTATCCAACATCTATTCTTCCCTTTACTTATTAGTAAAATCTGTAAATTTTGGCTGAGCACATAACTGCCTAGTTTGAAATCAGCATTCCCAAGCCTCCCCAGGATAATCTGTAAAACTCAGTTCTGATGAATGGGATGGGAACAGATCATTCACGCTCTTATAAAAAAGGGGCATGTGCTTTCGTTCTTTTCTCCTCTTCCCACTGGCTACAAAGATGACTTGCTTATGGGAACAGGAGAAACCCTGTTGATGGTAATTGCCAAACAGATCCACTAGGATTTGGAGCCAGGTTGGTCAGGTGCTAGAGCCTATGCTGTATTAGGCTTTCAAAGGTAAGAGTGTTTGAAGAATTTACCAAAACTTAGAGGTAACCTGTTCTTGGGATGCCAGCAGGCTTTGGCAATGAACCTACATGAGGTTGGACATAGGCTCCAACATTGACTAATTAAGGAACTATGGGCAAGTTTCTTAATCTGTCTTTTTTCTTTTTTTTTTCACTGTTCCAAAGTTTAATTAAAAACACAATTTACAAATATTTAATATCTTCTGAAAAGCATTTCTAAGTTAAGAATGAAAAAGTATGTACATAATATATAATCAAATACCAGGCAGCCTCAACTTCCACCAGGTCCACACTCAGCAACATCCGTCTTTTTAGGTTTTTCAGTGTCTTCTGTCAAATCCACAAAGTTGTTTTCCATGACGGGGGAAGGAATGGAAATACCCATTGCTTTTCGAACTCCATACATGCTTACGATATCACCTGGAGTTACTTGCTGTGCAAGTTCTTTAAGGTTATTGGTCACTTGTTCAGCAAGATGCATTTCTCTGTATGAGGGACCCAAGAGACAGATCATGTTGGGAGGGGGTCTGGTGCTCAAACGTTCATTCTGGGCTTCCTGGAGTTCCCTGAGCAATCTGGTGGTCTCACCAAATTTCTTCTGGAATATTTCAGCTTCTTCAGAGTCAAAAACTTCAACTGGAACGCCAAAATTTGTTACTGCTTTCAGCGCTATGAGCCTGTCTTGAGTATTGGACTCCAAACGCCCTGGGGGCTCTACTTCTGTAATCTCCATTTTTTTTTGCTGTGTCAAGTGTCTTAGTATGGCCTTCATCTTCAGGCAATGACATCTCCATCTCTTGTAGGGTCCTGGAATGCCCTCCTTTTGTTAAAACATCCAGTAAACTATCTGCCATGACATATGGATAATCTTGGCACGTGGCCAAAAACTCATGGATGCTGAAAACGCTTGGAAGATCAGAGTCTTCCCCATAGGTTGAATAGATTAAATCAGAATCATCCTTGCTGATATTCGCAAATGTGGAGTCATAATGCGGTGCATAAGAACCGTAGGGCCCATAATTCAAATATAACACTGGAGTGACTTTGTTCCTTTTATCCTCTTTGAACCCCTGCAAAGTATTCACTCCAGACTGAAGTCTTCCAGTTGTCATTCCCAGTCTCACAGGGCAGTAGCCTGGCTCTCCTACAATGGGATCCACAGGATGGAGAAGTCCCAACGTCGTTGTTCCATCTGGTTTTCTTCTTTCAAATTCGCACTGACTGTTCACAAGCCGCCTGGTCAGTTTTCCTCCAGATTCCTTCACAATGCGGTCAAGATGCTCCTGCTCTCTCTCTAAATTATTGCTTTTAAACTTATCTTCAAGCGTATCTTTTTCTTTTTCTTTGCTGGGACTCTTGAAGGCGTGTGCTTCGGCATCTCCAGAGTCCTCTCTCTCTGCCAGCAGCCTCCGTCCTCCCCACTCTGTGAGGTGTCTGTTCCATCTTTCTGCTTTCGAGTTTTCTGCAAGTCAGCCATGAAGTCTATGCTCTGCTTCAGGCTCTGAATTCTTTCCTGGCTAAGAATTTTCATCCCTGAGTGCAACAGCTTCTTTGCAGCTTTATAATAAATGGTCTCTGGTTTATTGTAAATCATGGCATTAGTACACATTAGTTTGAAGTTATCCTTTAGTTCTTCTATGGACTGATAGTCATTGTTCTTGATCTTTTCTTTCATGGTACTAAAATCCATTGGGTGTTTAATGATCATGGAGTAGCCAGGAGCAATAAAATCAGTCACAGGAAATGAAAAGAAAGCACTTGGATCTTTTCTCTACAATTGTCTCATCAGTTGATTCAAAGCTTCTTGAAGGGGTGTCTGTTCTACTTCTTGTTTGGCTAAAGAGCTTGTGAGAGGCTTCTCAGGGGGCAAGTCTAATCTCACAGGGGCGTGACACTGGAGGTCTTTTTCTGCCTCATTCTCCACCCGGTCTCGATCTCGCTTCTTTTTATCCTCCTTAACTCTTCTCCGTTTTCTCCCCTTTTCTTCCCCTGGAATCTGCTTCTCTCCTTTCTTTCTCTTTTTCCGCTTTCTGTCCTTGTGTTTGTCATGATCGTTTTTGTCTTCGAAGAGGCTGGAGTCGTGCCTCGAGCTGCCCATGGAGAGTTCGGTGACTTCGTTCCCTCCTACTTTGAGGACCAGCTTCAATGGCTTCTCTACATACTCCTCGTGGAGGTGTTTGTCCGACTTGTGCTTCTTGTGCTTCTTGCCCATGTCCGACCGGGCCCCGGTGCCCGTCCCCCGCGCCAGGCCGAGGCCGTGCGGCGCCGCTTCCGGTCCGGGCCAGGCGAGCGGAGGGCGGGAGCGGGGCCCGCGAGACTCCGCGCCGCGAGGCAGGCGTGCGGCGCACGCCGGGCGGCGCGATGCCCGTCTCCAATCCGTCTTTTTTCTTATTTGGAAAATGAGAATGTCAATAGTAGCTACCTCATAAGGAAGATGTTAGGGCAAACAAGATAGCATATGTGAATCGGCTTAGCTAGCATTATTGCTGGCTACCTTGTACAAAGTAGCAAGTATTATTATTATTATAGCTATTCATTCACTATAAAATGTTCATAACACCAAAGAGGATTTGAGATACTATATTTAAAATGCTTACCACAGTACTTCTTGTATGGTAGAGACTCCATAAATGGTTAAATAGGTACCAACACTTATATATTTAAACAGAAAGGATTCTTCTCCCTGCAAAAAAGTCAAATAAAATGAACATGAATAAAATAATTCCAGTTTAGATTTCATTGTAGTAATATTTACCATCATTTACTTACAGAGCAGGGATGTCATAACAGTTAAAAAAAAAAAAAAGCACTCATTCTTTTGTCACTGCTTCAGCTGACAACTTATTTCATTGGGCAGGATTTGCCAACCATATTTGATCTGAGACCCGAATTTAAAACTGTGTTGAGGCTTTCACTTTATGTCATAACAATAACAGAAAACTAGAGACCGAGGATTCATGACAGATGATTTAAAAAAAAAAATGCAACCCATAGGGTGTGACCTATTATTAGAAGAGAGAGAAGAGGAAACAAAATTTGTATATCTTTCTAGAGAAAAAAGCAGAAGAGACTCATTATTTAAGAAACTCAAGGGCAGTTGCAGTGGCTCGTGCCTGTAATACCAGCACTTTGGGAGGCTGGAGTCCAGGAGTCCAGAAGTTCGAGACCAGCCTTGGCAACATGGCAAAACCCTGTCTCTACAAAAAATACAAAAATTAGCCAGGCGTGGTGGCGTGCAATGTAGTCCTAGCTACTTGGGAGGCTGAGGTGGGAGGATCACTTGAGCCCAGGAGGCACAGGTTGCACTGAGACGAGATTACGCCACTGCACTACAGCCTGGGTTAAAGAGCCAGACGCTATCTCAAACAACAACAACAACAACAAATCCTCAAAATAAACACTGATCTTGAGAACAGAAGACCTGAATTCTGGTCTTGTCATTGTCCTTGTCCTTTAGCTACCGTTTACCTCCTGGAACTGGATGAAGGATTTTGTAGAACTTAAGAAGTTCATTGAAATGATAGCCATTTTATTTCCTCCAAAGAGCTCAAAAGAAACACGTGAGATTCTCTCAATTACTTTCTACAGAAGACTCTTAAGAAGGAAACTATTTTAATCAGCTCCTTCCATCTGGGTTTCTGTGGCATTAATATGTACCTCACCACTGACATTAATTATTAACTGTTCCTAGTAACAGTTTTAGGATGCCACTAAAAGGGAAAGGGGATTACTTTACTGATTCTGGGGTCAACATCTTGGTGGCTGAATCAATTAAGTTAGATATGTATTTATAAAGCATTACTAGGGCAATAAGCAACACCTTTTCAGGGAAATAACACATTATAGTGTTTAACTTACTTTCACACACATTAACTACTTGACTGTGGTTACAGGGTTGCATTGTGAAGAGCCTGAAGACTTGGAATTTCAGCACTCTTAGGCTGGTCACTCCCAGCCTCTTTCTCTTCCCATCTGTAAAATGGAGATCACACTACATTCCTTCTTTATCTATCACAAAGAATCGTACTGTGGCTCAAATGAAAACACATGCAAGGGAATGCTTTGCAAATTGTAAAGCCTTGTGTATACAGCAAGCATCATATTTAAATACTGTAATATTAAAGCAGAGGAAACAGAGGGTATAAGATATTCCTGTCCTTGGTAAAGGTAACTGGGCAGGTAGTGGCACAGCTGTACTCCACAACTCTTCTGCCCCCACATATGCAGGGAGTGGAGTCTGCTAAATCTTTGGCCACACAGCAGCTGAACTCCCTTGCTTGTGTTTTGAAGCCTCCCCTTCCTCCCTAGGCACACCTCTGCTTACTTAAACTTACCTCATTACTTAAACTGAAAATGCCACTCCCTCTCCTGGTCTCCCCTAAGCTGAGGGATGGGCTGTGGCCTCGGCCCAGTAACCTTCTCTATCTGCCTTGGGTTGAAAGCTAGAGAATGAGAAGGGACAGGCCCACATGGGCTCCAGGGTGAGGGAGGAGGAGATGGCGGCTTTGCTGTGAAAGCAGCTCCCCACTGTTAGCGGTGCAGCCTTCAGTTCTTGCCCGGGGCCTGGTGATCCAGGCACTGGGTTCCTCCCCTCTATGGAGTGATGTGGGTGTTGTACCTGGTGGCAACAGTCCCAAATCTGGCTCTCTGGCTTTCTGGAGAGTCTGTGAGCTACCCAGTAGCTTTAAAATTACTTCTTCTCAAACATGAATCATACAAATCCCTGGAGGGTTGTGTCGAAATGTAGATTCAGATTCAGTAGGTCTGGGTGGGCATAAAATTCTGCATTTCTTTTTTTAAAATTAAGTTTTTCTTTAGGCTCTAGTCCAGTATGAGAGATTCTGCATTTCTTTTTTTTTTTGAGACGGGGTCTTGCTCTGTCACCCAGGCTGGAGTGCAGTGGGACAATCTTGACTCACTGCAACCTCCACCTCCCAAGTTCAAGCAATTCTCCCTCCTCAGCCTTCCAAGTAGCTGGGACTACAGGCATGCACCACCACACCCCAGCTAATTTTTTTTTTTTGTATTTTTAAAGATATGGGGTTTTGCCATATCAGTCAGAGTGTTAGTTTAAGCCAAAAACAAATTGAGTGAAACCTTGCTGTGCAAAGTGAGGGCCCTCAGGCCAGCAGTGGCATCAAATAGGAGCTTGTTAGAAATGCAGAGTCTCAGCTGGGAGCGGTGGCTCATTTCTGAGGTTGCAGTGACTCAAGATAGTGCCACTGCACTCCAGCTGGGACACAGGCACACACACACTCATTTCTGTAATCCCAGCACTTTGGGAGGCCAAGTTGGGCAGATCAGTTGACGTCAGGAGCTTGAGACCAGCCTGGTCAACATGGTGAAAGCCTGTCTCTCCTAAAAATACAAAAACTAGCCGGGCACGGTGGCGCATGCCTGTAATCCAGCTACGCGGGAGGCTAACGCAGGAGAATTGCTTGAACCCGGGAGGTGGAGGTTGCAGTGACTCAAGATCGCGCCACTGCACTCCAGCTGGGACACAGGCACACACACACTCCATGTATGTAGTAGACAGCTCCAGGCTGGGATCTGATGCCACGTGTGTGTGCCACACCCACTGTCTTCCAAAGAACCATTCCAGTGCCTGCGCACACAAACATACACACAGGCACACACACTCTCTTCATAATTTGGTTTGTGACTGGAGACTGGGCGGAAGAAAACATGTGAGTTAGAATGAAAGGCTAAGGCCAGGTGGGAATGCCAGGTAGGTAATGTAAGTTGGTAATCTAGGTTGGTAAAGGCCATGAGGTTAAGGCCAAATGGGTGAATCTAGATGGGTAATACAAGGTGTATGAGTCTAGGGGGAAGTGGGTGGGAGGAGGTGGTAAATCCAGGGAATAAGGGCAGAAGCATAAGTCCAGGGAAGTAAACCTATGGAGGTAATTTTAGCGGGGTAAGGCCAGGAGAGTATGGCCTGGTAGATAAAACTAGAAAGTTAAGAACCAAGTGTGAAGGCCATGTGGGTAACATATGGTGGGTAAAACTAATGTTAAAACTAGGTAGGTAATACAGGTTGTTAAGCCCATTAGGTTATGGCCCATAAGGTTTGCCCAGGTGGATGAGGCTGATGGGGTCTGGCCAGGGCAGTAAAAAGAGGTGGTAAGGCCAGTGAATAAGGGAAGGAGAGTATGGTTCCATGGGTAAGATCAGGTGGGTCCTGATGGCAGATTGAAGCCAGCAAATTAAATCCAGGTGGATAAGAACAGGTGAATAATCATGGGAAGTTATGGCCAGGTGGGTAAGGCCAGGACATTTAAGCCAGGAAATGAAGCCTGGGTCAGTAAGGCCAAGAGTTTCGTAGGGCCACATGGATGAAGCTTGTTTAAGAATACCATCAGGATAAGGTGATTAACACAATGAGGTTAATCATGTCTGTTGAGTAAGGCCATGTTGTTAAAACGAGCTGCGTGTATCCACCTGAATAAAAGACTATCCGGGTAACAACAGACCTGTCAATCAAAGGGAAACAACCAAGAGCGTTAAATCCAAGTCGATAAGCCAGCCAATAATAACAGGAGGCTAATACCCGGTGGTAAGGGGAAGGCTAGGAGGTGAAGGCCAGTTGAACAAAGCTAGGTGATTAACTTCACCTAGCCAGCAAATTAAGTCATGCTGGCTGAAGCCAGGTAAATGAATACAACCGGTAAGTATGGCCCTAAGTTTACTAAGGCCAGGTGGATAAGGCAATAGAAGAAGCTCAGAAAAGTAAGGCAGGGGAGGATGATCAGAGGATAATGACACTAGGTTAAGGCCAGCAGGGCTGGGAGAGCTGAGTAAGACCAGAAGTTAGGACTAATTATGAAGACCAACTGGTTAATGTTGGGTAGCTAAGATCAGTTGGGTAATTCCTGTTGGTAAGAACATGAGGTTAATGCCAGTAGGGTAAGGTCAGAAGCGTAGGCAGGTGCATAAAGCCTGGGGCGTAATACTGGATGAGCAAGGCCAGGAGGCTAATAAGGCAGGTGAGTAAATTGACGTTGGTAAAACCATGAGGTTAAGACCAGGCCAGGAAGCCAAGCAATTTAAAAGGCCAGGTGGATAAGGCCAGTAAGTTCAGGCCTCCTGAATAGAGCTAGGAGGCCAACTCTTACTGGGTAATGCTAAGAGGTTAAAGCTATGCAGATTAGACCAAGAGGTTAAAGCCATGTGAGTAAGAACAAAAGGTTAAGGCCAGGTGGAAAGGCCAGGGTGACAAGCTATATTGGCATTCCAGGTTGGTAAGGCCATGAGGTTAAGGACACATGGATAAGTCTAGTTCGTTAATGGGAGGTGTTTAAATCGAAAAGCAATGGGGAAGAGGGCATGTACATATAGGAAGTAAGGCAGGGGAGTAAACCTAGGGCTATACATCCAGGGTTACTGTCTGATAGATAAAACCAGAAGGTTAAGGACAGTTGTGTCAACCAAGTGTGAAGGCCATGTAGGTAACTATGTTCTTTAAGACTAGGTAGCAAAACTAGGTGGCTAATACAAGTTGTTAAGGCCATGTGGTTAAGGCCCTTAGGGTTAGGACAGGTGGGGAAAGCTAATAGGGTCTGGCCAGGGCCCTAAGAGGTGAGTAAGGCCAGGTGTGAGGGATAGGGGAGTAAGGCCCCGTGGGCAAGATCAGGTGGGTCATGACCAGAGATTGAGGCCAGCAAATTAAAGCCAGGTGGATAAGTACAGGTGGATAATGGCAGGAAGTTTTGACCAGGTGGTTAAGGCCAGGACTTTTAGGCCAGGAAATTAAGACTGGGTGAGTAAGGTCAGGAGTTTAATAAGGCCAGATAGATAATGCCAGGTTCATAATACCATGAGGACAAGATAAGGTGATGAAGGCAATGAGCTTATAAGTTCTGCTGAGTGCAGCCAGGTTGTTAAAACCAGGTGTTTAAATCCAGCTGAAGAAAAGACTGAGCAACCCCAGGCCAGGATATCAACGGGGGAACTGCCCAGTAGGATTAAGGGCAAGTTGTAAAACCAGCCAAATGATGACCTGAGGCTAATGTAGGTGGGTAAGACAGTGCAGGGAAGGCAAGGAGGTGAAGACCAGCTGGATAAAACCAGGTGGTCAACACCAGAAGGGTTTGAGGCCAGCAGATTAAGTCATGCTAGCTGATGCCAGGCAGTTGAATACAGCAGGTGAGTTTGGCTGTAGGATTAACGAAGTCAGGTGGGGGAGACATAGTGGGTAAGGCCAGAAGGTGAGCAAGACCAAGTGGGTAAGCCCAGGTAAATAAGGCCATGTGGTAACATCAAAAGGTGAATGCTGTGAAAGTAAAGCCAAGGGTCAGGACAGAGGATAATGACATTAGGTCAAGGCCAGTAGGGCTGGGAGAGGTGAGCAAGACCAGAAGTTTAAGAGTAATTGTGGGCAGGGCGCTGTGGCTTGCGCCTGTAATCCCAGCACTTTGGGAGGCCAAGGCGGGTGGATCACTTGAGGTCAGGAGTTCAAGACCAGCTTGGCCAATATGGTGAAATCCTGTCTCTACTAAAAACACAAAAATTAGCCATAAATGGTGGTACACGCCTGTAATCCCAGCTACTTGGGAGGCTGAGGCATGAGAATTGCTTCAACATAGGAGGAGGAGGTTGCAATGAGCTGAGATTGTGCCACTGCACTTCAGTCTAGGTGACAGAGCAAGGCTCCATCTCAAAAAAAAAAAAAAAGACTAACTGAAGGACACTGGGTAAGGCTAGGTTGGTAAGATCAGTTTGGCAAGTCTGGTTGTTACGAACATGAGGGTAAGGCCAGGTGGGTAAGCCAGGTGCATAAGTTCAGGGGATTTATATTGAATAAGTCCAGCAGGTTCATAAGGCATTTGAGTGAATCTAAGTTGGCTAAACACTGAGGTTAAGACCAGGTCAGGAAGCCAAGTGAATGAAAAGGCTGGGTGGGTAATGCCAGTAAGTTAAGGCCTCCTGAATAGAGCTAGGTGGCTACTCCACGTGGGTAATGCTAAGAGGTTAAAGCTAGGTAGATTAGGAAAGAAGGCTATGTGAGTTAGAATGAAAGGTTAAGGCCAGGTGGGAATGCCAGGTTGGTAGCTATATTGGTCATCTAGGTTGGTAAGGCCATGAGGTTAAGGCCAGGTATGTAAGTCCAGCTGGCTAATGCAAGGATTCTAAATCCAGGGGCTGGGGAGCAGTGGTAAATCCAGGGAATAAGGGCAGGGGTATAAGCCCAGGGAAGTAAACCTAGGGAGGTAAATCCAGTGGTTTAAGTCCTGGTAGATAAAACCAGAAGGCTAAGGACAATTGTGTAAACCAAGTGTGAAGGCCATGTGGGTCATGTACAGTTGGGAAGACTAGGTGGGAAAGCTGGGTGGCTAATCCAAGTTGTTAGGGCCACAAGGTTAAGGCCCATAGGGATAGACCAGGTGGAGAAGGCTAATGGGGTATGGCCAAGGCCCTAAAATGAAGTTGGTAAGACCAGGGAGTAATGGCAGCCGAGTTAGGCCTCATGGGCAAGATCATGTGGGTCTTGACCAGAGATCAAGGCCAGCAAATTAAAGCCAGGTAGGTAAGAACAAGTGGATTATGGCGGGCGGGAAGTTATGTCCAGGTAGGTGAAGCCAGGACTTTTAATCTAGGAAATTAAGACTCGGAGAGAATGGCCAGGAGGTTAATAAAGCCAGATAGATAATGCCAGGTTCATAATGCCAAGAGGATAAGATAAGGTGATGAAGCCAATGAGCTTAATAAGTTCTGCTGAGTGTGGCTTGGTTATTAAAACCAGGTGTTTAAGCTAAATAGAAGACTATTCCCAGGCTGGGGAAACACCCAGTTGGATTAAGGGTAATTCTCCAAACCAGCCAAATGATGACCTAAGGCTAATATTAGGTGGGCGAGACAGTGTGGGGAAGGTGACAAGGTGAAGGCCAGAGGAATAAAACTAGGTGGTAAACACCAGAAAAGTATGAGGCCAGCAGATTAAGTCACACTGACTAAGGCCAAGCAGGTGAAGAGAGCAGGTGAGTATGTCCCTAAGGTTAATGAGGTCAGGTGGGGAAGGCCTAGCGGGTAAGGCCAGGTAAATACAGCCACCAGGAATGCCATCAGGTGAAGGCCAGGAAAGGAAAGCCAAAGGCCGGGACAGGGGATAATGACACGAGGTTAATGCCAGTAGTGGGGACAGGTGAGGAAGTCTAAAAGGTTGAGACTAATTGGGAAGGCCAACTGGGTAAGGCTGGGGAGGTAAGATCAGCTGAGTGATTTGGGTTGGTAAAAATGGGATGTTAATGGCACTAGGGTGAGGTCAGGTGGGTACGCTAGGTGTGTAAGACCAGAAGATTCATACTGGATGAGTAAGGCCAGGAGGTTCATAAGGCAGGTGGGTAAATCTAAGTTGTCAAAACCATGAGGTTAAGACCAGGTCAGGAAGCCAAGCAATTGAAAAGTCCAGTTGGCTTAATCCAGTAAGTTAAGGCCTTCCTGAATAGGGCTAGGTGGCTGACTCCACCTCGGTAATGCCAAGCCGTTACTACTAGGCAGACTAGGTCAGGAGGTTAACACCTTGTGAGTTAGACAGGTTAAGGCCAGGTGGGAATGCCAGGCTGGTAAGCTATGTTGGTCATCCAGATTGGGAAGTTCATGAGTTTAAGGCCAGGTGGGTAATACAAGATGTCTAAATATGGGGCTGGGGCTGGGGCATGGAATTGAGGGTGAAGCTAGGGGAAAAGGGCAGGGGGTGATAAAACCAGGGGAGAAAACCTAGGGAGGTAAATCCAGGGGGCTATTCCCTGTTAGATAAAACCAGAAGGCTAAGGACAGTTGTGTAAACCAAATGTGGAGGCCATGTGGGTCACGTGTAATCATTAAGACTAGTTAGGAAAACTAGGTGGCTAATCCAGATTGTTAAGGCCATGAGGTTAAGGCCCATAGGGATAGGCCAGGTGTGGAAGGCTAATGGGATATGGCCAGGGCCGTAACATGAAGTGGAAAAGGTCAGACAGCAAGGGCAGGGGAGTAATGGCAGGAGCTTCATAAGGCAGGTGGGTAAATCTTAGTGGGTAAAATCAGGTAGATTTTGATGGGAGACTGAGGCAAGCGAATTACAACCAGGTAGTAAGAACACGTGGACATGGCAGGAAGTTATGGCCAGTTGGGTAAGGCCAGCATTTTTAGGCAAAGTCATGAAGACTGGGCGACAAGGGCCAGGAGGTTAATAAGGTCAGATGGATAATGTCAAGTTTGTCATACCATGAGGATAAAATAAGGTGAGGAAGGCAATCAGATTAATAAGGTTGGCTGAGTTTGGCCAGGTTGTTAAAACCAGGTGTCTAAATCCAGCTCAATAAAGGACTATTTCAGTAACCCCACGCTGTGAAATCAACAGAGTAAACACCCAGTAGGATTCACGGCAAGTTGACAAGCCAGTCAAATGATGACTGGAGGCAAATACTAGGTACGTAAGACAGTGCAGCTAAGGTGAGGAGGTGAAGGCCAGCTGAATAAACCAGGTGGTAAACACCAGTAGGGTATGAAGCCAGCAGATTAAATCATGCTGGCTGAGGCCAGGCAGCTAAAGAGGGTGGGTGAGTATGGCCTTAAGGTTGATGACATAGTTAACCAAAGGTTAAGGACAGTTGTATATAACAAGTGTGAAGGCCACGTTTGGTAAGACTAGGTGGCAAACCCTGGCAGCTAATCCAATTTGTTAAGGCTATGAGATTAAAGTCAATAAGGTTAAGTCAGGTAAGTGAGTCTAATGGGGTCTCACCAGAGAGGGAGTAAGACCAGGGTGTAAGGATAGGGGAGTAAGGCCTCATGGCTAACATCAGATGGGTCTTGACAGCAGATTGAGGCCAGCAAATTAAAGGGCTACATGGATGAATCTTGTTTAATAATGCCATGAGGATAAGGACGATTAAAGCAATAAGGTTAATAAGGTCTGCTGAATAAGGCAAGGTTGCTAAAACCAGGTGTATAAATCCGGGTGAATAAAAGACATTTGGGTAACACCAGGCCAGTCAATCAAGGGGAAACAGCCAAGAGCACTAAAGCAAAGTCAGTAAGCCAGCTAAATAATAACAAGAGGGTAGTACTGGATGGGGATGACAGTGAGAGGAACACTGGGAGGTGAAGGCCAGCTGAATGAAGCAAGGTAATCAACACCAGATGGGTGTGAGACCAGCAGATTAAATCATGCTGGCTGAGGCCTGGCAGGTGAATACAGTAGGTGAGTAAGCCCAGGCTGCTTGAGACCTGCCTGGCCAACATGGTAAAACCACGTCTCTACTACAAATACAAAAACTAGACAGGACTGATAGCACATGCCTGTAATTCCAGCTACTTGAGAGGCTGAAGCAAGAGAATCTCTTGAACCTAGGAGTTCGAGGTTGCAACGAGCCAAGATGGCACCACCACATTCCAGCCTGAGTAACAGAGCAAGATTCCGCCTAAAAACAACAACAAAAAGACTCATTGTGAATACCACTGGGTAAGGCTTGAATGGTAAAATCAATCTGGGGCTGAGCGCAGTGACTCATATCTATAATCCCAGCACATTGGGAGGCTGAGACAGGCAGATCACCTGAGGTCAGGAGTTTGAGACTAGCCTGGTCAGCACGGTCAATCTCCATCTCTACTAAAACTACAATAATTAGCCAGGTATGGTGTCAGGCTACTGTAATCCCAGCTACTAAGGAAGCATAGGCAGGAGAATTGCTTGAACCCGTGAGGTGGAGGCACAGTGAGCTGAAATCGTGCCATTGTACTCCAGCCTGGGCGACAAAACTCTATATCAAAAAAACAAACCAACCAACCAACAAAAAAACAAAAAAGAATTGGGCAATTGTGTTTGGTAAGGACATGAGGTTAATGATAGTAGGGTAAGGCTAGGTGGGCAAGCCAAGAGAATAAGTCCAGGGGATTCATACTGAATGAATAAGGCCCAGAGGTTCATAAGGCAGATGGGTAAATTTAAGTTGGCTAAACTATGAGGTTAAGATTGGGTCAGGAAACGAAGCAATTTAAAAGTCCAGGTGGCTAAAGCCAGTAAGTTATGGCCTCCCTGAATAGAGCTAGGTGGCTAACTTCAAACGGGTAATGCCATGAGGTTAAGCTTAGGCAGATTAATCCAGAAGAATGAGGCCATGAGAGTAAGAATGAAAGGTAAAAGCCAGGTGGGAAGGCCAGGTTGGTAAGCTATGTTGGTCATCTCGGTTGGTGAAGCCATGAGGTTAAGGCCAGGTGGGTAAGTCCAGGTGGCTAATGCAAGGTTTCTAAGTCCAAGGGTGGGGGGTAAATCTAGGGAATAAGGGCAGGTTATCATTCTAGGGGAGTAAACATAGGGAGGTAAATCCAGGAGTTAAGGCCTGGCAGATAAAACCAGAAGATGAAAGATGGTTGTGTAAACCAACGTGAAGGTCATTTGAGTCATGTATGGTCAGTAAGACCAGGTGGGAAAACATGGTAGCTAATCCAGGTTGTTGAGGCCATGAGGTTAAGGTCCATAGGGTTAGGTCTATTGAGGAAGACTAATGGGTTCCAGCTAGGGTGGTAAAATACGGGAGGCAAGGACACGGAGTCAAGGCAGGGGACTAATCACGGGCAAGATCAGGTGGGTCATGACCAGAGATTAAGGCCAGCAAATTAAACCTAGGTGGGTAAGAACAGATGGATAATGATGGGCAGGAACTTATGACCAGGTGTGTAAGATCAGGATTTTTAGGCCATGAAATTAAGTCTGGGTGAGTAAGGCCAAGAGGTTAATAAGGACAGAAGGATGATGCCAGCTCCTAATACCACGTGGACAAGATAAGGTGATGAAGGCAAGAAGGTTAGTAAGTTTGGCTCAGGGTGGCCAGGTTGTAAAACCAGGTTTATAAATTCAGCTGAATGAAAGACCATTTGGGTAACACCAGGCTGGTAAATTAATAGGAGGAATATGCAGGAGAACTAAGGCCAAGTCAGCAAGACAGCCAAATAATGACAGGAGGCTAATGCTAGGTGGGTAAGTCAGGTGAAGGGAAGGCGAGGAGGTTAAGGCAAGCTGAATAAAACTAGGGGGTAGACACTGGATGGGCATGAGGCCAGCAGATTACGTCATGCTGTCTGAGACCAGGCAGGTGAATATGGCTGGTTAGTATGGCTTTAAGGTTAGTAAGGTTGGCTGGGGAAGCCCTAGTGGGTAAGGCTATATAAATAAGGGAAGGTCAATAGGTGAGGTCTGGGAAAGTAAGGCCAAGGGTCAGGATTAAGGATAATGCCACTAGGTTTAAGCCCAGTAGGGCTGGGACCAGAAGTTGGGACTAATTGTGAAGGTAAAATGGAGAATGCTGGGTAGATAAAATCAGTTAGGTGATTCGGGTTGGTAAAGACATGAGGTTAAGGCCAGTAGTGTAAGGCCAGGTGGGTAAGCCAGGTTCATAAGGCCAACAGATTAATGCTGAATGAGTAAGGTCAGGAAGTTAATAAGTCCAGTGGGTAAATTTATTTTGGCAAAACCATAAGGTTAACACTGGGTCAGGAAGCCAAGCCATTGAAAAAGCCAGATGGCTAAAGCTAGTAAAGTTAAGGCCACTGAGTACAGCTAGGTGGATAACTCCAACTGGGTAATGCTGAGAGGTTAACGCTAGGCAGACTAGGCTGGGTGGTTGAGGTTATATGACTAAGAATAAAACGCTGAGGCCAGGTGAGAAGGCCAGTTTGGTAAGCTATTGAGGACATGAGGATAAGGTGGGATGGGCAAGTCCAAATGGGAAATGTAAGGTGTGTTAAATTTGGGTGTTGGGGGACATTTAGGTAATAAGGGCAGGGAAGTAAGTCCAGGGGAGGAAAGCTAGGGAGGTAAGTTTAGGAAAATTAGACCAGTCGCTAAGTCCTGATAAATAAAACTAGAAGGTTAAAGAAAGCTGTGTAAACTAAGCATGAAACCCATGATGGGTAAGTCTAGGCAGGAAAACAAGGTACATAATGCAGGTTGTTGAGACTTAAGTGAAGGTCCATAGGTTTAGGCCAGGTTTGGAAAGCTAATGGGTTCTGGCAAGGGTGAGAAAATGAGGTGGGTTGGCCAAGCGTGGTGGCTCATGCCTGTAATCCCAGCACTTTGGAGGCCGACACAGGTGAATCACGAGGTCAGGAGATAGAGACCATCCTGGCCAACATGGTGAAACCTCAAGTCTACTAAAAATATAAAAATTAGGTGGGCGTGTTGGCACGTGCCTGTAATCCCAGCTACTCGTGAGGCTGAGACAGCAGAATCGCTTGAACCAGGGAGTCAGAGGTTGCAGTGAGCCGAGATCACACCACTGAACTCCAACCTGGCAACATAGCGAGACTCCGTCTTAAAATAATAATAATAATAATAAAAAAATAAATAAATAAAATGAAGTGGGTAAGGCCAGGCAGTAAAGAAAGGGCAGGAAGGCACCATGGGCAAGAGCGGGTAGGTTTTGACAGCAGATTGAAACCAGCAAATTAAAGCTAGGTGGGTAAGAACAGGAGGATAATGGTGAGAAGTTATGGCCAGATAGATGAGGCCAAGACCGTTAGTAAGGCCAGAAAATTAAGGCTAGGTCAGTAAAGCCACAAGTTTCATAGGGCCACATGGATGAAGCTTGTTTAATAATGCCACGAGGGTAAGGTGATTAAGGAAATGAGGTTAATAATGTCTGGTGAGGAAGGCCAGACTGTTAAAACCAAGTGTTTAAATCTAGCTGAAGAAAAGACTATTTGGGTAACCCCAGGCCAGTAAATCAATGGAGACATTCCCAGTAGGATAAATGCCAAGTTGCCAAGCCAGCTAACTAATGACAGGAAACTAACACTAGGTGGGCAAGACAGTGTGGGGAAGGTGAATAGGTGAAGGCCAGATGAATTAAACCAGGTACTCAACATCAGATGGGTATGAGGCCAGCAGATGATGTCATGCTATGCTTACCGAGGCCAGGCAGGTGAATATGGCAGGTGAGTATGGCTGTCAGGTTAATAATGTTGGCTACAGAAGGCCTACTGTTTGAGGCCAGTAGTTGAACAAGGCCAAGTGGGTAAGGCCAAGAAAATACAGTCATGTGAAAAGGCCAATAGGTGAAGGCCAGGAAAGTAGAGCCAGGGCCTGGGACAGCAGATAATGACACTAGGTTAGGGCCAGTAGGGCTGGGACAGCTAAGTAAGACCAAAAGGTTGAGGCTGATTGTGAAGGTGAACTGGGTAAGGCCAGGTAGGTAAAATCAGCTGTGTCATTCTGGTTGGTAAGGACGTATGTTAAGGCCAGTAGGGTAAGGCCAGGTAAGTAAGCTAGGTGCATAAGACCAGGGGATTAATACTAAATGAGTGAGGCCAGGATGTTAATAAGGTAGGTGGGTAAATTTAAGTTGGCAAAACCATGAGGTTAAGGGTAGGTCAGGTAGCCAAGCTATTTAAAAAGCCAGATGGTTAAGACCAGTAAGTTAAGGCCTCCTTGAATACAACTAGGTGGCTGAGTTTAAGTGGGTAAAGCTAAGAGGTTAAACCTAGGCACATTATGCCAGAAGGTTAAGGCCATGAGAGTGACAGTAGAACATTAAGGCCAGGTAAGAAGGTCAGGGAGTTAAGTTGGTAATCCTGGATGGTCAGGCCATGAGGTTGAGGCCAGGTGGGCAAATCCAGATGGGTAATGCAAGGTGTCTACATCCAGGGAGGGGATATCTAAGGAATAAGTAAAGGGGGATAAGTCTAGGTGAATGAACCTAGGGAGGTAAATCCAGGGGGTTAAGGCCTGGTAGAAACAACTAGAAGGTTAAAGCCAGGAGATTCGTACTGGATGAATAAGGCCAGTAGGTTCATGAGACAGTTGGGTAAATCTCAGCTGGCAAAAATGTGAGGTTAAGACCGGTTAGGAAGCCAAGTGATTGAATAGTCCGGGTGGCTTAGGCCAGTAAGTTAAGGCCTTCCTGAATACAGCTAGGTGGCTAACTCCACCTGGATAATGCCAAGAGGTTACTACTAGGCAGACTATGTCAGGAGGGTAAGGCCATGTGAGTTAGAATCAAAGGTTAAGGCCAGGTGGGAATGCCAGGTTGGTAAGCTATGTTGGTCATCCAGGTTGGGAAGGTCATGAGGTTAAGGCCAGGTGGGTAATGCAAGATGTCTAAATATGGGCTTGGGGCTGGGGCTGGGGTTGGGGCATTCAGCTTGGGATAAAGCTAGGGAAAAAGGGCAGGGGTATGATAAAAGCAAGGGAAAAAAACCTAGGGAGGTAACTCCAGGGACTTAAGACCTGTTAGATAAAACCAGAAGGCTAAGGACAGTTGCATAAACCAAGTGTGGAGGCCATGTGATCACATATGATCACCTATGATCAGTAAGACTAGGTGGGAAAACTAGGTGGCTAATCCAGGCTGTTAAGGCCATGAGGTTAAGACCACAGGGTTAGGCCAGGTGTGGATGGCTAATGGGGTCTGGCCAGGGCCTTAACATGAAGAGGATAAGGCCAGAGAGCAAGGGCAGGGGAGCATGGCAGGAGCTTCATAAAGCTGATGGGTAAATCTTAGCTGATAAAATCAGCTGGGTCTTGATGGGAGCTTGAGGACAGCAAATTACAACCAGGTGAGTAAGAACAAGTGGACAATGGCAGGAAGTTAAGGCCAGTCAGGTAAGGTCAGGATTGTTAGGCAAAGTCATGAAGACTGGGTGAGAAGGGCCAGGTGGTTAATAAGGCCAGATGGATAACGTCAAGTTTGTAATACCATGAAGATAAAATAAAATGATGAAGGCAATCAGGTTAATAAGGTTTACTGAGTTTGGCCAGGTTGTTAAAACCAGGTGTCTAAACCTAGCTCTATAAAGGACTATTTCAGTAACCCCACACTGTGAAACCAACAGGGGAAACACCCAGTAGGATTAACAGCAAGTTGCTAAGCCAGTCGAGTGATGACTAGAGGCAAATACTAGGTGAGTAAGACAGTGCAGGTAAGGTGAGGAGAAGGCCAGCTGAATAAACCAGGTGGCAAACACCAGTAGGGTATGAAGCCAGCAGATTAAGTCATGCTGGCTGAGGCCAGGCAGCTGAAGAGGGCAGGTGAGTATGGCCATAAGGTTAATGACATGGTTAACCAAAGGTTATGGACAGTTGTATACACCAAGTGTGAAGGCCATGTTTGGTAAGACTAGGTGGCAAACCCTGGCAGCTAATTCAATTTGTTAAGGCTGTGAGTTTAAAGCCCACAAGGGTAAGCCAGGTGAGCAAGGTTAATGGGGTCTCACCAGAGAGGGGAGTAAGACCTGGGTGTAAGGACAGGGGAGTAAGGCCTCATGGGTAAGATCAGGTGGGTCGTGGCGGCAGATTGAGGCCAGCAAATTAAAGCCAGCTGGGTGAGAATAGGTGGATGATGGTAAGAAGTTACGGTCAGGTGGGTAAGGCCAGGACTTTTAGTCTAGGAAATTAAGCCTGGATCTTATGGGCAGGAGTTTCAAAGGGCTACATGGAAGAAGCTTGTATAATAATGCCATGAGAATAAGGATGATTAAGACAATGAGGTTAATAAGGTCTGCTGAGTAAGGCAAGGTTGCTAAAACAGGTGTATAAATAGGCTGAATAAGACTATTTGGGTAACACCAGGCCAGTCAATCAAGGGGAAACACCCAAGGGCATTAGAGCAGTCACTAAGCCAGTTAAATAATAACAGGAGGGTAGTACTGGATAGGGATGACAGTGAGAGGGACACTGGGAAGTGAAGGCCAGCTGAACAAAGTAAGGTGGTCAACACCAGATGGGTGTGAGACAAGCAGATTAAATCATGCTGGCTGAGGCCTGGCAGGTGAATATGGTAGGTGAGTAAGCCCAGGCTGCTTGAGTCCTGCCTGTCCAATATGGTGAAACCATGTCTCTACTACAAATACAAAAACTAGAAGGGCGTGGTGGTGCACACTTATAATCCCAGCTACTTGAGAGGCTGAAGGAGGAGAATTACTGGAACCCGGGAGTCCAAGGTTGCAGTGAGCCAAGATGGACCACTGCACTCCAGCTTGGGTGCCTGAGCAAGACTCTGCCTCAAAACAACAACAACAAAAGACTAATTGTGAATACCAGTGGGTTAGGATCGGTAGGTAAAATCAACTGGGGGCCAGGCACAGTGGCTCACACATATAATTCCAGCACTTTGGGAGGCCGAGGCAGGCAGATTACCTGAGGTCAGGAGTTTGAGACTAGCCTGGCCAACATGGTGAAACTTCATCTCTACTAAAAATACAAAAATTAGCCGGGTGTGGTGGCAGGCACCTGTAATCCCAGCTACTCTGGAGGCTTAGGCAGAGAATCACTTGAACCAGGGAGGCGAAGGTTGCAGTGAGCTGAGATCGTGTCCAACCTGGGTGACAAGAGGGAAATTCCATCTAAAAAAAAAAAAAATCAACTGGGCAATTCTGGTTTGTAAGGATATGAGGTTAATGCCAGTAGGGTTAGGCCAGGTGGGTAAGCCAGGTGAATAAGTCCAGGGGATTCATACTGAATGAGTAAGGCCCAGAGGTTCATAAGGCAGATGGGTAAATCTAAGTTGGCTAAACCATGAGGTTAAGACTGGGTCAGGAAACCAAGCAATTTAAAAGGCCAAGTGGCCAACATCAGTAAGTTAAGGCCTCCCTGAGTAGAGCTAGGTGGCTAACTCCAAGTGGGTAATGCCGTGAGGTTAAGGCTAGGCCAATTAATCCAAGAGAATAAGGCCATGAGAGTAAGAATGAAAGGTAAAGGCCGGGTGGGAAGGCCAGGTTGGTAAGCTATGTTGGTCATCTTGGCTTGTGAAGCCATGAGGTTAAGACCAGGTGGGTAAGTCCAGGTGGCTAATGCAAGTTTTCTAAGTTCAAGGGTGAAGGGTAAACCTAGAGAATAATGGCAGGGGTATTAGTCTAGGGGAGTAAACCTAGGGAGGTAAATCCAGGGGTTAAGACCTGGCAGATAAAACCAGAAGATTAAGGACAGTTGTGTAAACCAACGTTAAGGCCATTTGGGTCATGTAAGGTCAGTAAGACCAGGTGGGAAAACATGGTGGCTAATCCAGGTTGTTGAGGCCATGAGGTTAAGGCCCATAGGGTTACGTCTGGTGAGGAAGACTAATTGGGTCTTGCCAGGGTTGTAAAATGAGGGGGGAGAGGCCAGGGAGTAAAGGCAGGGGACTAAGGCCTCATGGGCAACATCAGGTGGGTCAAGACCAGAGATTGAGACCAGCAAATTAAACGTAGGTGGGTAAGAACAGGTAGATATTGGTGGGTTGGAACTTATGGCCAGGTGTGTAAATCCAGAACTTTTAGGCCATGAAATTAAGTCTGGGTGAGTAAGGCCAAGAGGTTAATAAGGAAAGAAGGATAATGCCAGGCTCCTAATACCATGTGGACAAGATAAAGTGATGAAGGCAAGAAGGATAGTAAGTTTGACTGAGTGCAGCCAGGCTGTTAAAACCAGGTTTATAAATCTGGCTGAATAAAAGACTATTTGAGTAACACCAGGCTGCTAAATTAATAGGAGAAACGTGCAGGAGAATTAAGGCCAAGTCAGCAAGCCAGCCAAATAATGACAGGAGGCTAATGCTAGGTAGGTAAGACAGGTGAGGAGAAGGCAAGGAGGTTAAGGCAAGCTGAACAAAACTAGGGGTTAGACACCAGATGGGCATGAGGCCAGCAGATTAAGTCATGCTGTCTGAGACCAGGCATGTGAATAAGGTTGGTGAGTATGGCCCTAAGGTTAAGCAGGTCAGGTGGGGAAAGCCTACTGGGTAAGGCCAGATAAATAAGGCCACATGGGGAGGTTAATAGGTGAGGGCTGGGAAAGTAAGGCCAAGGGTCAGGACTAAGCATAATGCCCCTAGGTTAAGGTGAGTAGGGCTGGGAGATGTGAGTAAGACCAGAAGTTTGGACTAATTGTGAAAGCCAAATGGGTAAGGCTGGGTAGATAAAATCAGTTCAGTGATTCAGGTTGGTAAGGACATGAGGTTAAGGCCAGTAGGGTAAAGCCAGGTGGGTAAGCCAGGTTCGTAAGGTCAGCAGATTAATGCTCAATGAGTAAGGTCAGGAGGTTAATAAGGCTGCTGGGTAAATTTATTTTGGCAAAACCATAAGGTTAACACCAGGCCAGGAAGCCAAGCGACTGAAAAAACCAGGTGGGTAAAGCTAGTAAAGTTATGGCCAGCAAGTACAGCCAGGTTCGTAACTCCAACTGTGTAAGGCTTGTGTGGGAAGTCAGTGACCCCCAAATGGAGGGACCACCTGAAGCCATGGCAGAAGAATGTGGATTGTGAAGATTTCATGGACATTTATTAGTTCCCCAAATTAATACTTTTATAATTTCTTATGCCTGTCTTTACTGCAATCTCTAAACATAAATTGTAAAGATTTCATGGACACTTATCACTTCCCCAATCAATACCCTTGTGATTTCCTATGCCTGTCTTTACTTTAATCTCTTAATCCTGTCAGCTGAGGAGGATGTACATTGCCTCAGGACCCTGTAATAATTGCATTAACTGCACAAATTGTACAGCATGTGTGTTTGAGCAATATGAAATGTGGGCACCTTGAAAAAAAGAACAGGATAACGCAATTGTTCAGAGAATAAGAGAGATAACCCTAAACTCTGACCGCCGGTGAGCCGGGCGGAACAGAGCCATATTTCTCTTCTTTCAAAAGCAAATGGGAGAAATATTGCTGAATTCTTTTTCTCAGCACAGAACATCCCTAAGAAAGAAAATGCGCACCTGGGGGTGGGTCTCTGAACTGGCCCCCCTGGGCGTGGTCGTCTCTTATGGTCCAGACTGCAGAGGTGAAATAGACTCCAGTCTCCCATAGTGCTCCCAGGCTTATTAGGAAGAGGAAATTCCCGCCTAATAAATTTTGGTCAGACCAGGTGATCTCAAAACCCTGTCTCCTGATAAGATGTTATCAATGACAATGGTGCCCGAAACTTCATTAGCAATTTTAATTTCACCTGGTCCTGTGGTCCTGTGATCTCGCCTTGCCTCCACTTGCCTTGTGATATTCTATTACCTTGTAAAGTACTTGATGTCTGTGACCCACACCTATTCGCACACTCCCTCCCCTTTTGAAACTCCCTAATAAAAACTTGCTGTTTTTTGCGGCTTGTGGGGCATCACGGAACCTACCAACATGTGATGTCTCCTCCGGATGCCCGGCTTTAAAATTTCTCTCTTTTGTACTCTGTCCCTTTATTTCTCAAGCTGGCCGACACTTAGGGAAAATAGAAAAGAACCTACGTGAATATCAGGGCAGGTTCCCCGATAAAGGCTGAGAACTTAATGCTAGGCATATTATGCTAGGAGGTTGAGGCCATGTGACTAAGAATGAAAGGCTAAGGCCAGTGAGAAGGCCAGGTTGGTAAGCTATGGAGTCCATGAGGTTCAGGCCAGATGGGGGAAGTCCAAATGGGAAATGTAAGGTATGTTATGTTCGGGCGTGGGAGAAAATCTAGGTAAGAAAGGCAGGGAAATAAGCCCAAGGGAGGAAACCTAGGGAGGTAAGTTTTGAAAAATAAGACTGGGGGCTAAGTCCTGGTAAATAAAACCAGAAGGTTAAGGACAGCTGTGTAAACTAAGCATGAAACTCACAATGGGGAAGACTAGGTGGAAAAACTAGGTAGGTAATCCAGGTTGTTGAGACCACATGGTTAAGGCCCACAGGTTTCGGCCAGGTGTGGAAAACTAAAGGGTTCTGGCAAGGGTGATAAATTGAGGTGGGTAAGGCCAAGCAATAAAGAAAGGGCAGTAAGGCACCATGGGCAAGACCAGGTAGGTCTTGACAGTAGATTGAGGCCAGCAAATTAAAGCCAGGTAGGTAAGAATAGGTGGATAACGGCGAGAAGTTATGGCCAGGTAGATAAGACCAAGATCATTAGTTAGGCTAGGAAATTAAACCTGGGTCAGTAAGGCCAGGAGTTTCATAGGGCCACATGGATGAAACTTGTTTAATAATGCCATGAGGGTAAGGTGATTAAGGAAGTGAGGTTAATAATGTCTGGTGAGTAAGGCCAGATTGTTAAAACCAGGCATTTAAATTTAGCCAAAGAAAAGACTATTTGTGTAACCCCAGGACAGTAGATCCATGGAGAAATTCCCTGTAGGATTAAGGCCAAGTTGCCAAGCCAGCTAAATAATGATAGGAAACTAATACTAGGTGGGCAAGATAGTGAGGGGAAGGTGAGGAGGTGAAGGCCAGATGAATTAAACCAGGTAGTCAACATCAGATGGGTATGAAGCCAGCAGATTAAGTCATGTTATGCTGGCTGAGGCCAGGCAAGTGAATATGGCAGGTGAGTATGGCTGTCAGGTTGATAATGTCGGTTGCAGAATGCCTACTGGTTGAGGCCAGTAGTTGAACAAGGCCAAGTGGGTAAGGCCAAGAAAATACAGCCATGTGGGAAGGCCAATAGGTGAAGTCCAAGAAAGTAAAGCAAGGGGCTGGGACAGCGAATAATGACACTAGGTTAAGGTCAGTAGGGCTGGGACAGCTAAGTAAAGCCAGAAGGTTGAGACTAATTGTGAAGGCCAACTGGGTAAGCCTGGGTAGGTAAGATCAGTTGGGTAACTCTAGTTGGTAAAGATATGATGTTAAAGCCAGTAGGGTAAAGCCAGGTGGGTAAGCCAGGTGCACAAGGCCAGGGGATTAATACTGCATGAGTGAGGCCAGTAGCTTAACAAGGTAGGTGGGTAAATCTAAGTTGGCAAAACCATGAAGTTAAGGCCAGGTCAGGAAGCCAAGCTATTTAAAAGGCCAGATAGGTAAGGCCAGTAAGTTAAGGCCTCCCTGCATACAACTAGGTGGCTGAGTTTAAGTGGGTAAAGAGGATGTCCATGTGAGTAAGAATGGAAAGATAAGGCCAGGTTGGTAAGCTCAGTTGGTAATCCAGGTTGGTAAAGCCATGAGTTTAATGCCAGTTGGGTAACTCCAGATGGGTTTAGAAGGGTATCTAAGTCTGGGGAGGGGAAATATAGAGAATAATGGAAGGTGGATAAGTCCAGAGGAGTCAACCTAGGCAGATAAATCCAGTGGAGTAAGGCCCGGGGATTAAGGCCTGTAGATAAAACCAGAAGGTTAAGGACATTTGGGTAAGGCCCATAGGGTTAAGCCAGGTGGGGAAGTCTAATGGGGTGTGCCCAGTGTGGTAAAATGAGGCGGGTAAGGCCAGGGTGTAAGACCTCATGGATAAGATCAGTTGGATACTGACCAGATAATGAAGCCAGCAAATTAAATAGCTGGTTATAAACAGGTGGATAATGGCAGGATGTTATGGCCAGGCTGGTAAGCCCAGTTCTTCTAGGCCAGAAAATTAAGACTGGGTAAATAAGGCCAGGAATTTAATAAGGCCAGGTGGATAAAGCCAGATTATGAGGCTAAGATAAGGTGATTAAGGCCATCAAGTTAATAACATCTGGTGAGTAAATCCAGATTGTTAAAACCAGGTGTTTAAATCCAGCTGAATAAAAAACTATTTGGTTAACACACCAGGCCGGTAAATCAATGGGGAAACTTCCCAGAGGATCAAGGCCAAGTCGGTAAGCCAGCTAAATGACAGGAGGCTAATTATACGTGAATGGGACACAGAGGGAACTGTTTAGAGATGAAGTCTCACTGAGTCAAGGTAGGTGGTTAACACCAGATGGATATAAGACCAGAAGATTAAGTCATGCTGGGTGAGGTCAGGCAGGCAAGTATGGTCGTATCTTTAAGAAGGCCACGTGGGTAAGGCCTAGTGGGTCGGGCTGGAAGGTGAATAAAGCCAAGTGGTTAAGGCCAGGTAGTGAAGGCCAGCTCTGTAAAGCTATGTGGTTAACATCAGGTGTGTAAGTTGAAGAGGTTAAGGTAGGTGGGTAAAATTCAGTTTGTAAGGACAGGAGATTAAGGCCAAAAGATTAAGGTCACATGGGTAAGGCCAGAGGTTAAGGCCAGGAATCTATAGCTGTGTGGGTCTGACTGGAATGTTAAAGGACAGCTGTGAAGACTCTGTGAACGAGGCTGGGAGGTTCAAACCCAAAGGTTAAAATCAGGTGAATAACATCAGCTGTTTGAGGTCGAGTGGGGATGTCTGAGAAGTTAAGGCCAGCCAGGCAATGCCAGGAAGTTAATGTCAGGTAGGCATGTCCTGGAAGTTGAGTTTTTGGCCAGGTCTGAGCCATACCTTGGTTCCACGTTCAACAACTGTAGTATTCCTCGCTTATCTGCAGTTTCACTTTTTATGGTTTCAGTTCTGCTCTGTCCTGTTAGGGACATCAATTATCCATTTGTCCAGCATAATTGGACAACGATTGATGTGTTTGAGTAATCTTTATTTTGTTTAATAACGGTCCCTGGCCAGGCATGATGGCTCTAGCCTGTATTCCCAGCACTTTAGGAGGTCAAAATGAGCCTAGGATCACTTGGAACATGCGAGTTTCAGATCAGCCTGGGCAACATAGTGTGAGGCCACCTCTACAAAAAATTATTTTAAAAACTAGCCAGGCTGGGCATGGTGGCTCACGCCCGTAATCCCAGCACTTTGGGAGGCTGAAGTGGGAAGATCACAAGGTCAGGGGTTCAAGACCAGCCTGGCCAACATGGTGAAACCCCATCTCTACTAAAAAACACAAAAATTAGCCAGTGTGGTGGCGCATGCCTGTAGTCCCAGCTACTCAGGAGGCTGAGGCAGGAGAATCGCTTGAACCCAGGAGGCAGGGGCAGAGGTTGCAGTGAGCCAAGATCATGCCACTGCACTCTAGCCTGGCACAGGCTGAGACTCTCACAGAGTGAGACTCTGCCTTAAAAAAAAAAAAAATTACCCAGGCATGGTGGTGCATGCCTGTGGCCCCAGCTACCTTGGAGGCTCAGGTGGGAGTACTGCTTGAGCTTGGAGATCAAGGCTGCATTGAGCCATGAGTATGCCACTGCATTGCAGCCTGAGAGACAGAATGAGATCCTGCCTCATAAATAAATAAATAATGTTCCAAAGCAAATGAGTAGTGATAGACATATTGTCCTAATTGTTCTACTTTACTCTTGTTGATCTGTCACTGTGCTTAATTTCATAATTAACCTTTAACATAGGTATGTATGTACAGAAAAAGAGCAGTATATCTAGAGGTCAGCATTAGCTGTGGTTTCAGGCATGCTCCGGGGTCTTGGAACACATCTCAGAGGATGAGAGGGGACTACTTACTGTACAGTGTGAGGGGATCAGCTCCTCATCTTCAGCTTCCCCTACTTCTCATGGGTATGCTCCCTGTCTCTGAACATTGGTCTGGGTGGGTATCTGTGAAGCTCTTAGTGCAGCACATGTAAGGCCACTATTTCAAGTTAGCGCCTCTCTTGCACTATCACCGTCATGGTCTACTGGAGTCACTGGGACTAACCTGCACACTGGACAAACAGTACCTGTCAAAGGATGGCTGCCTTCTCACTTGATCAGTGTCAAGGCCACGCTGGCCCCCAGGTCCCCTGCAGATCACTGTTCTCCATGACAACCCCATTTCATAACTCCATAAGAGGGTCATTTTGCTACTGACTTCTTTCTTCACCATGACAACTTAGGAATGAAGGGACACTGTGTAAACTGCACAGGGTCAGGGACTGCAAGTAGGAGGTGGTGGCGTTCCCTGCCTTTGGTAGGAAATTGGGTTTACACACTGGTGGATATGGGTGGAGCTGAGCCTGCTCCTCATCCCGGTGGCAGCAGAAATACCTCAGAAACGGGATCTGTTCACTGCCTAGTGCTGGGTCTTGCCCCAGTGGAACTCCAGCAAGTTGGGCCCCATCACAGAGAGACAATGCCCGAGGATGCAGCACCCTCACACACTGTTGTTGCTCAAAGAAATCAGTTTCTAGTAGAGTAGGTCCTCTGCAACCTGGGATTCAAACAACCTTGGATCAAATATATTCGGAAAAATAAACACAATAAAAATAACAACAACAAAAAAAATACAAGCAAAAAAACTATAATACCTATTTACACAGCAAAAAATTGCCTCTACCACACTCCTGACAATCTTGTGTGAGTCTCACGGAATCCGAGGCCCTGGTTTGTAACCTCCCATGTCCTATCCTATGTGAGTCTGGTTCTCTACTGTCACTTTAGACATTAAAATGGTCCAAGGTCATCCAACAGCTTAATCGATGAACACCATTATCAATACAAGAATATACATCCAATTATAGGCTCATTATGATTTAATATTAAGTTAGTCTTACAGGTTAATGTTTAGTCAATCATACAACCACAAAGATGGACTTGAAAAAGTTATTTGTTACACCACCTGAAACATGCCATTCACAGGAGTCTTTCTTCCTAACATTTTGTAGCACATAGGCCATCACCTACAAGAACTTGATAATGAGCATCAAAACACAAATTGTTATATTTTTTAAATATGTTGCTGAAATTACTATTATTTTAAAGATAAGTGCTCTGGACTTATTTTCCTATGAAGAATTTATACTCAAGATGCAAACCTACCAAGAAGTCAAGCTGTCAAAAAAATCAGTGTATAAACTGATGGCAAATGTAGTCAGCTATAACTATCCTTAATTTAGCTTAGAAAAACCATGCTCAACCATTTGTGTTTGTAGTTACTGGAAATAAAAGTTAAGTATTCTCTTCTATCTTTTATTAAACTATATCATTAGTAGCGGCAATAAAAGTAAAACACGTGTTCCCAAAAAACATCACTGCTGGAAAAAGCCAAAGCAATTAAATATGAGAACTAAACATTTGTTTTTTTTTCTTTTCTCTTTTTGAGGTGGAGTTTCACTCTTGTTGCCCAGGCTGGAGTACAATGGTGTGACCTCGGCTCACTGCAACCTCCGCTTCCTGGGTTCAAGCGATTCTCCTGCCTCAGCCTCCCAAGTAGCTGGGATTACAGGCATCTGCCACCACACCCGGCTAATTTTTTTGTATTTTTATAGAGATGGGGTTTTGTCATGTTGACCAGGCTGGTCTCGAACTTCTGACCTCAGGTGATCCACCCACCTCAGCCTCCAAAGTGCTGGGATTACAGGCATAAGCCACCGCGCCTGGCCGAAAACTACAAATTTGAATATGATGACTTTGCTTCATTTAGCACATCTTTCTAGTGCTCACTGAGTGCCAGGCTTTACAAATGCCACTGACTTAAACTCAGTCGCAACCCTGGAAGGGGGTCCTATTACTGCCATCTTTTTAAAAAAATGCACAAGTGACCACAATTCTCATAACCCTGAAGTTGCACTCATTGTCCACACAACAGGTGCAAACTCCTAAGCAAGAAAGAGACTGTGCAGAAAGGAGATGGTGCCCCGCCCACCCTGCCTCCCACTACTGCCCCCACAGCTTCCCCTCCCAGACACTCAACACCCTGGCCACAGGGCCCTGTGGTGACTGCACCCGTGTGCTCAGCCCAGGAGACTCTTCCTCTGGAGATCCATAGGACCCCAAGGAAGGCACTGATGAAAGGAGGTGTGAAGACAGTCCAGTTACTCTGGAAGGTCCCTGTGTGGAAGGAATGTGGGGTCAGCACACAGGTGGAAGAGCAGCCACACTGGGCACAAACCCACAACCTCAGTGTGGCCTGTGCAAGCCTCCCACTTCTGTTCACCCCTCCCGGCTTGACTCTTCTCGCACTTTGTAATTTACTGTACACTTTCCTTATTCTTTATTGCCTATTATTCCCCAACTGAAGTATAAACTCTGTAAGGGCAGGAATTTTGCCAGGTAAGAAAAGTGCAGAAGCAAGTGCCTTGCAGTCTGGATGGAACAGGCCTGGGAGGGGTCACGGAGATACAAGCAGTGAGTCGAAAACTTCTTAAAGGGCTGTCTCATAAATAATTCAGGCTTGAGGACCCTCGGGTCCTCATCACAAGTTCTTATCTATGCCACTGTGACAAGAAAGCATCCAAAGATGATCGTAAACAAATCATCATGGTTGAGTTCTAATAAGACAATGTTCCAATAAAAAACTACTGATAACAACAGGTGGTGGGCGGGATCTGGCCCCAGGCAGTGGCTTCCTAACTGAAATGCAGATGATGTTCCAGCACAGAAGTAAGAAAACACCAAGATGAGGGCCAAATAACAGTATGGAAGAGAAGAGGTTTTAGTAAGTATAATTAATGACAGAAAAATCTGAAAATGAGGCCACAGAACAAGAACATTACAACCAATCTAATTTGTAGATATTTATTACCAGGCACACTGAAAACATCTACTAATGAGGAACTGGAGACAAAGCCATACATGGACACATTAGCAATCTGCACATATTACTGGCCACACTGCCTCAGAAACGCATATGATAAGGTTAGGGCCCACTCTGACCAAGTTTTTACCCACACATACATCTCAGCTCCATAACCAGCATCATGATTAACTAGTCAAAGGTCAAAAGCATGAGACAGGCAGGAATGCTGAAGCCACCTGATGACAGCTGCACCAGTTCCACAAGATAACAGAAAGACACATACAAATTCATCACTCTTTGCCTCCATGAACATCAATAGAAAAAATATTATATCAATGGCTTTCCTGTACATGACCAATAACATGGTAGAAAAAATAAAAAATTAAATCCTTTTCACAATAGCCATCCAAACACAAATTACCCAGGAATAATTGTAATATTAAAAAAGTATGCAGAGCCAAGAAGAAAGCTACCTGACTTCACTGAGGGATACATTTAATGACTGGAAGAAACATATCCCATGTTATAAAGCAGGAAACACTAATACTGCAAATTAAAATGCATAATACCTGCACTTTTAATCAATACCACAAATGATGGGTGTGATTTTAAGGAGCTGAGAAACAGATTTAGGGCCGGGTGCAGTGGCTCACACCTGTAATCCCAGCACTTTGGGAGGCCAAGGCAGGCAGATAATTTGAAGTCAGGAGTTTGAGACTAGCCTGGCCAACATGGCGAAACCCCGTCTCTACTAAAAATACAAAAATTAGCCAGTGTGGTGGCAGGCACCTCTAATCCCAGCTACTCGGGAGTCTGAGGCAGAAGAATCGCTTGAACCCAGGAGGCGGAGGTTGCAGTGAGCCAAGATCGTGCCACTGCACTCCCGCCTGGGCGACAGAGCGAGACTCTGTCTCAAAAAAATGAAATAAAATAAAATATCCAACACACAATGAAAAGATACCCAAGCAGACAGGAAGGAAAAGTCATGACCAAAAAGCACAGCCACAAAAACAGACACACAGGGATCAGGATAATGAAATCGCCAGGAGTAAACCCTAAAAAATCTATAATATGTCCAAGCTATTAAAGCTCAAGGTTGAGAATTTCAGCAAAGGAACTAAAAGCCATAAAAGACATCAAAAGGAAGTTCCAGAGCAAAAAAAAAGTACATTAACTGTACAGTAAATCCTCACTTAATAGAAACTGTGTCTTTAAGCAAACCTACAAATAAAAGGAATCTTACCATAGGTTAATTAATATAAACCAGAGCTAAATTCCTCCAGCATATTTCTGGTCACAAAAACGTCACCAAACTTCTAAAGAAAGATTAAAAACCTTCCTAACATTATACATTAGAATAAATATGAGCTATATATCCACTGAAGGTTAATAAAAACAAGGCAATTACCAAATTTTTGGTGAATGAGTGCATGATGGTGATTATAGTGGTGATAGGTTAAATCAAGAATAGGCTGGGTGTGGTGGCTCACACCTGTAGTCCCAGCACTTTGGGAGGCCGAGCTGGGTGGACCACCTGAGGTCAGGAGTTTGAGACCAGCCTGGCGAATATGATGAAATTCCATCTGTACTGAAAATACAAAAATTAGCCAGGTGTGGTGGAACGTGCCTGTAGTCACAGCTACTTGGGAGGCTGAGACAGAAGAATTGCTTGAACCCGGGAGGCAGAGGCTGCAGTGAGCCGAGATTGCGCCACTGCAGTCCAGCCTGGGCAACAAAGAGAGACTCCATCTCAAAAATAAAATAAATAACATAACATAACATAACATAACATAACATAACATAACATATAAAATAAAATAAAATATAAAATAAAATAAAATAAAATAAAATAAAAATAAAATAAAATATAAAATAAAATAAAATAAAATAAATAAAATAAAATAAAATAAAATAAATAAAATAAAATAAAATAAAATATAAAATAAAATAAAATAAAATAAAATAAAATAAAAATAAAATAAAATAAAATAAAATATAAAATAAAATAAATAAAATAAAATAAAATAAAATAAAAAAATAAATAAAATAAATGTTTGCAAAGCCACAATTGGAGGGAGCACCTCCTACCACACCACGCAGTTACGATCACAAATATGGTGACTGGATGCTTTCAGATGACATTGTTTATTGTCATGCATTTGTGTAATTATCTTATGTTTTAGGAATTTTTATTTGATGATAATTTGTATTTATTCGTTTTCCAACCTGCTTATTGCACTTCAGGGTCTCAGGTAGCCGGAGCCTATCCCAGTGGCTCATGGCACAAGGCGCAAACCGACCCCGGCCAAGACGCCATCCCATAGCAGGGAGCTCTCACATATGCCCACCCTCACTCACTGAGACTGCGACTAGAGACCCACCAATTCACCTCAGGGGTGCAGCTTAGGATGTGGGAGGAAACCTGAGTACCAAAAGAAAACTCGCAGACAAGAGGAGAACATGCAAACAAGACCTAGACAGCGGCCGTGGCCCTGGTTGACAGCTGAGGTGTTTTCTCATCAGTGTTATAACAAAATGAAGTGATTTGAGGACCTGCTGTACATAAGACAAAGCTAGAGAAAATATCCAGGTTTCAGGAGTTCAAGATCAGCCTAGGCAACAGAATGAGATGCAGTCTCTGTAAAAATAATTTTTTAGGCCAGGCACAGTGGCTCACACCTGTAATTCCAGCACTTTAGGAGGCGAAGGTGGGCAGATCACATGCGATAAGGAGTTCAAGACCAGCCTGGCCAACATGGTGAAACCCTGTCTCTACTATAAAGTACCAAAATTAGTCAGGCGTGGTGGCAGGCACCTGTTATCCAGCTACTCGGGAGGCTGAGGCAGGAGAATTGCTTGAACCCGGGAGGCAGAGGTTGTAGTGAGCTGACATCATTCAGCTGCATTCCAGCTTCGGCAGCAGAGCAAGACTCTGTCTCCAGAAAAAAACAAACAAACAAACAGGGAAACAAACAAAAAAAACTAAGGCACATAAAATGATGTAAAAAGCCCTAACAAATGTGTAATTTGAGTGGAAGAAGGAAAAAGAGACTAGCGCAGAAGCAATATTCCAATAGAAATAGGCAGAACAATCAATCAATAACCTCTTCATCAAAAGAAACCCTTACAAATTTTTAAAAAGCAAGTCAAAGACAGGGACGACATACTTGCAATACATAGACATGAGCTAGGTGTATGTCCAAAATAGACAAAGAAGCCCTACAAATCACCACACAAAGACAAATAGCCCCTTGCTTTTTTAAGAGATGGGATCTTTTGCCCAGGCTGGTCATGAACTCTTGGCCTCAAGCTGTCATCCCATCTCGGCTTCCCAAAGTGCTGGGATTACGGGCGTGAGCCACCGCGCCCAGCCAAACAACCCACTCTTTTCAGTGGACAAGAGATTCTAACAGGCGTCTGATGATAAAGGTCATTTGAAAGCCAGCAAGCACAAGAAAAAGTGCTCAACATGCTTAATCACCATGCAACACAAATTGAAACCCCAATGCTAACCAACACACACCAAACAAAATGGCTAAAGGCTGTTGTACAGTGACATCACATGCTGGTAACCAAGAGGAGAAGGCTCCCACGGGCTGTGTGCTCTGGAAAACTGCTGGGCATGAGAGGGAGACCCCAAGGGGCTCACCAACTGCCCTACCACCCAGCTCTGCCACCCTGTTTAAATACTCAACAGGAGCACACACAGATGTACACCAAAGCCTGTGGCAAGATGCTCAAAACTAGTTTGTCATCACTGCCAAAAACGGGAAGTAATCAAACTCCTTTAACAGTGGAAGAACAGATCAAGGAGGTACATTCAGGAAACAAAGTATTGCTGTTGGAAGCATAGTTGACTTTTCATAGGCTTGACATTGAGCATGAGAAACGAACCCCCCAGAGGGAGGGCATTGCCCAGGAGGATCTTGTATGGCTTGTAGTGTCTCCTGGGTGGTAGTGACACAAGTGTGCAAGGTTTTTAAAAATCACTGAGCTCTATACTTAATAGCTGTGCATTCTATAGTATGTGATCATTCACATTCAGGTTTTTTCAGTCATAAGAATCCTTGGGAAAAATAGGCAAATACCTATAAAAGCAGTAATAACAAATGCAAAAATACAGTGGGGAAAAACTCACTGATAACAGCACTTCAAATATATATATAATAACCTATAAACTTATATGCAAGGTCAACATTTATAAAATGTTAAAACTTTCCTGAATATCATTATTTTTAAAACAAAAGAAAAACTTTACCCAAATGGGCAGTCAGACCATGCTTTGGATAAGAACTGTTAAGTCAATTAAAGCACAAACACCTCCTGAGAAAATACACAAAAGACCCAAAGCTGTAAAAACATAAGCCACTGCATTCTATCCCATTCATACCGAGAGAAATGCAAAGGAAAACCTCTACCGCTGGACTGGCAGAGATGTGAGCAGACAAAAACCTGGCTCTGGTGGCCGGCTCCTGCCCACACCCCCTAGTCCTTCCTCTGTGACTTCACCACCAAGAACCCGGCAAGAGGAGCTGTGACGACCCCCAGTTCTCCCACTTTCTCTCCCGTCCTGACCAAGAAACACCAGGTGCTTTGACTGCTCTGTGAGCTGGGCAGCTGCATTTCTCTCGCAGGCTTGAACCCAAGCTGGGGCCGTGAATATTCCCAGGCACTAAGCAAGATGTTTGGATTGTTACCCAAAATGCGGAAAGAAACTGGCACCAGCCCTGAGCCAAATTCC